>NT_167247.2:680003-988665 GCF_000001405.40 Homo sapiens | reverse complement strand
GTCTTTGATCCCAGAGAAGTTTCCAGAAAAGTGTAACTGTAGATCCAGGGCAGGATCAAGAAATATGAAGAAAGCAGATGTGGGTCCTGGACCAACTGCCCTCCTGAGGTCTGTCATCAGCAGGGACCTTCCCCTGTGATTTGTGACTGCTGGGATCAGGTCCCATCACCACCATAATCATCGAAGTGAAGAATCTGTCCTTCATTTTCACAGGAGCTTTACAAATGAGTAGGTGCTGGCACACAGGGCCCAGGCTGGGTAGACCCATGAGTGTGGATGGTGCTTCCCAGTAATGAGGCAGGGCACACTTCTACTTGGGGCTTGCAACCCCCAGTGGGACAAGAAAACTCAGACTCCACTCCTCACCCCTTCCTACCTGAGCTCTTCTTCCTCCACATCACAGCAGCGACCACAGCTCCAGTGACCACAGCTCCAAGGACAACAAGGCCAGCAACGATGCCCACGATGGGGATGGTGGGCTGGGGAGACTGCTCTGGGAAAGGAAGGGAAGGTGAGGGGCCCTGATCTCCAGGCCTCAGCCCTGACCCTGCTGAAGAGCTCCAGAAGGGCTCCTGCTTTCCCTGAGAAAAGACATGACCCCTCGTTCCCCTCTTTACCCATCTCCCTCCTTACCCCATCTCAGGATGAGGGGCTGGGGCAGCCCCTCGTGCTGCACATGGCATGTGTATCTCTGTTCCTCTCCAGAAGGCACCACCACAGCGGCCCACTTCTGGAAGGTTCCATCCCCTGCAGGCCTGGTCTCCACAAGCTCTGTGTCCTGGGTCTGTTCCTCCCCATCCCGCTGCCAGGTCAGCGTGATCTCCGCAGGGTAGAAGCCCAGGGCCCAGCACCTCAGGGTGGCCTCATGGTCAGAGATGGGGTGGTGGGCAACGTGTGCCTTTGGAGGATCTGAGAAGAGTCAGAAAATTCAGGCACTTTGCACTCCTCATGGGAAACCCCAGCAGCACCCATGTGACCAACCTGAGAATGGACAGGACACCTGGGGTGGGGAAGGGAGCACAGAACCCAGACACCAGCCTGGACACAGACACCTGGGAAAATCTCCTATTCCTTGGAAAGTTCGAGTCTCTGAGTGGGGAGCAGGGACTTCTGGCCCTGACCTAAGTGGAGGCCGAGGGACTGGAATCAGAGCCCCAAACACATTGAGTGTGAGGCAGAGAACAAAACTTGAGAGAAAAGTCACGGGGCCCAAGGCTGTTGGAGGGCTCAAAGGGGACCGCGGATCGGTATTCCAGGGACTGTCTTCCCTCCATTCCCTCAGAGATTTCATCCCTTAATTGTCCCAGAGAGCAGGGCGGACTCTCACAGTCACTCTCTGGTACCGGATCTCGAAAGCCAGGAAGATTCTTCCTACTCAGGACTAGAGGGAGGGCGATATCCTAGCATTGGGCCCACTTTCCTCCCAACCTTGTGCGAGGCCATCCCAAGAGATCTACAGGAGATAGGGAAGGCGCCCATGGCCCCTGGTACCTGCGCGCTGTAGCGTCTCCTTCCCATTCTCCAAGTATCTGCGGAGCAACTCCAGGCACTCGCCCTCCAGGTAGGTCCTGAACTCCTCTGCATATTCCTCTGCCTCATAGAAGCGCTGGGTGATCTGAGCCACGGTGTCCGCCGCGGTCCAGGAGCGCAGGTCCTCGTTCAGGGAGATGTAATCCTTGCCGTCGTACGCGTGCTGGTGATACCCGCGGAGGAGGCGTCCGTCGGGCCCCATGTCGCAGCCATTCATTCCCTGGAGGGTGTGAGACCCTAGCCGGTCCCCGCAGTCAGCCCCGCCCAGCTAGCCCCGCCCCCTCCCCGCCCAACCCGCGGGGATTTTGGCCTAAACTGAAAATGAACCTCGGTAAAGGCGCCTGGGACTCTCCCGGGTGGAGGGTCTGGGCGGGTCCCGCTGCCTCGGGGTAGATTTCGGATCCGGAGACTCGGGGGGACCCGGGCGGTCCGTGGCGGATGGGGGGTGGTCGTGACCTGCGCCCCCGGCCGGGTTCACTCACCAGCCTCGCTCTGGTTGTAGCGGCGGAGCAGGTTCCTCAGGGCCACTCGGTCAGTCTGTGCGTTGGCCTTGGCGTACCCTGTGGTCCACTCCCAATACTGCGGCCCCTCTTGCTCCACCCACGGCTCCCGCGGCTCCATCCTCGGAATCGCGGCGTCGCTGTCGAACCGCAGGAATTGCGTGTCGTCTACGTACTCCACGGCGATGTAGCGGGGCTCCCCGCGGCCGGGCCGCGACACAGCGGTGCTGAAATACCTCAAGGAGTGGGAGCCTGGGGGCGAGGAGGGGCTGAGACCCGCCAGACCCTCCTCCGGGCGCGGCTCCCTGAGTCCTGCGCCCCCACCGGGCGGGCCCCTCACTCCTCCCCACAGAGGCCGTTTCTCTCTGGACCCCGCACTCACCCGCCCAAGTATCGGTCAGGGCCAGGGCCCCTGAGAGCAGCAGGAGGAGGCTTCGGGGCGCCATGACCCCAACCTCCGCGTCTGGGAAAAATATGAGTCCCGCGGGGTGCGTGGGACTTTAGAACCTGGGAACTGCGGCGACACTGATTGGCTTCTCTAGAAACGCGACGCCCAATGGGAGTGAGAAATGGGGCCGCGTTATGAGTATCCAGGATGAAGGACCTGACACGGGTTGGGAGAGAAAGAGAAACTCTGGGGAGATGGGGAATTCTCAATACTGAGCCTTCCAACCCCAGACACCGCCTCGGGGCCTGAGCCCTTGAGAGCCACTCCTGGGGCCCTGGGACTTTGCCCTCCCCCTCCCCCTCCCCCTCCTGTGCAGGGTGTGTCTCAATGTCTCCCTGAGTCTTCGCCCGGGGGCTGAGAAACCAGGGAGAAACCTTCGGCATGGACCCAGTCCATCTCCCTTCATTATTCATTCCGAAATCCCAGTCCCTTGATTGAACTTTCTGCCTCCCATTCCATACCTGGACTCCCCGGACTCTTTTGGAAGAAAATTCACCCCAAGGAGCTTGGTGCCAGACAATGAACTTGTCCTGAGAATGAAGGTCTAGAGACAGTTTCTTCTTCTTCCTCTTCTTCCTCTTCTTCTTCTTCTTCTTCTTCTTCTTCTTCTTCTTCTTCTTCTTCTTCTTCTTCTTCTTCTTCTTCTTCTTCTTCTTCCTCTTCCTCTTCCTCTTCCTCTTCTTCTTCTTCTTCTTCTTCTTCTTCTTCTTCTTCCTCTTCCTCTTCCTCTTCTTCTCCTTCTCCTTCTCCTCCTTCTTTCCTCCTCCTCCTGCTCCTCCCCGCCCCCCTCCTCTTCTTCTCTGGAAAAGTTGTACCTGAGCATATGAAATAGGACAGAGACCAGTTTCTTTCTTTCTTTTTTTTTTTTTATTAGCTGCAGTGAGTAGTAGAATCTTGGTAACCCCTGAATTATCAGGAACCTTTTTTTTTTTTTTTTTTTTTTGAGACGGAGTCTCTCTCTGCCGCCCAGGCTGGAGTGCAGTGGCGCGATCTCGGCTCACTGCAAGCTCTGCGTCCCGGGTTCACGCCATTCTTCTGCTTCAGCCTCCCGAGTAGCTGAGACTACAGATGCCCGCCACCACGCCCGGCTAATTTTTTTGTAGAGACGGGTTTCACCGTGTTAGCCAGGATGGTCTCGATCTCCTGACCTCGTGATCCTCCCGCCTCGGCCTCCCAAAGTGCTGCAATTACAGGCATGAGCCACCGCGCCCGACCAATCAGGAATCTTATGTGTAAAAACTGTTACTTTGGCCCCTTGATATATAAATGTGTCTAAATGCATTACAGTTGTACAACTCTCAGAGCTCCTAAGTTTTGCTTTCCCAGACTATGTATCTGTGACTCTTGTTGTATTCTAAAATTACCTTCATTCCATAGCCCTGAGTTTCTGTGGGAGTCCAGGACATCTCCTGACAATACAAAGTAGCACAACGTGTGATTGTATATTGCAACCAGGAGCCAATACATTCATTCACCTCAAAGTTGCAAGTGTTCAACGCAGTCACAATGCCCCTCACCAGTGCTCATGCACTTCCTGTTTTTAGGAAGTATCCGCATCTAAGTGGTGTGCATGTTTTATTGGAACACTTAGTATTTTTTTAAACCTGAAAAAAAGCAGAAAAAGCAATTAATTTTTAGGCAGTCCCACATAAGGTGTTAAAGGCCAAATGCAAGGAACACCCTGCTAGGCTCTGTAGATGGATGTATTAAAAATTTATAAAACAATGTGTTTAAAGCTAAGAATTCTGCTGCTTTCAAATTCTGTCCCTCTGCTCCTTCTCCTCACCTCCTGCTTCTCCAGCCCTTCCCTCCGTCCCTCTCATCCCTCAGGCCCTCCTCTTCCCTTAGTCCCCACCACTCTGTCACTCCTGAATAGTGGCTCTAGCACTGTTCCATTACCTGCCACCTGAGTGTTCTCTCCACAGTGGTCCTGCTACTGTGAGTCAAAGTGTGTCGTTTCTTCACCTAAAACACTCCAGTGGCTCCACTTCGGTCTTGTGAAGCTTCTAGAATGTCAGGCACTTGAGCATATGAGGGCATACCTGGTTCAGCATAGGCACTAAATTAATTTTTGTTGACTAGTTGAATGAAATATGATTGTATAAAAATTTAATCGCATCATGGAATATTATAAAATGAAAAATACTGGAAAAAGGAAATATTTTATTTTACTCATGTAGTGTGCTTATCAATTTATAAATTCATTCCATGTGTCTGTTGAGTCTGTGTATGACTTTTGTATGACTGCATAACAAATTACCACAAACACTGGCTTTAAACAACACCCATTTATTGTATTTATTTATTTATTTTTAGAGACATGGTCTCCCTCTGTTATCCACGGTGAAGTGCAGTTGCATGATCATGGTTCCCTGCAACCTCAAACTCCTGGCCTCTAGAGGTCCCCCTGCCTCAGTGTCTGGAGTACCTGGGACTACAGGCAAGTACCACCGTGCTCAGGTAAATTAAAAAAAAAAAAATTCCTTTTTGTAGAGAGGAAGGTCTCCTCAAATTGCCCAGGCTAGTCTCACTCCTGGCTGCAAGTAATCCTCCTGTGTCATTCCCACAAACCTTAGGATTACAGGCATGAGCTACCACGCTTGACCAAACAACACTTATTTATTTATTTACAGTTCCTTAGTCAGAAATCTGAGCATGATTGGAGGGTTCTCTGTTTAGGGTTTCCCAAAACTGTGTTTTCATTTTGAGGGCCTCCTTCAGGCTTATACAGAGGCGACAGAATTCAGTTTCTGCCAGTTGTAGGACTAAGGTTCCTGTTCCTTGCCTACTGTCAAGGTAGAGAGAGGCTGCTCTCAATTCCTGGTGCCCACCAGCATTCTTTGCCACACAGCCCCTTCATTTTTAGAATCCACATTGGAGGAACCCCCTCACACTGAATCCCTCTCACACTGTGAATCTCTCTGATCAGGAAGAACCCAGTCCTTTCAGGGGCTCGCCAGATGAGGACAGCCCGACCAGGGATAATCCCTGTCTTAAAGTCAATTGATTTAGGACCTTAATTATATATGCAAAAATCCCTTCAAGGCAGGACTTACATTATTGTTGGTTGAATAACTGGGGTCAGGTGAATGACCAAGGTTACACGTCTATCATGGGGGGGATGATAGAATCAGCCTAGCAAGGCTTGGGTCTTTCTTTTGAGTTTAATTGGGACACAGGTGGAAATTGAAGTTCAAATAAAGCAATAATTGTGAATGATAATAAAATACATCCTATTTAGCCATGGAAATTCCTCTTACCTCTTAAAACCAAATGACATGTTTAATATTTTATAATTAATTTAGGTTGGGTGTGGTGGTGGCTCATGCCTGTAATCCCAGCACTTTTGGAGGTGGAGTCAGGCAGAGAGCTTGATTTCATGAGTTCGAGATCAGCCTAGGCAGCATGGCAAAACCCTTGTCTCTACCAAAAATACAAAAATTTTAGCCAGGCATGGTGGTGCATGTCTGTACTCCCAGCTACTCAGACAGCTGAGGTGGGAAGATCACATGAGCCTAGGAGGTCGAGGCTGCAGTGAGCTGTCCTCCTGCCACAGCACTGCAGCCTGAGTGACAGAGCAAGACCCTGTCTCAATAATAATGATGATAACAATAACACTAATAAATTTAGAGCAAATGAAAATTAAAGTGCAACTATTCATCCTCTCTTGTGAAGCTGTATTTTTTTTTACTGTTACATTACAAATTACTGAAAATGTAACAGCTCAAAGCAACAAATATTTATCATCTCCCACAGTTTCCAATGCTCAGGAATCCAGGAGAGGTTTCCCTGAGTGTTTCTGGCTCAGGGCCTCTCACAAGGTTGCAGTCCAGTTGTCAGCCAGGGCTGCATCATCTGAGGGCTCAACTGGGCTGGGGATTTGCATGAAAAATGGCTCACTCACATGGCTATTGGAAAAGGCCTCAGTTCCTTGTTGTCTGGTCCCGGGAGGCCTCGGTCCTAGCCACATGGACCTTTCCACAGGTCTGCTTATGACACAGCAGCTGGCTTCCCCCAGAGTTCATGATCCCAGAGACAGAGAGAGCAAAGGTAGAAGCTACGGTAAGTTTTTTGTTCTACACCAACAGTCACTCCATCAGATAGAAGTGAATCATTAAGTCCAGGCCACACTCACAGGGAGGGAATGAACCTGCACCTCTGCAAAGTGGAGAGTATCAAAGAATTTGCATATATGTTAAAAGCAAAATTAAAATTATTGTTTCAGAATTTTATAAATCCAAAGCTGCTTTCATCTGATTATAATTCTTTAATGCTTTAAACTTCTCTTTTTAAAGTAATGATTAAAATTTGAGACATCACAGAGCCTTGGGTATTGAGGGGAAAAAAGTTTGAGACAGAGAAAGGAGATACTATAGTATCTCTAAGTTTTTCTTGCAAATACCTTTAATAACAATATTCTCTTTAATGAGTTGCAACACAGCTGAGAACTTACAGTAACTAGATCAAATAGTTCCAAGACTTCAGTGCCATAACAATAGTGCCTTAAAAATAAGTATTTGTTTTGCCTAAGATGTCTCAAATTTAGTTTAAGAATGTCCCAAATGCCAATTTTCTCATTCAAATATCATCTTTAAAAATATTTGCCAAATCAGATTGCTTTTAAGGTAGAAAAAATGTGAATCTCATACCTCAGCCAACACATCTAGCTTAGCATAATGTCAGTAACTTTGGTTGGATACAGTAGCCCAAAATGCTTAGCTCCAACTTAGGAACAAGATTTTCCAAAAACTGGCTACTGGGTGGGCATTCCATAATAAACTTGACATCTTTCGCTCTGGTTTTTAATGAGACGTGGTAGACATGATTTGGACATCACTATGATTCTAAATAGCACTGCTATTCTGTACTTCTACAGTATTTTTTAAGCAATCCTATTGTGTTTTCCATTCCTATTTGCTATTCTATCACTGGTTATTCCTATATAATTTTTTCCTGTTTAATTTATTTTGATCAGTAATGTGCATTTCCAATTCTGTAAAAGTTTAATTCAGGTGTGTGTGTGGTAGAATGTAACATCGAATCCTTTGCAAGATGGAATTACCTTGCACATCAGACCGAACATTGTACACCAAAAATCTATGGAGATGTCAATGAGCCAAGGATCAAATGACCTATTTCTGGTCAAGGCCACTTTCATAGCATTCTGGCTCTCTCCATCACATGGATCATTACAATTGGCTTTGGTCCAATGTGAATAGTTCTTGGTAAGAATTATTGTAATGGCAAAAACTGCAATTATTTTTGCATCAGCCTGTAAGAGTTCAAAGTCACTGTCTTGGCCGCAGAATTACACCAGGCACTTTTTACTCAGACTCTGTTAATAACTTCCTGTTCTTTACTTGTATCCCATACACTGTGGCATTAAACTTTTAACATACAGATTCAGAAAATGCTTCCTTATATCATAACCACATAGGGTTATTTTATATGTTAGGAATATTTCATGAGAAGTAGGAAAAAATGGTGGGAAGGAAAAGAAAAATCAAGAAGAGAATAGGTGGAGAGAAACGGGAAACATTATGTATGGATAATATTATAAAAATAGAAGGAAATAAATCAGATGTAGATAACCACTATGGAATAATCGAAACATAAGAGAGGTTTATTAGCTATCTGTTGCTGTGTAACAAACTACCCCAAGACTTAGTGACTTAAAACAGTGAACATCAATTTACTCAAAGAAAACAACACAAATACTAGCAAAACTGGGGCAGGTGGAAGAAGTTGGATAAAAAAAAGGATTTTACAAACTGGAAAAGTAAGAGGTCACTGGTGTGTAAATGGAAATGATTTTGTTGGTCCATGTTCTCCAAGAAGCAGATGACATGAGATTAAAGTTGCAGTATTTTATTAGAGGACTCACCTGCCAGAAAATATGGGAAAAGATCCAGGAAACCTTGGGAGAGACAGCAGACTGAGATGCAAGCGTGACCCCCAAGTGAGGGACAGGAGAGGAGGTTTGTTGGACACATCCTAGACCATAGGCAATCTAAGGAGAGTTGAGCAAGGCCATAGAGGAGTCCTCTCGTCACAGTTGGCCCTTGTCTTCCAGACATGGGCCTCCCTTAGTGTCCCTCTTGTCACCCATCACTGGTTGGGAACAGCCCATGGAAAGCAGGGTGTCTGCACCAATGCTGCTGAGGATGTCAGAGCACAGGAGCAGGGCCTTGGGAGATTATCTGGGAGCATGGTTCAAATTTTCCTTCCTGAGGTTTCTGGGCCCTTGGAAATCAAATTCCCTCAGGATTGGTTGCTGGACAATTCCACTAACACTTACAATGGGACAAGGGGAACCAGGAGACCCCTCAAGTGGATCACTGGGTTCCACACACATTCCTCCTGCCCTCATTGTGACAGCAGCCCAACCTCCTCCTGGAGATTAGGATCTATTACCTGTGCCTGGAGAGGAGGGGACTCCTCACTTGCTGGTCTCTGGGCACATACTGTCCAAATCTCTCTGGGGGCAATAGTAATGTGTTCTTCAGTAGGCTCTCATTTGTCCTGATTTAAGAGTACCTTCCTTTAGAATCCAGGACCTTCTACCCTGCAGAGCACAGGTTTGGGAGATGAGAAGTGCAAAATCCCACAGCAGGTGAATCTAAGGAATGAGACATGGAGCCATACCCACTTTCACTCCTTAGTTTCTGGACCCACATGTTCTTCCTACTGAGAACACGGCACTGTAGAGATGTCTCTGATTTAATAAATGCACCATGTCCTGAAAGACAGCACCCACTCCTCAGAGTGCTTCCTCCAGGCTGGCACTGAGTTGTGCCTGTAGAAGACCTGTCCAGCATTCTTAGTGGCTGGCAGACCCTGGGTGGTGCAGATGGTGATAGAACCAGTGGATCCCATGGCCATGAAAATGCTGCACCTGCTTCCCTGTCAAGTGGGTTCCGCCAGGAAGACAGTGTGCTAAGAGCAATGCCATGCCTGTGAATCAGGAATGTCAACAGTCCCTGGAGAGTGGTGCTGACTGAGGGTCTGAGAGCAGGACAGGAAAACCCACTCATGGAATGGTGCCTAACCCTGTAAAGATGAACCTCTGGCCCTTCCAGAATGGAAGTGGCTCAACTAATCACTTAGCAGCGAGTGTTGCTTTAGTCACCTAAAGAAATATAGCCCCACTGAGGCATATCATTGGCCTCAAATGCTAATGAGTTGGACATTCAGAGGTGGCAGCAGCTGGATCTGTCTTGGTAGGTGGTAGTCAGTGCTTCTGGACCCATATTTAGCCTCATCCCTGCCACTGTGCTTGCTCCATTCATGAACCCATCCTGCTAGGCCTGGGCTGCCCGATGGTGAGGGCTGGCTAACTTCAATTTGTCTGCTTGGTTGTTTAGTGCCACTTCAGGTTTGGATGTTTTCTGGAGGTGTCAACATAGGATTCATGCTCAATCCAGATGGACCATTTCTATCTCATGATGGATGCTTTGGGGTCTGTCCGATCTATGACTTTCTGAGTTACAGAAGCCAATTCATATGGGCATTTGAAATCACATGGTTGTTTGCTGTCCCATGGCAAGGATTCTATCTTATCAAGGCCAGTAACATACCAAAAGTTGCTTCTAACAGGGGCATATGTCTCTGCTGTGGATGACATGGCCTTACTCCAGAATCCCAGGCCGTCCATGTGACTCCCCCACTGGTGCTTGTTTCAGCTCCATCCTGCATCTTTCCCCAGGACTGACACCTCTAGGTGGGTCTGAGGGATGGCGCTGCCTCATGGCCTGAATCTGCCAGTGTCCTTTCCTCAGCAGGCCTAATTGAAGCAAGTCCCCTCCTATTTCTCCTAGAGTGTAGGTCAAAACAATAGATGTGGGATGTGGTATTGTCAGAACTCAAAGAGGCTCACCAGGCAGTGTGCTTCCTTCCTTGTAGTGAGGATGCAAGATGCAACACTTTGTCTTTTACTGTGGAGGAGAAACTCCTGGATGTCCTCAACCACTGGATGAATAAAACTTCACCACAGTGGCCACTCCTGAATCTCTGTATGGTTTATCTTCCATCTTCTGGAGAGCACGTGTTTTGCCAAGGCCTTCAGCATACTTTCCACCTCCTACTCATCCATCCTAGTCAACATGATGTTGTTGATGAAATAAGCTGGTTTACCATTCTATAGGATGCCAGGTTCTTCAGATCTCTTAAGACTATACTATAGAGGGCAGGTCAGTTACAATAACCCTGAGGCCAATTATCAATAAATGTGTTGTGGATCCCACATGAATCACTTCATGTATAGTTTTTCTCATTGGAATGGAAAGGAATGCACTCACCAAATCCACAGCTGCACACTCTGTGCCTGAGGCCTTATCAATCTGCTCTACCCGTGATATCCAGCCAGCATGGCAGCTGCAATTATGACTCCTACTTTTTCAAGTCTGAAGTAATCTTATTCATTCTTTAGGCCCCATCAGGCTTCCTTGGGGACAGATTGCTGGATTACATGAAGATAATAGGCAACTCCAACAGCACCCCTCATCCTTCAGCTCCCTAATGGCGGTGCTACACCTACAATACCTACAGCACCTTTCATAAGACTCACCCTGGGACTCAATATCATTTTTTATTTGGCCAAGATGAAGTCAGTTGCAGAGGTTTCCCTTTGGCTTTCAGAAAATGACAGCCCTTATTCCAGAGACTTGGGACCCAATGTGGGGGTTACTCCAGCTGCCAGGGCATCAATGCCAATTACACACTTGGAGAATGGGGAGATAAACAGGGCTGGGTCTGTGGACCCAGTAGTCTCTTTGTGATGTGTCCAGATTTATTCCCAGCTTCTGTAAGCCCCACTGTGCTGGGGACATAATGGTGCTGTAGGCCTGTAGGCATCAATATTAGCTCACACCCAATGTCAACACTCCCCCAAATTCTGCCTGTTTCCCTTTCCTAGTGTACAGTCCCCTGAGTAAATGACTGTAGGCTCCTTTGCAGAAAGACAGAGGGAATTGTTCCAGCATATACTTGCCATGAGGTTCCAGGGTCCTTCCTCCTGGGATAGGGACTCCTTCTCTGTAACTGGGATCTGAATCTGAAACTTGGTTGACATTTAGGAATTGAGAATGGGATCATGACTTTGTATTGAGTTAAACACCCTCAGCCCCCTGCTCATCAATTCTTGCTTTCTTATCATAGATGTCAAGCAGTGCCCTTGTTGGCTGCTGTCTTTTCTGACACCACCCTCTATTAACCTTCCCCACAACTCCCTGCAGATCAAGCTGCCTCAGCTGCTCCTCTGAGATTGTCAAGTTAACCGTGCCCTCTGGCTTTTGCAGGCCACTGTCACCATTTAGTTCTCTGCCTTTTCAAGGCCACACTTTCCTCAGGAATATCAATGAGCCCAACTATAGGACCTCCTTCCTGCCATCACACCCAGCCTGCAGAGGACACCACCCCGACGCTTCTTAGCAATGCAAGTCCCTCTCACCAGCACATTCCTGAGGCTCTGGTGGAAGGTGTGCCCTATGGGTCCTCTGTGGAGCATGGCCCTAGTGGGCATTCTGGTTCACATGATGTCTCCATCCCACACACCCACTTCCCTCAGCCTCATTATCCATCCTCTACATGTTCCAGGACAACTAACTCATGTCTAACTTACTGAGAGTTGGACATCATTTTTTCCAGTCTACATGGGTCCACCCCAGCAGTGGGTTTGCCCCATGCCCTGAGGTCCTTGATAAACCCATACCCTGAGAAAGTGCTCCCAAGCCAAAGGTGTTTTTTTTAATTTATCCAGCTTGATTCTGGCCCTTTGATCAAACACCCTTAAATTCCAATCCCAGAACTGCTCCTCAGGCTCCTACGGGGACATAACGGCTGTTACTGCAAAGCTCCTGAGTGGAATTCCCACTGCATCATAGGGGTGAGGTTTCTGCAGCAACTTCCAGTGTAGGAAGTGGGAACCATTACTAGAGAAGGGCGAGCCTCCTCTGCATGCCCAGAGAGTTCTAAAGGGCACCCATAGGATAACCCTGTTCCAGTTTGCAGAATCTTAGGTTTCCGCACCAAGGCCTTGACTTTCCCACAGCAGGTCTGCCTCTGATGAGTGTCCAAACATCTCTGTAGTACTGTGACTTTCAAAATGATGTCATCAGCTATCATTCCACTCTGCAAGGGGAGAGGGGCAGGTGCCCCTCCTCGGTCTGTCTCCACCAGGCCCTGTGAGGGTGGGTGGAGGCTCTCTCCAAGCCCTCGTTTGGCCCCACCCCAGCATGTCTCCAGGTTCCTCTCAGCCCTGGTTCCTTTTGGCCCTGCAGTCACAATGGGCAACACTGTGACGCACCCTGTCCTGTGTCACAGTGTCATACACTCAGGCTCACATTGCCCCTAGGCCACTTGCCAGCCAAGGGACATGGCCACATTTTGTGTCTTCTGCACCTCAGCCTTGCTTTCAAGTGCAGGTGATGATGGCACCCACGCAGAACAAATGTTATTTGCTATCTTCGTCGAGTTTAGTCATCCAATTTTCCAACCCTCACTGGGCAAGGAAGAGTGTGGTTTCCACCAGAAGGCAGGATGTCAGCAGTCACAGGGGCAACCAACAGGGAAAGCCACCGGAAAATAGACCCCACAGGAAGCACAGGTGTCCAGTGGAGATGGGAACCCTGCAGATTTGACCGTCTTTAAGCAGATTAGAGAGATTACCATTACTAACAACTTAGCCATAAAAGTTTATTAGCTATTTTCAAAAAGCATAAAATTATGTAATATAATTTTTTTTAAATTTCCATCAATACAAAACTAATCTGGGCACTGCAACTTCCGGTGGGCAACTGGGATAGGCGGCATCATCAGGAAGGCGAGCCCTGCCATGCCCCATGTGCCAGTGCCCCAGATGGCGGCAGCCTCCCCAGAAGCACCTTGTATCTCCCCTGCACAGGGCCAGGGTCCCAGCTTCCCATACACCTTCTCCTGCTTTTTCTTTTCTGTCCTTTCCTTTTTCAATAAACCACCTGCGAAAAGGGAAAACCATTCTGAGGACAAGAAACATGTCAATGGGAAATACACAGTTGCCAGAGGGTAAAAGGCCCTGTTCATTCTCATTGAAAAGCTCAGGTATTTCTGTTAAAGTCTCTCCTTTTACTTTAGGATGCTGACTCCTGCGTCCATCTCAACCTGGGCATCGTGCCACCACCTTCAAGAAGAGAAAAACTAAGTAGTGCTTTGCAAAGGGGCAGCAGCATTTCTCATTTCTGACCATGTCAGGCACACGGCCATGCAGATGAGCAGGTGGGGGGACACAGGTGAGTCTCCAGACCTGCTCTCCTCCCACAGTACATTCTTGAGTCTTTTTAAACAGTTGTGAAAATGCCACAGATGCAAGCACCTGTGGGCCACTCCCATGGGGACTGTTGCACAAGGCAGTGCCACTCATTCTCAGAACCTCCTACCATGGGCTATGCTTAGTGACCCGAGGCCAAGCCAAGGAAGACGCCAGCCACAGGGTGCCATCCTCAGGGGCATGCTGCCAGCAGGGGCAAAGTTATCCCTAGCAACAAGATACAGAAAGAAAGAAAAAAGGAAGGAAATGTAGCCAATGGGCCGGTTCAGGTTCTTGACTTTGCCACACAAAAGAATTTGAGAGCAAGTCCAAAGTAAAAGTCAGCAAGAGAATTTATTGCAAAGTGAAAGTACACTCTGACAGCTGATCAGAGCAGCTGCTCAAAAGAGAGACAGTACCCTCCCCTCACGGGAGTCTTACATGATTATTCATGAATAGGTGGGAAGGGGTATTGTTTTAAGCATGTTCTGTGGTCTCTTGAACGTGCATGCACTATGGTTGTACATATCAGCACACACATCTTACGTCTCATTAGCATCTTAACTTCCCTCTCAGAGTTGTGTTTGCTACTATTGTAATGAGCATAGGTCAGCCCAAGGACGCTATTCATGGGTTTCTGGGCTTCCTCAGATGTGGGGATGCCTCCCTTGGCTCTTCTACCTCTTTGCTGCAGGATGTTCTAACCACAAGCCCAGGATATGGTTTGCGCACTGTCGAACAGCTTGTTCTCTCCATCAACCTGACAAGTCTCTTGTTTCCTTTCAAGGGAGGCTGTGAACATCCTATCTCACTGACCTCAGAAGGACAGTACAGCAGTAGCCACCATGACCAAAAAGATGATTCCAGAAGTGCAGGACAACTCCCTACCCAGAGGCTGTGGCTGTGCAGTAACACACCAAGAGGGGAGTCCAGCTGGCTCTCAGGGTGCTCACTACCCTCATCTGGGGGCCTGGAGGACGTCAATTCCTGAGAACGCCACGTTCTAGTGAGTAGAATGAACTGAGAGATACACAGCAAAGCTCCACATACTTTTCCTTTTCTTTGTGCCCGCAGTGTTCTTCATCAGTGTGCTCTCGCTTTTCAGCTACTACTGTTGGCTGGCTGGAAAAAATAGAACAATAGTAAAAATTAGAGACCAGTCTTTGGTGATGAAGAGAAATATTGGCTACTTCCAGTATTTTCTAGCTTTGGTTATGGTTGCAGTTTTCCAGCTCACCTTGTGGGGATGAATTCAGAAAAAAGTTACAAATTGAAATGAACATGCCAGAAGTATTGGCTCAAATCAACGTTGTCCTATTAAGCCACTTAGTGAATCAAAAGACCGCTTGTTGGACTGTTAATCTCGGTGGCCAGAGAAAGGAGCTGAAGAAGGTGTTGCCAGATCAGGAACAAATAATTACAGCGGCAATAGAAAATGGAAGACCACTTGTTCATAACCATTTGAATAAGGGCAAGGTGTATGGAAACACATTATGAACTGATATTTTCAGTTTTGTTTGCAAGAAAATGATTAATAAGGTGAAATAATTGAAGTATCACGGAAGATACATTAAAAAAAAAAAAGCCTTTGTACAGTTTGCTGGAGCCACAGATGTCCTACTCCAGAGCAGAACAATGCCTGAATCTTCAGGGTCCATTTCTGCCGCATTCACTAGCAACCACAAATGTGACTTAATTTTACTTTGGAAATAATGCTTACCCATTGTGAGATGCTGTAATATGAACCATCATTACATGTTAACATGGCACATGGAATTTTGAGTGTCTAAGTTACATTTTTAGAGTTGTTTCTTAGTAGCCATGTGAGTTTCCACTCCAAAAACACAAGCTAAAAACTTGTTTTGAGTGAAGGACATCTAGGGCAAATGGTGGCTGAAAGTGAATGAGATCCCAATTACTCTTTCTTGTACTGTATAAGGAAAAGAAAATAAGTGCTTTTCTTGTTGGGTGTTTGCTAATTTATAATTACCGTTTTATGCTTTTCAACATTTTTAATAAAGTTTTTTATTGTTGGCTATAAACGTTTTAAAAGGATTCTCTTCCTCTAGAATCACTCTAAGTACCAAAATCTGTATTATTCTGGATTCATCAGAGAAACAGAACCAATAAGGTGTGTGTGTGTGTGTGTGTGTGTGTGTGTGTGTGTTATTCGTGTTATGAAACTGACTCATGCAATTATTACGGTGGCAAGTGTGAAATCTGTAGGATACGCCAGCAGGCTGAAAATGCAGACAGAAGTTGATATGGTAGTCTTAAGACAGAATTTCTTCTTTTCTGGGAAACTGTAGTTTCTGCTCTTAAAGCCTTCTACTGATTGGATGAGGTCCATCTACATTATTGAGGGTAATTTCCTTTTCATAAAGTCAACTGATTGTAAATGTTAACCACATGTACTAAATATCTTCACAGCAACATCTAGATTAGGTTTTGATTAAATGACTGGGTACTATGTCCTAGCCAAGTTTATTGGCATTGACTCTGGGTCAAGGCACCGTGTCTCCCTCCCATCGAGTTTTCCATCATCTACACGAGACCTAGATGACTACTTTGATATCTACTGAAGGCCACAGCCTTGTCAAAGCCAGCCCCAGCTGAAATGCACTCACCTGCATTCCCACACAATTTTACATACAATTCGGGGGAGGTTATGGGACCTATGAAGACCAAGGGTCTGTGGTCCTGTGACACTTTCTCTCAGAGGGTGAAGAAGGAGTTCCTTGGGGCAGCAACTCCCCAGGGGTCTCCTGCCTGCCTCTCCTCCCCTCTCAGCCCCAATCCTCTTTCCTGCTGTTGATCATCATGCAGTTTTTAAATCCCTACTCCCTGCCCCACCAAGGTTGGGCTCTAGGACCTGCCTATTGGGAACCTGCGGTTGGGAGAAAGTATGAAGTGACCCACCTGAATTTAGAGGAGGGAAGTGAGGAATTTGGAGACATCTAAAAACATTTTGTCCCTGTGGTTTGACTTCAAATTATCTATTTTTATTGGAGATTTGTTTGAAATTATAACCGGTATCTCATGATTATTCAGCATATGCCATGCCCCCTGGTAACCCTGGTTCTTATTTTTTTAAACTTGTACAAATATTTTAAGCAAACACAAAAGTAGACAGAAGAGTAAAGTAACCTTCACTGTACCCTTCACTCAGTAACACCCACTCTTGATTTATCTACATCCTCAACCATAGCCCAACACCAGGTTATTTTCAACTAAATCCTAGACAATATATTATTTCACATGTTAGCAATTTTCTTTTGAAGGTGCCAATGTTCAGCTTCTTTAAAAAGAGAAACAGAGACGGGCAGGAGAAGGATTGAACTGACAAAATATATTTTCAAATGCAATTAAGGCAGAGGACAATGCAGGAACTCTTGAGTCCCGTTTTAACTGAATGCTCAGCACCTCTTAGATTCTCAATAAAAGAAAGCAGCAGCCCAGAGCCAAGGAGCCCAGGGAGGCACATCATGGTTTGATTTTGTGGCTGTTTTCAGGGCAGTATCTGTCATCTCTGAATGGTTACACTGGACATTTCTATTCCCACCCTTGCAATGGGACTCCCCAGCTCAGAGAAAGGGAAATTATCACCCATTCTCATTTATACCTTTAATGCCTTCATCCATTCCCTTGGTCCTGACTTTCCGGTTGGAGGAGGGGGAGGAAAAGCAGAGGCACGAAATTGAAATGTCTTCTCTGCCATCTGCTGGGGATATGCTTGAATAACAGGAAAGGCCTACATAAAAGATATGCAGCCAGGAATAGAGGTTCCTTTTCCTGTTTCCTTCAGGAAATTTCCCCTAGGGCAGACAGAGCAAGAGTGATGGACAGAGGAATGGGAGCAGGACCCAGGGGGAGGTCTGGTCATATGTGTGCCTTTCTGCCTCCCCGTCTGTCATTGTCCTTCCTCACCAGGCCTGCAGACCACCTGCGATGACCTGGCCTCTTGCCATCCCTAGCTGGGCCAAAATTCCATCACAGGGACACACAGGATGGCAGAAGCGCAAGGCCTCATACCCGCTGGGGCAGCCTCCTGGAGATGGCCTCAGAAGGGCTTCTAGGAACTTCTTTAAAACCTGCACTGCAGGCACCAATTTCCCCAGTTATCCCATCCTTAAATGAAAAATCAACCACAGAGATGATTTATTGTAATAGCCTTATTTCAGTACAAGCAGACGAAAAGTGTTTCTCTTCACTGGCCCGTTAGTTACAATGGGGAGGGGTCACTGAGTGAGCAGCGGGTGGTGGCAGTGACGACCACACCCTCTCACTGCGGCCCAACACTTTTGAGACAAGTTCCCACCTCTCCATTAGACGTGTCTTCTCCACATGCAGAAAATGTGGTCTCGTAGCTTCCCTTCTCGGTGCTGGATTGCTGACATTTCTTTTCTTTATCAGAGACATGAATATCTTTTTTCTTTATGGATTTCTAAGACTTCAGGGTTTCTTCAGGGAGAAGTTGCTTAAGGAGGCTCCTGCGTGGATCGAGTCCTTCCTGAGGGTTTGCTGGATGCCCCCGGACACTGTGCGGCTGTGTCCTCCGGGGTCCCTAAAGCTGGCACATTCTGCTGTGTACCCAGAGGTGGGGACAGATGCTGCCAGCTCCACCTTACAGCTGCCACATGAAATTTGAGGTCAGAGAATTCTCTTGTCTTTAAGGGCCCCCACATTTGCCTTCTTCGATGTTTCAGGAAATCATAACTGAATTTAGAAAGGTTCCCTTTTCAGTTTACTCTCTGGAAGGAAATATACTGAAAATTCAGTTTATTTTCAGGTGTTGAATAGAATTGAAAAGTCAAACTGTCAGTTTGCTTGCAGTGCACACAGAGAAATTGAGTGTTCCAAGCCATTGGGACATTTCTAGCAGCTCCATCCTTTTCCAGTAGGACATGAGTAAAGTCAGTGAGGAGCGAACCTGCAGTCCACGGGCACCTCCAGGATTGTGGCAGGAGACGCACATGTCTTTCTGATGTGTGGAGTCCTGAGGACAGAGGCTGAGACCCTGCATTTCCCAAAGTACTTGTTTTCTAAGCAAGTGTTTCTGCTACTTGAAATAAACTTGGGGGTGTGGAAGCCACCTTGCAACCAACCAAACACAGGTGAGAAAATGAATATGAAGTGTTCTGGGAGAAAGCAGAAAACCCCATTGCCATCATGTTTCCTTATTTTTACAATTCTCTTAAACAACGTGCCTAAGGTTATAACCCCTCCCGTTTGTAACAACTTCTAAATGAGAAAATCGTTGAAAGGGCATTAGTAAGTGTGGATACAGAATAAATGCTGAAAATCAGTGCTTTATTCAAAGTAGCGATAGAGTCTCCCAGGTATCAATAGAGAGGTGGGCCAGGGACTTTTCCCAGTGACCAGAAACAAGAGCCTCAGGGAGATGAGGATGTCTCACAGCCAGGGACGGGACAGTGAAGGGCCCCACGGGAGTGCATCCCAGGGGTCTGTTCCTGTTTAGACTCCAATGCTCAGCACCCAGTGCGGCACGTGGCAAGACCTCAGCAAATATGTCAGTTGGCTGGATGAAGGAGGGCAGTTGTGAGCCAAAAAAAGATTTTTGCTGGGGCATAAATGTAAAAGTGTTGATGAACCTACCTTGCAAGGAGATAGAAAGGTGGATGGGTGGATGGGTGGATGGGTAGATGGATGGATGGATGGATAGATGGATGGATGGATGGATGGATGGATATTCATTTTCTCTATGTGTGTGTGTACGTGTGTATCTATCTCTGTCTGTCTCTCTGCTCTTTCTCTCCATTTGCCATTGTTCCTTCACAATCATGATTTCACTAACTTTTTTTTTTTTCTTTGAGACAGAGTCTCACTCTGTCGCCCAGGCTGGAGTGCAATGTCACAATCTCTGCTCACTGTAGCCTCCACCTCCCGGGTTCAAGCGATTATCCTGCCTCAGCCTCCTGAGTAGCTGGGATTATAGGCACATGCCACCACGCCCGGCTAAATTTTGTATTTTTATTTTGATTTTTTTTGTAGAGATGGGGTTTCACAATGTTGGCCAGGCTGGTCTCAAACTCCTGACCTTGTGATTCGCCCACCTCAGCCTTCCAAAGTGCATCAGTAACATCTTTTACCTGGTCTTACAGGACCTTGCCTGTCTATTCTATTCGTGGTCACAAGACAGAAAAAGAAAAGGAGTGTGTGGAAAACAAGATAAGGAAACATGCTTCTGATCTGGGGCAGTGGGGAGACAGGGGTTGCGCCTCACTGCAGAGTCCATCCTGCTGAACACAGAGGGGCAAAAGCGCCCAGACAGCCATACCTGTGCTGATCAGAAGGGAGGGCTGCGCCTCGCGATCCTTCTACCTGTGTCTTTCAGGCTTTGCTGTCTAGGTCCAAGTTACTGCTATGAAAAGAGATTTGAGAATTCCCAGAGGGGCCTTTCAGCCTCTTTCCATGGCTCTTCCTGCCCTTTCGAAAGCACAGCCAGAGACATCAGAAATGAAATTGTACATAATTCTTTTGGACTTTGATGCAATCTTTGGAAAGAATTTTTGTAAATGCCAAGCTACATTTTGGCAACCCCATCAAGAGTCAGGTGTGCCCAGGGCAGTCAACCCAGGCCCTGGACTCTCATTCTAGTTGGATTCTATGACAGCTATTTTGCCATAAGAATTCTAGAGCCAGATCTTGCTACACCACAATTGCCTCACGTTGCAAGACAAACAAATCTAACCTGAGTCCTGTGGATTCCAGAGGTGCTCAGGAGGAACCTCCGTCTCAGCGTGGATGACCTCAGGTTCAGCCCCGTCTGCCCATTCAGCCCGCAGCCCCGTCCAGGAGAGCACTCAGAATCCGAGAGCAGCGCAGCGACGCCCCCGTGTGGCCACAGGGCCGAGGACAGAGATCCCGCTCCCCTTTCTCCCTAGCCAGGACCTCCCAGGCTCTCCTGCTCCCAGCACCTGGACAGGGCTCTGCATACAAAGGGGTTCCCGATCTCAAGTCAGGCTCTGAGTCCATCCAGCTTCCCAAAATCCATGTTGACACTGACGTTTCCTCCCACCACTGAGTGACTCTGGATTTTGGCTTTAGGGAAGAGATACCTCCAGGCCAAAACAGTGGGATCATATCTGGGGCTCATCCACCCCCAAACCATTGCTACCACATGACCTAGTCCCTCAGCCTCCAAAATGGGGCCTTGCCCTCCTGTCCCCTCCCTTGTTCCTGCTGCTGCTCCTGCAGGTGGAGGCTGCTCATCCCAGGAATCAGCCTGTGAGCTCCAAGCCTGGAGTCCGGGCCTGGGGCCTTGGTCCAGAGAGCAGAAGGGAGATGAAATGGATCATAAGAGAAGGGGGAGAGTGGAAGGAACCAGGGGGGAGAGAAAAACGAGAAGGGCCCTGTTAGAAGTTGTGTGTGCATGTGTGTGTGTGTGTGTAGATCAGGAGGGGGTTTCTAGGGACCTGGGGAAAGGAGAGCTAAGGGCAGGTGCTAAGGGGCCCAGCCCTGTTAATTCCAAGGTCCGGAATTAATTCCAGGATACTGCACTTCCTACAGTACCACTTTATGGCCATATCCAAGTCCAGCCCTGAGCAGCCTATGGTCACAGAAAATCGTGAGAATAATCAGAGAAAAATGACACGTTACATACATGAGAACAATTATGAGAATGACCAGTCCATGTGTTCATAATTTGTCATCAGAAACTATGGTGGTCAGAAGACAATGAAATGGCATTTTTTTGAGTGCTGTAAGAAAACAACCTAACTCAGAATTGCACATCCAGTAAAAATATTTTCAGGGAAGAAAAATGAAAAGGTGTCTCCAGATAAAATAAAACTAGGATAATTTGTTGCAAACATAACTCTACTGCAAGAAAAATACTGAAGGAGTTTCCCAGGTTGAAAGAAATCATACCAGATGGTAACTTGAGTCTTCAGATAGGAGTGACCAACACTGGAAATGCCAAATATATGGTGGGAAGTTAAAGATGCTCTATTTTTTCTTAGTTTTTTTTTTATTAATTTTTTTTTGAGATGGAGTTTCGTTCTTGTTGCCCAGGCTGGAGTGCAATGGCACAATCTCCGCTCACTGCAACCTCTGCCTCCTGGGTTCAAGCGATTATCCTGCCTCAGCCTCCCGAGTAGCTGGGATTACAGGCATGCACCACCACGCCCAGCTAATTTTGTATTTTTAGTAGAGACGTGGTTTCTCCACGTTGGTTAGGCTGGTCTCGAACTCCCGACCTGAGGTGATCCACACGTCTTGGCCTCCCAAAGTGCTGGGATTACAGGCGTGAGCCACCGCGCCCAGCTTTTTCTTAGTTTTTTAAAAATACAAATGAACAACACTATCAACCGTCTTGATCTGACATTTACAGTCACTGTGTTCAACAGCTCCAGAATATATATTTTGTAAAGTGAATATGGTACATTCACTAACACAGGTCATATGTTGAGACATAAAACAAGTAACAACATATTTCAAAGGACTGAAATCATACAGAATATGTACTCTGACCAAAATAGATTTTATTGGAAATCAATAATAAGTTGTCTAGGGGCAAAAAAGTATTGAAAATTTTAAATCTTCCTTCTAAATAACCTACGGATCAAAGAAGAAAACATAAGGGAAGTTAGATAATATTTTCAACTGAATGATGATGAAAACATACCTTTCAAAATTATTAGATACTATTTCCAGTCTTTCTGCAAAGGACAGTGATCAAGAGAGTGTGGTATTGGCAAAAGGACAGACACATAGATCAACAGAACAGAATGGAGAGGCCAGAAATGGAAGGACAAAAATAGAGTCACTTGATTTTGAATACAAGTACAAAGGTCATCCAATGAAGAAGGGAATCTCCTTTCAATAATGATGCTGAAACAATTGGCATCCATCTACTTTGGGAGGCTGGGGCAGGTGGATCACTTGAGGTCAGGAGTTTGAGACTGGCTTGGCCAACATGGTGAAACCCTGCCTCTACTAAAGTTACAAAAATTAGCTGGTGTGGTGGCTCATGCCTGTAATCCCAGCTACTCGGGAGGCTGAGGTAGAAGAATCACTTGAACCTGGGAGGCAGAGGTTGCAGTGAGCAGAGATCACGCCATTGCACTCCAGCCTGGGCCACAGAGTAAGACTCAATCACAAAAAAAAAAAAAAAAAAAAAAAAACTTGACAATACTTCACACCTATAAAAAAGTAACTCAAAATGTATCATAGACTTAAAAATAATATGCACAGCCATAAAACTTCTGGAAGAATATAAAGGAGAAAATCTTAACCTTGAGTTTGAGTTTTTAGATAAAACACCAAAAATACAATCCATGAAAGAGAAAACAAATCAATTAGACTTTATCATAATTAATAGTTTTTGCTTTACAAAAACACTGGTAAGTGAATGAAAAGAAGACAAGGCACAGACTGGAAGAAAATACTTGTCAAAAAACTGGAAGTTATAGATGTGACAAAGGACTTGTAAAGATAATATGTGAACAAAATTAAAACACAATAATTGGGGAAAAAAATCTTGATTTTAGAAGTGGGTGAAAGATCTCAACAGACACCACCAAAGAAGATATATGGGTGGTAAATAATACTTGAAAATATGCTTAAGATCATCTGTCATTAGGGAAATGCCAACAGGGTGCAGTGGCTCATGCCTTCAATGCCAACACTTTGGTAGGCTAAGGCAGAAGGATCACTTGAGCCCAGGAGCTCAAGACCAGCCTGGGTAACATGGCGAGACAATGTCTCAACAAACAAACAAACAAACAAACAAACATTAACCAGGTGTGGTGGCATGCGCCAGTGATTCCAGCCACTTGGGAGAGTGAGACGGGAGGATTGCTTGAACCTGGGAGGTGGAGACTGAAGTGAGCTGTGATCGCACCACTTTACTCCAGCCTGGGCAACAGAGTGAGACTCTGTCTCAAAAAACAAAACAAAACAGAACACCAAAACAAAGTACTGCTACACTATTAGAGTAGCTAAAATTTTTTAAACTTACAATAAAAAATGCTGAAAATATACAGAGCAACAAGAATTCCCACTCACTGCTAATGGGAATGGAAAACGGTAAAGCCACTTTGAAAGACAGTTTAGAAGTTTCTTATAAAGTTAAGGAGAGACTTACCATCAATCATGCTCTTAGGTATTTACCCAAGTTAATTCAAGGTTGATATCCACACAAAAACCTGTACATGAATATTTATAGCAGCTTTACATATGTTCACTAAAAACTGTAAACAACCAAGATATCTTTCAGCCATGCAAGACTAAGCAAACTGTGGTATAACCATATGGATCATAAGAAATGAGCTATTGTCAGGCCAGATGAGGTGGCTTACACCTGTAATCCCAGCACTTTGGGAGGCTGAGGCAGGTGGATCACCTGAGGTCAGGAGTTTGAGACCAGCCTGGGCAACATGGCAAAACTCCGTCTCTAGTAAAAATACAAAAAGAAAAAATTAGCTAGGCGTGGTGGCGAGCAACTGTAGTCCCAGCTCCTCGGGAGGCTGAGGCAGGAGAATCACTTGAACCTGGGAGGCAGAGGTTGGAGTGAGCCAAGACTGCATCATTGCACTCTAGTCTGGGCAACAGAGCAAGGATCTGTCTAAAAAAAAAAAAAAAGCTGTTGCCCTGGTGCAGTGGCTCATTTTGGGAGGCCAAGGTGGAAGGATCGATTGTGGCCAGGGTTCAAGACCAGTCTGGGCAACATACCGAGATGCTGTCTATGTTTATTTAAAAAAAAAAACAAATTGGCCAGGCGCAGTGGCTCACACCTGTAATCCCAGCACTCTGGGAGGCCGAGGCATGTGGATCACCTGAGGTCAGGAGTTCGAGACAAGCCTGGCCAACATGAAGAAACCCCGTCTCTACTAAAAATACAAAATTAGCCGGGAGTGGTGGCGCATGCCTGTAATCCCAGCTACTCAGGAAGCTGAAGCAGAAGAATCATTTGAACCTGGGAGGCAGAGGTTGCAGCGAGCTAATATCGCGCCATTGCACTCCAGCCTGGGCAACAAGGGCAAAACTCTGCCTCAAAAAAAAAAAAAAAAATATATATATATATATATGTAAATAAGCTATTAATCCATACATCAATTAATCTTAAATGCGTTTTACCAGGTGAAAAAAATGTCAGACACAAAAGGCTTCATTTTATCTGACTCAATTCATATACCATTCTGGAAAAAGCAGATCTATGGGGACAGAAAACAGGTTAATGGTTATCGAAGGTTGGAGGGAGAAGGGATAAAGAACATTCAAAGGGAAATTTTTAGGATGAAGGAACTGTTGTAGATGGTACTAGGGTAGTGGATATATGATTCTATACATTTTTCAAAATCCAGGCTGGGTGTGGTTGCTCATGCCTGTAATCCCAGCACTTTGGGAGGCCGAGGCGGGTGGATCACCTGAGGTCAGGGGTTCAAGACCAGCCTGGCCAACATGGTGAAACCCCGCCTCTACCAAAAATACAAAAATTAGCCGGGACTGTTGATGGACGCCTGTAATCCCAGCTACTCGGGAGGTTGAGGCAGGAGATGGAGGTTGCAGTGAGCCCAGATAGCACCATTGCACTCCAGCCTGGGCCACAAGAGTGAGACTTCATCTCAAAAAAAAAAAAAAAAAAAAGTCATTGTTGTAAAAAGGGCACAGGCTTTGCTACAGATTTTTCTACCAGTGAAAAGATGTATACACTTGCCTGGCCTCATCATTCAGACCAATTCATAAAATAACAAATGCATGGAAAAAAAAACTTAAAAACACAATCATCATGTGACTGACTTCCAAATTAGATTCTCCTTCAAATCAGAGAGTATTGCTTGTTAATAGTGTTTATAAATTTTAATTCCTGATTGCTGAGACAATATGTACATAAAATATTTAGCCAAAGAGTTCAAAATGAAATTACCCAAATTACCTATTTGTTATTTTATACATAGTAATTATTTTTTAAAAATCATTTGGCTGGGTGCGGTGGCTCATGCCTGTAATCCCAGCATTTTGGGAGGCCAAGGCGGGCAGATCATGAGGTCGGGAGTTCGAGACCAGCCTGACCAACATGGTGAAACACTGTTTCTACTAAAACAACAAAAATTAGCCGAGCATGGTGTTGCGCGCCTGTAATCCCACCTACTTGGGAGGCTGAGGCAGGAGAATCGCTTGAACCCAGGAGGCAGAGGTTGCGGTGAGCCGAGATCACACCATTGCACTCCAGCCTGGGCAACAAGAGCAAAACTCCATCTCAAAAAAATTTTTTTAAAAAGCATAAATTAAAAAATAAAATAAAACTTTTAAGATGTTAAGCCCCTGAAGCTCCAACTACA
Organism: Homo sapiens; assembly: GCF_000001405.40. NCBI lineage: Eukaryota > Metazoa > Chordata > Mammalia > Primates > Hominidae > Homo > Homo sapiens. The sequence goes on along the minus strand of NT_167247.2, from coordinate 962,601 downwards.
AAGTAGGGTAAAAGGCTGCCTAAAGCAGTGAAGATCAAGGAGTGACCTTGGAGGCAGCAGAGGGAGACTGTATTAGTCCATTTGCGTTGTTGTAAAGGAATACCTGGGTTTAAGTAATTTATAAAGAAAAGAGATTTATTTGGCTCACAGTTCTGCAGGCTGTACAATCATGGGGCCAGCTCCACTAGGATTCTGGTGAAGTCTCAGGAAGCTTTTACTTGTGGCAGAAGGCAAAGGAAGAGCAGGTGTGTCACATGGAGAGAGAAAGAGCAAGAGAGCTGCTAGGCTCTTTTAAATAATCAGCTCTCGTGTGAACGAATAGAGTGAAAGCTCACTCATTACCATGGGCAGGGTACTAAGCCACTCAAGAGAGAACCGGTCCCATGACCCAAACGCCTCCCACTAGGCCCCAGCTCCAACACTGGGGATCTTTCAACATGAGATTTGGAGGGGACAAACACCCAAACCTTATCAGAGATGATCCCAGCCACAGGTCTCAGAGAACCAGCAGAGGGCACTCCTCCAGGGCCCAGCCTGAGTGTGGAAATAGCTGTCAGAATCACATCAGAATGTTTCAGAACTCATGGGGAAAAGCTGAGACAGAAAAAAAGAAGAAAGTAAGAAGCTGGCAGAAATCAGCTAGGAACCTTGAGAGACTTGGTATTTCATTGAAAGGTAAGATAGGAGTGTTTTGACTCCCGTCGTCCCTAAGGAAGACCACCAGTATCTGAACTGTCGGAGAGCTCCTCTGCCCTCACAAAGCCAAACACTGATGTGCATGGCGATTTGGGAACTTCTGGAGGGCATCACACCAGACAACCAACTTGCGCTGGGTCACTTGTCCCTCCTCCAGACTCGGGCAGTGTTGGCAGGGTGCCATATTAGGAGTGTAGCCATCAGGGGACTGTGTCCTTCCCAGGGAACCCCAACCTTTGTATATTCACATCACAGAAGCTCCTGCAGCCATGCCCCCAGTGCCCACTTGGATTGTGGCAGCCACACAGGGCTGGCTGGACCCAGTGGAGCTGCAGGGTTCCCAGTGGTCTAGCCATCAGGGATTGCTGCTCCTAAGGAAAGGGAGACTGCAGTACACAAAAAAAGTACCAGTTGGGACAAAGGAGGCCAGACCATGTACTCATCTGTGTCCAAGAGCTCCTTGTTTGTGGGCTGAGTGACTGCACCACTTCCAGCAGAGTCGTGGACACTGTGTTCAGCTCTGCGCTGAAGGAGTGTAGTTCCATCCCAGCAGCCAAGCAGCCCCAGTGCTTAGAATCAGGCATGGAAAGGGGAAATTCTCCTGCCCTTCCCCCATCCACCACTGCTTCAAACACAGCATGGCCACTCCCATGGGAAATTGGCACGTGTGCCAGAGAAGAGCCTTTCTAGGGCTATCAGGGGTGACTGTGTTTCCACTGGCAGTGTGGCCATTTGGGCCAGGCTTGTGTGAAAGACAGGGCCCTTTCCCCTCTCTACAGGGAGTGCTAGCATTCCTGCAGTGGAGAGCAGGAAAGCTGAAAAGCTATGTGCAGGCCAGGCGCGGTGGCTCACGCCTGTAATCCCAGCACTTTGGGAGGCCGAGGTGGGCGGATCATCTGAGGTCAGGAGTTCGAGACCAGCCTGACCAACATGGAGAAACCCTGTCTCTACTAAAACTACAAAAACAATTAGCCAGGCGTGGTGGCGCATGCCTGTAATCCCAGGTACTCGAGAGGCTGAGGCAGGAGAATTGCTTGAACCTGGGAGGTGGAGGTTGCGGTGAGCTGAGATCACGCCATTGCACTCCAGCCTGGGCAACAAGAGCAAAACTCCATCTCAAAAAAAAAAAGAAAAAGAAAAGCTATGTGTTTGGGGTTGAGGGAGGATGCTCTGCACCAAAGACATTTAAATGGTGAGCTGAGGAGAAGACATCTTTAATGAGTCTCAACTACATTGCAGTTGGAGATAGAGAGTAGTGTCTGGTCAATTTGAGTTTCCCCGATGCCAGGACTAGGGAATGACAGGGAAATGGATGGCATTCCTGCCTGGCCAGGTCATGAAGCTGGGGCAGCCCTCTCCTCATCTGTGGAGACCTAGGCACGTTTCACCAGAAGTTTCCCATGCCATCACTCCTGCCTGAAAGCTGCTGCCTGTGCTCACCATTGTGGGGCAGGCTTGGGGATCCAGCTCTACTCAGCTATGTCCCCCTCTCTGGTGCTGAGCAGGGAGCCCAGGCTGCTGTACATTCCACTTACCAGCACATTTCCTGAGGCAACAGAGAACTTTTCTAGGTATACAATGATGAAGCATATACTCACGTGCTTCTGCCACATAGGCTTTTAGGCATAAGCCCACCTACTGTTCTGGAGGCTGAACCACGCACCTCAATACAAATCAGTTGACAAAAGGGCACATGAGTGGAAATAAACTTCTCATCTCTTCCAAAAGAGGAAATGAGATAAACTTCTTAAACCTCTGCCATCCTGGCCCTGCAGGAGGCTGTGAGCCTGTTCACACTCCCAGTACATCACCACCACAACTGGCATTTGAGAAAGCCACCATACAAAGGCTATCTATAACCAGGGGACAACTACAGAGTCTTTGCCACTGAAAGCATTCACAACCAAATGCAAAGGACCTTAAACAACATACATTATAGTCACATAGTAAAGGGAAAAAAAAATCCTGCCCAAATGAAATAAATTCAAAAATAAGAAGAGAAAGTTTCTACAGATGAGAAGGAACCAAAGAAATGATTCTGGAACTCTCTATGTTTTCTATTTTTTAAGTAAGTCCTTTGTTTCTCTGTTGAAAACAGTAGAATGTTTTGAAAACATACTCTGAAAAAAGAGTGTTATGACATCCCCAAAACATTACACTAACTTTCTAGCAATAGATCCTAACAAAAATAAAATCTTTGAAATACCAAATAAATAATTCAAAATAATGATTATAAAGAAGCTCAATGAAATCCAAGAGAAAGTTGAAAACAACACAAAGAAATGTAAAAAATCAATTCAGCATATGAATAAAAAATTTACCAAGAGATAAATATTTTTAAAAAAGTAAACCACCTGGGCTGGGCGCGGTGGCTCATGCCTGTAATCCCAGCATTTTGGGAGGCTGAGGCGGGCAGATCACGAGGTCAGGAGATCTAGACCATCCTGGCTAACACAGTGAAACCTCGTCTCTACTCAAAATACAAAAAATTAGCCGGGCCTGGTTGCAGGCGCCTGTAGTCCCAGCTACTCAGGAGGCTGAGGCAGGAGAATGGTCTGAACCCGGGAGGCGGAGCTTGCAGTGAGCCGAGATTGCGCCACTGCACTCCAGCCTGGGCGACAGAGCGAGACTCCTTCTCAAAAGAAAAAAAAAAAAAAAATTAAACCACCTGGAAATAAAAAATTCATCAAAGTAGTTCCAAATGCAGCTGAAAGCTTTAACAATAGACTAGACCAAGCAGAAGAAAGAATTTCAGAGCTTGAAGACAGGTCTTTCAAATTAACCCAGTCAGACAAAAAGAAAGAAAAGAGAATTAAAATATGAACAAAGCCTTCAGGAAGTATGGGGTTATGTAAAACATCTGTACCCATGAATCATAGGTATTCCTAAGGGAGAATGAAGGGTAAAAAGTGTGGAAAATCTACTTGAGGAAATAATTGAGGAAAACTTCCCTAACCCTGGCTACAGATTTAAAATCCAGATAGAAGATACTTAGAGAACTCCTGGAAAATACATTGCAAGATGGACTTCACCAAGACAAATAGTCATCAGACAATCTAAACTCAATGTAAAGGAAAAAAAATCTTAAAATGAGCAAGAGAAGAGAAAAAGTGTCCTAAAAACCTATATAGGAAATTCCATCAGTCTAACAGTGGATTTTTCAGGCCGGGCACGGTGGGTCACGCCTGTAATCCCAGTACTTTGGGAGGCTAAGGTGGGTGGATCACGAGGTCAGGAGATCGATACTGTCCTGGGTAACACAGTGAAACCCCGTCTCTACTAAAAATACAAAAAATTAGCCGGGCGTGGTTGCAGGCGCCTGTAGTCCCAGCTACTCCCGAAGCTGAGGCAGGAAGGAGAATGGCGAGAACCCGGGAGGTGGAGCTTGCAGTGAGCCGAGATCGCGCCACTGCACGCCAGCCTGGACAACGGAGCGAGACTCCGTCTCAAAAAAAAAAAAAAAAAAAAAAAGCACTGTGAAAATCCCTATCCTGTTTGTTCCGATCTAATTACTGGGACATGCAGCCCCTAGTCACATAACCCCTGCTTGCTCAATCGATCACGGCCCTCTCAAGCGCACCCCCTTAGAGTTGTGATCCCTTAAAAGGGACAGAAATTGCTCACTGGGGGAGCTCGGCTCCTGACACAGGAGTCTTGCCGATGCCCCCGGCCGAATAAACCCATTCCTTCTTTAACTCGGTGTCTGAGGAGTTTTGTCTGCGGCTCGTCCTGCTACAATATGGCGCCATTGCACTCTAGCCTGGGCAACAAGAGCCAGACTCCTTCTCAAAAAAAAAAAAAAAAAAAAAAAAAAAAAAAAATTGCGGCCGGGCGCGGTGACTCACACCTGTAATCCTAGCTCTTTGGGAGGCTGAGGTGGGCGGATCACGAGATCAGGAGTTAGAGACCAGCCTGGCCAGTATGGAGAAACTCCACCTCTATTAAAAATACAAAAATTAGCTGGGCATGGTGGCACGCACCTGTAGTCCCAGCTGCTCAGGAGGCTGAGGCAGGAGAATCGCTTCAACCTGGGAGGCGGAGCTTGCAGTGAGCCGAGATCGTGCCACTGCACTCCAGCCTGGCTGACAGAGCGAGATTCTGTCTCAAAAAAAAAAAAAGAAAAGAAAAGAAAAAAAGAAAAACAAGCAAAGAGTGGTGATGAAATTTGAAAGAAGGGACTAGGCCGGGCGAGGTGGCTCACGACTAATCCCAGCGCTTTGGGAGGCTGAGACAGGCAGATCACCTGAGATCAGGAATTCAAGACCAGCCTGGCCAACGTGGTGAAAACCTGCCTCTATTAAAAATACAAAATTAGCCGGGTATGGTGGTGCGTGCCTATAAATCCCAGCTACTTGGGAGGCTGAGGCAGGAGAATCGCTTGAACCCAGGAGGCAGAGGTTGCAGTGAGCCCAGATCGCGCCATTGCACTCCAGCCTGGGCGACAAGAGTGAAATTCCCTCTCAAAAAAAACAAAAAAGTAAAGGAAAAGAAAAGAAAAGAAATAGCATATAGTAGCATATAAATTCCCAAACATTAAACAATTGCCTTTGTTCATATAAACAATAAAAAGTTAAAATTTTTGTGAGGCGATAACCTCATATATAATAGAAACAAAAAGGTTTTTAATGAAAAAATTACTAAGAAGTGTGCAAACTTTAAATGAAAACATTAAAACACATCTGAAATTTAAAAATTAGATATGAACAAATCGGGCCGGGTGCGGTGTCTCACGCCTGTAATCTCAGCACTTTGGCAGGCTGAGGTTGGAGGATCACCTGAGATCAGGAGTTTGAGACCAGCCTGGCCAAGTGGTGAAACCCTGCTTCTACTAAAAATACAAAAATTAGCCGGGTGTGGTGGTGTGAGCCTATAATCCCAACTACCTGGGAGGCTGAGGCAGGAGAATGGCTTGAACCTGGGAAGTGGAGGTTGTGGTGAGCCGAGGTCACACCACTGCACTCCAGCCTGGGTGACAGAATGAGAGTCCATTTCAAAAAAAAAAAAAAAAAAAAAAATGAAGAACTTTTTTTTTTCTTTTCCATAAGTTCTTGGGGTACAGGTGGTATTCGGTTACACGAGTAAGTTCTTTAGTGGTGATTTGTGAGATTTCGATGCACTTATCACCCGAGCAGTATACACTGCACCTTGTAGTCTTCTGTCCCTTGCCCCCTCCTATTCTTCCTCTCAAGTCCCCAAAGTCCATTGCATCATTCATATGCCTTTGTGTCTTCATAACTCAGCTTCTACATATCAGTGAGAACATACAATGTTTGGTTTCCCATTCCTGAGTTATTTCACTTAGAATAACAGTCTCCAATCTCATCCAGGTCACTGAAAATGCTGTTAATTCATTCCTTTTTATGGCTGTGTAGTACAGAAGAACATTCTCAAATAGGAAGACTATACAGCACATTTGCAGAGTAAATTTTCAAATGTAATACCTCCTAATCAAAATGCCAACAACTACTTTTTTTCTCAAGCTAGACAAGTAGATTATAAAGTTCACATGAGAAAATAAATAAGAATAATTAGAAAATCCCTTGGGGGAAAAAAACAAATTGAGAATTGGGTGTCTAGTTATGCCTAATAGTTAAATATTTTACAAATTCCCTGTCACTAGAACAGTGTGGCACTGGTGAATGAATAGACCAACCAATGGAACAGCACAGGAAGTCCAGAAACAGCCAAGTGCATAGCAACCTAGTCCTCATTTAATGACTTTAATTCATTCCTGGGCATTGTGCCACTAAATAAAAAGTATTAAACCAGGCTGGGTGCGGTGGCTCACGCCTGTAATCCCAGGAAATTGGGAGGCCAAGGCCGGCGGATCACCTGAGGTTGGGAGTTTGAGACCAGCCTGACCAACATGGAGAAACCCCCTCTCTACTGAAAATACAAATTAGGCAGGCGTGGTGGTGCATGCCTGTAATCCCAGCTACTCGGAAGGCTGAGGCAGGAGAATCGCTTGACTTGAACCCAGGAGGCAGAGGTTGTGGTGGGCCAAGATCGGGCCATTGCACTCCAGCCTGGGCAACAAGAGCGAAACTCTGTCTTAAAAAGGCCGGGCGCGGTGGCTCACGCCTATCATCCCAGCACTTTGGGAGGCCGAGGCGGGCGGATCACTAGGTCAGGAGATCGAGACCATCCTGGCTAACGAGGTGAAACCTCGTCTCTACTAAAAATACAAAAAAATTAGCCGGGCGTGGTGGCGGGCACCTGTAGTCCCAGCTACTCTGGAGGCTGAGGCAGACGAATGGCGTGAACCCGGGAGGTGGAGCTTGCAGTGAGCCGAGATCCCGCCACTGCACTCCAGCCTGGGCGACAGAGAGAGACTCTGCCTCAAAGTGGAGAAAATGGTACAGAGGCCGGGCGCGGTGGCTCACGCCTGTAATCCTAGCACTTTGGGAAGCCGAGGAGGGCGGATCACGAGGTCAGGAGATCGAGACCATCCTGGCTAACAGGTGAAACTCAGTCTCTACTAAAAATACAAAGAATTAGCCCGGCACGGTGGCGGGCGCCTGTAGTCCCAGCTACTCGGGAGGCTGAGGCAGGAGAATGGCGTGAACCCGGGAGGCGGAGCTTGCAGTGAGCAGAGACAGCGCAACTGCACTTAAAGGGCGAGACTCCGTCTCAAAAAAAAAAGAAAGAAAGAAAGAAAGAAAGTGATACAGAAGTGAAAGAGATGTTTACCTATTGAGCAAAAGGTGTGAGGGTGTGTGTGTGTGATAAATGATACTAGAAAAAAAGAGAGCAAATGAATGATATTGTATTCTCTTCATAGTTAAGGTGTTCTGCTGTTTATTTTTTGTGGGGGGAGGGGGGCGCGGGGCGGACAGAGTCTCACTCTGTCGCCCAGGCTGGAGTGTAATGGCGCGATCTCGGCTCACTGCAAACTTCTGCCTCCCTGGTTCACGGGATTCTCCTGCCTCAGCCTCCTGAGTAGCTGGGATTACAGGCACGTGCCACCACGCCCGGCCAATTTTTGTATTTTTAGTAGAGATGGGGTTTCACCATTTTTGTCAGGCTGGTGTTTATATGATATTAATAAACAATGAAAGATAAAGAAAAGATCTGAATCATTTGCATTTTCAGGAAAATTGTTACACATCAGAAAATCTGTCAGGAAATATTTGAGACTCCATCACAATCATTGCCCCTTAAACACACCCATCAAGACGACTGTTCTTCCTCCTTTAGAGAGTAAAATGAACCTTCAGTACATTGAGTTTTGTGGAATTCTTACCTATTTACTCTGAAGTTTCTATTTACTACTTACATACCTTTGTTTTCATTGCTCTATTGATATATCTACCTGCAAAGTTTTCTGTGAGTCCTCTATTGTTATAGAATGCACCATAATTTTTTCCATTAGGAAAATTAAATTTTGTTTACTCTTTTTTTTTTTTCTTTGAGACAGAGTTTCACTCTTGTTGCCCAGGCTGGAGTGCAATGGCATGATCTTGGCTCACTGCAACTTCCACCTCCCGGGTTCAAGCAATTCTCCTGCCTCAGCCTCCTGAATAACTGGGATTACAGGCATGTGCCATCACACCTGGCTAATTTTCTATTTTTAGTAGAGACAGGGTTTATCCATGTTGGTGAGGCTGGTCTCAAACTCCCAACCTCAGGCAAAAAAAAAAAAGTTCTCAATGTGGTGGTGGTGTTGGAGGTGGGGCTTAGTGGGAGGCGTTTGGGTCATCAGGAGCAGATCCTTCATGAATAGATTAATGTCCTCCCACATGAGCGAGTAATTTATTACTCTGTTGGGGCTAGGTTAGTTACCAAAAAGCAGGTTGTTATAAAAGCAAGTTTGGTTTCCTAGACTCTCTCTTGCTTCCCTGTCTCCCCATGTGATGTTTTTGCACATGCCACTCACTTTTCCCCTTCTCCAAAATGTTTTGACCTAACATTTGGCCTTCACCAGAAGTTTGCCAGATCCAGCACTATCCTGTTGAACTTCCCAGCCTGCAAAATCATGAGCTAAATAAACATCTTCTCTTTATAAACTACCCAGTTTCAAGTTATTCTGTTATAGTAATACTCAACATACTAAGACAGTCATTGAAAACAAAGTCAACCTGGAGGAGCCTTAAGGAGACATGATTAGGACTAAATACAATGTGATATCCTCGATGAAATCCTGTGACAGAAAAAGGAAGTTAAAAGAACTAATGAAACCTGGCTGGGCATGGTGGCTCACACCTGTAATCCTAGCACTTTGGGAGGCCAAGGCGGGTGGATCACTTTAGGTCAGGAGTAAGAGACCAGCCTGACCAACATGGTGAAATCCTGTCTCTACTAAAAATACAGAAATCAGCCAGGCACGGTGGCATGTGTCTGTAGTCACAGCTATTCAGGAGGCTGAGGCATGAAAATCATTTGAACTCGGGAGGTGGAGGTTGCAGTGAGTGGACATCATGCCATTGCACTCCGGCCTGGGTGACAGAGCAAGACTTTGTTTCAAAACAGAAAGAGCTAATGAAATCGAAATAAAGTTTAGTGATACTATATTAATATTGTCTCACTGGTTGTGAAAAATGTATAATAGTGATATAAGATGTTAACAATGGGGCTGGGGGCAGTGGCACACACCTGTAATGCCAGCACTTTGGGAAGCTGAGCGGGTAGATCACCTGAGGTCAGGAGTTCGAGACCAGCCTGGCCAATGTGGTGGAACCCTGTCTTTACTAAAACTACAAAAACTAGCTGGGCATGGTGGCGCGCACCTGTAATCCTAGCTACTCAGGAGGCTGAGGCAGGAGAATGGCTTGAAACCCGGAGGCAGAGGTTGCAGTGAGCCGAAATCGTGCCACTGCACTTCAGCCTGGGCGACAGAGTGAGACTCCCTCAAAAAAAAAAAAAATATGTTAACAATGGGGAGCTGAGTGTGACATATGTGAGAACTATGTATTATCTTTTCAACTTTTGTGTAATCTAAAAGTATTCTAAAATTAATAAGTTTATTAAAAAAAAACAACAACAACAACCCTCAGAAGAGGAAAGGAATAGGGAGTTAAAGAAAAAACAGTATACTTTTTAGTTTTCCCAGGGTTTCCTATCAAGGGGCTGGGAAGAGGGAGAAAAGATTGGAACCTCAGAGACAGTGCGGGGCTCCAGAGTTCTCTTGTCCTCTGACTACTGGGGCTGCTCAGAAATTGTCTTCATCCCCCTATTGATGTCAGGTTCCAGGGTCAGCCACCTCTGCCCAACTCAGACCACAGACATCCCAGCCTTTTCTGATTGCTCAATTTGTGTCTGAGACACCAGAGAGGTGCCACCCCCAAGTGGCCATAGACCTGAGGACAGACGACCTGAGCCCCCTTTTCTTCTCGCTGTGGACCTCCCCTGCGTCTCCTTGGGCTCCCAGAAGTCAGACAGGGTTCTTCATGCAAGGGCAAGTGTTTTAGTCTTTTTGGGCTGCTATTAAAAATTATATATTATAGACTGGGAAACACTGCCCTAGCCAAGTGATGGAGGTTAACATAATCATTTGATAAATCAACTGGGTAATATACACTCTTGGTATGTTGTATTGAGAGTATTGCATTTCATCTCTGTGCTCTTCTTCCCCCAAACCTATAGCCCTGTCAACCACACTCAAATTAAGGGACATTTTACAATATGCCTCACTAGTACTCCTCAAGAAATACCAAATTATCAAAAACGAGGTCTGAGAAATTGTCACAGACCAGAGGAGGCTAAGGAGATATAAAGGGGACTAAATGTAATGTATCCTGGTTGGGATCCTGGAACATAAAAGTGATGTTAGGGAAAAGAATAAAATCCAAATAAAATAGGAGTTAGTAACAATGTATCAATATTGTTTCATAACCTGTCACAAATGTATAATAAAATAAGACATTAATAATAGGGGAAACTGAATGTGGAACATAGGAGAACTATGTACTATCTTTGCAACTTTTCTGTAAATCCAAAAATATTGTAGATTTGATTTGATTTGATTTGATTTGATTTTTGAGACGGAGTTTTGCTCTTGTTGCCCAGGCTGGAGTGCAATGGCGCGATCTTGGCTCACCGCAACCTCCACCTCCCAGGCTCAAGAGATTCTCCTGCCTCAGCCTCCTGAGTAGCTGGGATTACAGGAATGCACCACCATGCCCGGCTAATTTTGTATTTTTAGTAGAGAGAGGATTTCTCCATATTGGTCAGGCTGGTCTCAAACCCCCCACCTCAGGTAATCCATCTGCCTCGGCCTCCCAAAGTGCTGGGATTACAAGTGTGAGCCACCGTGCCTGGCCAATATTTTAGATTTTAAAAGGATATTTTTATAACTAGTGCTCAGGAAAGAAAAAGAAAGTGGAAGTAAAAATTATCTACTTTTCGGGCGGCTTACCTTCACTCCCTCATTGACAGCCAGCCTCCACACCAGCCATATCTGTCCAGTTTAGACTGCAGCCCAGTCCTCTCCCAGGCTGCTCAATCAGAATCCAAGAGAGCAGAACATCGGCACTTGTGTGTGGTCACCGGGCTGAGAACAGAAGACCGGACTCTTTTGGCCTCCTCCTCAGGTTGAGACCTCCCCATTGTCACCTTTGGCTTTCAGCAACTGGACAGGACAACGTACCCAAGGGGGCGCCCCAGTCCCGTGTTAGGCTCGGAATCTGAAGTGTTTCCCAAATCCACGCTGACATAGATGTTTCCTCTCCACCTAGTGACCGTGGATTCTGACCTCGGGACAGAGCGAGGTTTCCAGGCCAAAACAAGTGGTTCCCAGGTTACAAGTGGACCCCACAAACATACTGTCACTTCTGCTGCTGCTTCCAGGGATAAATGTGGCTTATCCTGGGGACCAACCCCTACTCTCCATCCCTAGGATGGGGGAGAGGAAGGGAAATTCTCAGGGCATTGGCCTAGGGAGTTGGAGAAGCTGCTGGTGAAGTGAAAACAGGAGCAGAATAGGGACATTAGAGATAAAGGGGCATAGAAAGGAATCAGCTCTGATGACACCTGTGTAGGATAAATGGGTTCTGCTTGGGGAGAGGCTCACAGGTTTCTAACTGGGATGGTGTTTTTAACATGGATGATAATTATAGCTGTGTCAGTTTTACAAGCGATCAGAAAACTACACTTAAATTTTAGGCAATTTTTGTGCTTACAGAGATAGTATAATGCGCTTACACACGAAGAAAGGGAAGAAGACAAGGGGAGAAGAAGTGATTATAGGAATTAGGTTCCTGTTTCCTTGCTAGCTGTCAACCAAGGGTTGCTCTCAGCTTCTGGAAGTTACCTGCATTCTTTTGCTCATGGCCACCTCCATCTTGAAACACAGCCATGGTACACTGAATACTTCTTTTGCTTTGAATCTTCCCAACTTCTCTTTGATCTTTGTTTTTTCTGCCCCTTAAGGAGTTCATGTGGTTAGATCAGGCCCAACCAGATAACCTGTTTTATGGTCAATTGTCTTGGGACTTCAATTACAACAGCATAATCCCTACATAGTGGTGCAGATGGTCCCTGATTTACGATGGCTCAACTTACAGTTTTTCAACTTTATGATGATGTGAAAGCAACACACATTCAGTATAAACTGTACTTTGAATTTTGATATTTTCCTGGGTTAGAGAGTATGATACTCTGTGACGGTGCTGGACAGCAGTAGTGAGCTGCAGCTCCCATCAGCCACACAATTATGATGGTAACAACTGATACTGTACTCTATACTGTACTGTATGCAACCAGTTACATGAGATAGTCAACACTTTATCATACAAGGGGATTTGTGTTAAGTGATTTTGCCCAACTGTAGGCAAATGTGTTCTGAGCACATTTAAGGTAGGCTAGGCTGAGCTAATATATTCAGTAGGTTAGGTGCATTAAATACATTTTCCACTTGAAAATATTTTTCAGTTACAATGGTTTTATTGAAACATAACCCCATTTTAAATTGAAGAGCATCTGTACTTTGATTAGTATTTGACTGAATAACCAGGGGAAGCAATCTTGAGGGGGAAAGCATCTTTAGAATTCTGCCTATCACAGTACCTTGGGGGACTACTGCAAATGAATGTATCCCATTAGAACTTCTCTACACCTCTAATCACCTTTTGTCTTAAAGTGGCTGAGGTGAGATAAAGGGATCTAAAGGGATCGGGAGCATGGAGGGAGAAACAAGTTCTGTTCCATTAAAGTCACGCATTTACTTTCAGTTTCTTTCTGCATGGCAAGCTTTCAGTGTTCTCAGCCCACCCAATACTTTATATTGGGCAGAAACATCCTGATGGCTGATGCCATCAGTTTTGGCCTTGGATCTAGCACCCACAGCCATAGGCTCTGGCTGAGTCCATGGGGTTTGCACCTTCAGGCTGACTTGAGCTTGACTTGCACAGGGGTAACCTTGAATGAGGAGGATTCCATCCATTACCAAGTTAACATTTTTAAAGTTCTCATCAGGTTTCAACATAAGGGCTAGGGGAATTTTTCAGAGGAACAGGGCTGACTGCAAGCATTTATTTACATTTCTTTAGGTCAGTTTGTTTTTCATCAATGGATCGCCTTCGTCAGTACGGTAACACCAACCCAGAGTACTAAGAGGCTGAATATGCACTTGATTTCCCATAGTACTTTGTCTCAGGGAAATCTTACCTAGAGGACCAAATCTTCCTGATGGCAGTCAGGGCTCACTGCGATGAAAATATGAGACCTTTTACTGTTGCCTACAAATGGATCTAAGGTTGGGCTCGCAGACTGCAGAAGGTGCTGATCTGTAAGGCAGCACAGTTGTTGCCATTCTTTCTTAACAAGCATTGACATGCTACCTCCTTATACCCTCAAGGTCTCAACTCCCAGATGATCCAGCTAAAGTGTAATGATTTGTTTGGCTCTGCCAATAGCTATTGTTAATTTCCCTCCTTTCACATTCACTGTGCGTCTCTGTAATTTTCTGCGGAAAAATTGCAGATACTAGGATGAAATAACTTTTGTCAGACCCAGATAAAATAGGGCCAGGCCAGGCACGGTGGCTTACGCTTGTAATCCCAGCACTTTGGGAGGCCGAGGCGAGCGGATCACCTGAGGTCAGGAGTTCGAGACCAGCCTGGCCTACATAGTGAAACCCCCATCTCTACTAAAAGTACAAAAATTAGTCGGACGTGCTGGCATGTGGTTGTAATCCCAGCTACTGGGGAGGCTGAGGCACGAGAATTGCTTGAACCTGGGAGGTGGAGGTTGCAGTGAGCCAAGATCACACCATTGCACGCTAGCCTAGGTGAAGAAGCGAGACTCTGTCTCAAAAAAAAAAAAAAAAAAAAAAAAAAGGCCAGGAAGGCATGAAGGAGAGGAACGTCATGCTTACATGTTTGAAGTAAGAATTGTTAAGTTGGGCGTGGTAGCTCATGCCTGTAATCCCAGCACTTTGGGAGGCCGAGGTGGGTGGATCACCTGAGGTTGGGAGTTCGAGAACAGCCTGACCAACATGGAGAAACCCCATCTCTACTAAAAATACAAAATTAGCCAAGCATGGTGGTGCATGCCTGTAATCCCAGCTACTAGGGAGGCTGAGGCAGGAGAATCGCTTGAACCCGGGAGGCGGAGGTTGCGGTGAGCCGAGATCATGCCATTGCACTCTAGCCTGGGCAACAAGAGCAAAACTCTGTATCGAAAAAAAAAAAAAAGGAAAAGAAAAGAATTGTTTCAAAGGACTTTTTAAAAACTCCACAAGAAATCTTTTCTAGGGAGTGGGGAGGGATAGCATTAGGAGATATATCTAATGTTAAATGATGAGTTATGGGTGCAGCACACCAACATGGCACATGTATACATATGTAACTAACCGGCATGTTGTGCATATGTACCCTAAAACTTACAGTATAATTAAAAAAAAAAAAAGAAAAAAGAAAGAAATCTTTTCTAGCCGGGCGCGGTGGCTCACGCCTGTAATCCCAGCACTTTGGGAGGCTGAGGCAGGCAGATCATGAGGTCAGGAGTTTGAGACCAGCCTGACCAACATGGTGAAACCCTGTGTGTACTAAAAAAAAAAAAAAAAAAAAAAAAATTAACCGGGTATGGTGGCACGCACCTGTAATCCCAGCTACTCAGGAGTTGGAGGTTGCAGTGAGCTGAGATGGCGCCACTGCACTCCAGCCGGGGCAACAGAGCGAGACTCTGTCTCAAAAAAATAAAAATAAAAAAATAAAAGAAATCTTTTCTTCATCCTTCATGAACGTCCTGTCACAAGGTTTATCAGCAGGCATTCTTTTTTTTTGTTCTGTTTAGAAATAGGGCCTCACTCCATTGCCAAGGCTGGAATGCAGTGGTGCAATCATAGCTCACTGTAACCTCAAACTCCTGAGCTCAAGCAATCCTCCCACCTCAACCTCCTAAGCACCTAGGACTAAAGGCATGTACCACCACACCTGGCCAAGTTGTTTTCATTTTTTCTAGAGAAAGGGTCTTGCTATGTTGCCCAGGTTGGTCTTGAACTCCTGGCCTCCAGCAATCCTCCCTCCTCAGCTTCCCAAAGTGTTAGCATTCCAGGAGTGAGCCACGGGGGCCCAGCCTAGACATTCTTTAGTACTATAGTAATTCAGATAAGATGCTCTTGAAAGAACACTTGCCCAGTAACGGCAATGTCTCCCAAGTAGCTGGGATTACAGGTGTGCGTCACCACCACCGGCTAACTTTTGTATTTTTAATAGGGACAAGGTTTCGCCATATTGGCCACGCTGAGGTCGAACTTCTGACCTCAGGTGATCCGCCCCCTCAGCCTCCCAAAGTGCTGGGATTACAGGTGTGAGCCACCGCTCTCAGCCGCGTGTTTTAATCATAATACTTTGGTCTTTTTTTTTTTTTTTCGTAAATACTTTCCTCTTTTTTTTTTTTTTTTTTTTTTTTGAGATGGAGTTTCACTCTTTTTGCCCAGGCTGGAGTGCAGTGGCGTGATCTGGGCTCACTGCAACCTCCACCTCCCGGATTCAAGCGATTCTCCTGCCTCAGCCTCCTGAGTAGCTGGGGTTACAGGCGCCCGCCACCACGCCTGGCTAATTTTTGTACTTTTAGTAGAGACGAGGTTTCGCCATGTTGGCCAGGGTGGTCTTGAACTCCTGACTTCAGGTAATTCACCAGCCTCGACCTCCCAAAGTGCCGGAATTACAGGTGTGAGCAATCGCGCCCAGGCTTTTTTTTCTTCTTCTTTTAGAGTCAATTAAGACTGGGAAAGCGAAAATCCTAGCGCTACTTGGGACCAGCAGCTATCAGTTGGTCGGAGGCTCGAAGTGGTGGTGCATGGCCGGGCTGTCTGTGATTCTTAGGATGGGAAGCTTGACCTTGGCGGGCTCACCCTCTCATCTGGGTCAAGGGGCACATTCTCGGTGGCCTGATGACTGGGAGGGAGCGGAAGAGGGCGGGGCCGGGGTGGGGCCGCGGCGCCGGGACTGCGGGTGCTCGGCCGGAGCGCTCCAGCCGCTGGTCCCCGGGAGACCCTGTGCCCCTAAATCGCGGTCCACTGCGCGCGTCAGGTGAGTAGAGCGGCGGCGGGGAGTCGCGCTAGCGGTAGTAGAGGCTGATGTTGGATGTTGTCCCCACTCCTCTGACTCTTCCGCAGGCCAGGGGAGCACTGCGCCCCTAATCTTGGAGGGGCTTCCAACCTCTGGGGTCCTCCGGGGAAACGTGGGTTAGTCTGGGGTGTATCCAGGTGCCCTGTCCACTGTGGGCACTCTGGGGATTCCGGGCCGAGGAAGGGCTCCTGGCACGTGTTGAAAAAGTCGGCATCCCAGAAGGAAGATTCTGGGCGGATGGGCATCGGGGAAGGTAGTCCCAACCAATGGGACCGTTTCTGAGCACATAAGCGCATTCAGTGGGTGCTAACAAGCGCCTGCTTTGCCAGGCGACAGTGAGCAAAACCGGCTTTGTTCCCGGCCACCGGAAGCTTCGAGGCTGGGGTTCCGGATCTGGGCGCCCAATGACAAACTAAGCGCGGAGGACAGGGCCAGGAGCGCCCACCAGGGCGGCGATCTGGTGGGTAGGTGCAGGGCAATGGCTGGAAAGGGTCCCCGAAGCCCTGAGCAGAGACCAAAGGGCCGTGCGACTGCAGGAAGGCCATTTTGCTTGGCTGACAGGCGGAAAACTCACGTGGCTGGAGTAGCAGGGTTGGTGACGACAAGGGTGAATCCCACTAAGCATTGCAACTGTTTGCGGTGTGAGGGGTGAGGGGGATTCTCATCATTCTCAGAATTGTTGTGGATAAAGGGTTTTGGGTTGGAGAGAGACTGGGTGCACTCAAAGGACTGAAAGATGGCGACGACACATTCCCTCAGAGGATTTACATTCTGGAAGGGTGGGGACAGGCCCGGGTACAGATAAGCCCGCAGGCGGCCTCCAGCTCTTACAGTCGAAAGTCTGATGAGTTATGCCCAGTCTCCTTCCTCCTCCCGCCGGCATGAGGTTTGGGGCCCTGTGGATGAAGGAAGTTCATGGGAGGCAAACGTGCCTGGGCAAGCAACAGCCGCAGAGATTCAGTCCCCACGGGGGTTAGAATCCACACTTAGGGCCTCTGCCTACCGCCTCCAGCAAATGCCATCTTGAGGACTAGCGGCAGCAGTAGGTCTTCTCTGCCAGAGAACTGGAAGGCCAGGTTCTTGAAGGCACTGTTACTAAGGCGTTTTTTTTTGTTTGTTTGTTTGTTTGTTTGTTTTTGAGACGGAGTTTCACTCTCATTTCCCTGGCTGGAGTGCAATGGCGCGATCTCCGCTCACCGCAACCTCTGCCTCCCGGGTTCAAGCGATTCTCCTGCCTCAGCCTCCCTAGTAGCTACGATTACAGGCATGCGCCACCACGCCGGGATAATTTTGTATTTTTAGTAGAGACGAGGTCCATGTTGGTCAGGCTGGTCTCAAACTCCTGACCTCAGGTGATCCGCCCGCCTCGGCCTCCCCAAGTGTTGGGATTACAGGCTGAGCCACCGTGCCCAGCCTTATTAAGGCTGTTTTGAAGTGCAGTTGGCTGGAAAGTGGAAGAATAATCCAAGATCTGCATGCCTCATAAAAGGAGTGCGAATGGTTTTGAAAGACAGGAAAGGAAAGGGAGAGAGAGGAAAGAAAGAGAGAGGAAGAAAGGAAGGAAATCAAATTCATATCCCAGGAATGCACCTTTCATGACAACATTTTGGAGATCCAATTAACTCTATTCCTCGAGGGCGTTTTTCCTTGCTGGTATTTTCAGTTCTATTAACACTTCTCAAAAAGTGAAAGGAAAAAATAGTCAACAGGGTTTTTTGGTCTTTATTCTTTTCTTTCTATCTCTAGTAAGGGAGATGTGGGTGAGTGGCTGTCAGCAGGAAAAGGTGAGAGTTCAGCTATGTTTGCATCTGAGCAGGAAATTTCCAAGGATGAGCAGGGAACTCCAGTGCTGGGCTCATTGTGAGCCCTGAATAAGTGATTGCTCTTGGGTTGTTAGCAGTATTCTTCACAAAGATCTGTATATACAGTGGTTCCCCTTATCCACAGGTGATATGTTCCAAGAGCTCTAGTGGATACTTTGTTTTTGTTGTTGTTTGAGGCAGAATCTCGCTCTGTCACCCAGGCTGGAGTACAGTGGCACAGTCTTGGCTCACTGCAACCTTCACCTCACGGGTTCAAGTAATTCTGCCTCAGCATCCTGAGCAGCTGGGACTACAGCGTGCCACCACGCCCAGCTAATTTTTGTATTTTCAGTAGAGACGGGGTTTCACCATGTTGGCCAGGCTGGTCTCAAATTCCTGCCCTGAAGTGATCCACCGCGCCCCACCCCAGTGGATACTTTGAAACCATGAATAGTACCAAACCCTGTATACACTATGGTTTTCTTTTTCTATACATACATAATAATGATAAAGTTTAATTTACAAATTAGGCATGGTAAGAGATTGACAACAATAACTAGTAATAAGATAGAACAATTACAGCAATATATTGTAATAAAAGTTGTATGAATGTGGTATCTCTCTCAAAATAATTTATATTGTAAATCTTAGCAACCTCAGCATATGATTATTTTTTCTTTCCTTAAGACAAGAATTTTTACCTTTTTATTTTATGGCTTCTCTTTGCATATCTGAATTTCCAGCGTCTCTACTCTTGTGCTTTTGGGTCATTATTAAGTAAAATAAGGCATTCTTGAGCACAGGCAACTGCTATACTACAGTAGTCAACCTGGTAACTGAGATGGCTAGCTACTAAGGAACTAATGGGCAGGTATTGTCTGCAGTGTGGATATGCTAGTCAAAGGGATGATTCACATCCTGGGCAGGCCAGAGAGAAAAGGTACAAGATTTCATCACACTACTCAGAATGTCAAGCAATTTAAAACTTAGGAATTGTTTATCTCTGGATTTTTTTTTGAGACGGAGTCTCGCTCTATGTCCCAGGCTGGAGTGCAGTGGCGCAGTCTTGGCTCATGGCAACGTCCACCTCCAGGGTTCAAGTGATTCTCCTGCCTCAGCCTCCTGAGTTGCTGGGATTACAGATGTGTGCCACTATGCCCAGCTATTTTCTTTTTGTATTTTTAGTAGAGACAGGGTTTCACCATGTTGACCAGGCTGATCTCGAACTCCTGACCTCAGATGATCTGCCTACCTCAGCCTCCCAAAATGCTAGGATTACAGGTGTGAGCCACTGTGCCTGTCCTCCGGAATTTTTCATTTAATATTTTTGAACCATGGTTGACCATGGGTAACTGAAGCATTGGAAAGCAAAACCATGATAAAGGGGAACTACTACATGTATTGAAAATCCAGATCACAGAATTGTGTGTGTGTGTGTGTGTGTGTGTGTGTGTATAATTTTGGTCATGGAAGAGATCTTAGAGAGTGTCTCCTTTATTCTCACATTTCTGATGAAACCAAGTCAGAAAGAATAAAGAGACTCACTCGAGGTGATCTGTGACAGATCCTAGCCTGGTTACCCCAGCTACATGATTTCCAATGGTACTGAGTCTAACATTAACATTAGGTTTAAACATTAACTTTTGTAGATCAAGAATGTCCACTTGTCCTTGGAAAATTATTTAGCATCTCTGCATTAGGTCCTTAAGACAGGGCCAGTAATTGTTACCTCATTGCTGAGAGCATCCAGTGGCACACTGTAGGGGTTTAGTAACTGCTGGCATTCCCTGACCAAATAAGGAAGCTGTTTCTTACCCTCCCTCTTGCTGATATGTTTTGTTTTTCTCTGACCTCAGGTTTCTAGAAGCAGGGTAGAACAGACGGCAGACACCTAGCCCAGGCTGGTGTTGTTACTAAACAATGGCAGCTGGTGAGCCAAGGGTGACCAGGGCCCTGAACTCGGTGGCCCAGCTTTGAGGGAAGCAAAATTGTTCTCAATTGTGGAAGAGGAGAATTTGGACAGCAGAACAAAAAAGGAAGACAGCCTCTTGGAGCAGATACATTTGTCACAGGAAGCCACATCAAACCCTGGGGCCTTTGCTGGGCCTCTCCATCTGCCCAGTTACTGGGAGGTAGATAGCCCCAGGAAGGAATCCAGTCAGGCCTGGGCACCAGGCCAGGAGTGGATAAAGCTAGAAAGAGACACCACAGAAGAGAAGATGTTTGAACAGCTGAAGCCAATCGAACCTGTACAGAAGACGCTCCCATGGGTGGGCGAGGTAGCTGCCACCCTGCAGGAAGCCATGAAGAGAGATTGCTGGAGGGAGGCACGGGTGAAGAAGGTGAGGAGACTAAGCTAGAGAGAGGTGGGGTCCAGGTCCTGGACTCCAGGAGCTCTTTCATACATACTCCTGCCTGCAGGTCAAATGAAATCTCAGATTGTTCCAGACTGAACGACATCCAGAAAAAGGAGCTGCAAGACCTTTCTCCATCTCCCGCACCATCCTGGCATCCTTCATGGAGTACTTCCTGAAATTTGTTAGAGTGGCAGCATTTTTTCCTTCGCTTTGCTTTCCTGTTTATATTCTGCATATCTGCATATCCTCTTTCCTCTCCCCCACATCTTATCTTTCTCCCTTTCTCTTCATCTTTCCTTTCCTTTTTTTTTTTTTCTTTTTTTTTTTTTTGAGACGGAGTCTCGCTCTGTCACCCAGGCTGGAGTGCGGTGGCGCGATCTTGGCTCACTGCTACCTCTGCCTCCCGGGCTCAAGCAATTCTCCTGCCTCAGCCTCCTGAGTAGCTGGGATTACAGGCATGCGCCACCATGCCCAGCTAATTTTTGTGTTTTTAGCAGAGACCAGGTTTCACCATATTGGTCAGGCTGGTCTCGAACTCCCGACCTCGTGATCTGCCTGCCTCAGCCTCCCAAAGTGCTGGGATTACAGGCGTGAGCCACCGCGTCCGGCCTCCTTTCCTTTCTATACTTCACAGTTGCTGGCCTTGTGTCTGTCTTTTAATATTTCTCTCTTCCTTCCATGGTTTTATCTTTCTCTTAGGTTTTAATTCTCTGAATCTTGAGACTGGATGTTAATCTTGTACACACACACACACACACACACATATATATTTATATAAACTTCTTGAGTCTCTCCTGTTCTTCCAGAAGCCAGTCACCTTTGAGGATGTGGCAGTGAATTTCACCCAGGAAGAGTGGGACTGTCTAGATGCCAGCCAGAGGGTCCTTTACCAGGATGTTATGTCGGAAACCTTTAAGAATCTAACATCTGTGGGTAAGAGGCTGGGCTTCCCTCAGCAAGCCCCCTGTCCTAAGGGCCCTGGAACATCTGGTTTCCCTGGACAGGTAGATCAGCTTACAATTAGTTTCACTGACCCCTGGTTCTATGCTTTCCAGGTGTGAAAGATCTGAGTCACTAAGCTCAGTGGTAAAGAGAAGAAATGATAGCCTGCATGAAGGCAAAGATAACACTTGTAACATGATGACAGTGTTCTCAAAATATGCAAATTTTTCCATTCATCAAACAAATATTTACTAAGTCACTCCTGAGAACCAGGTACTTTGCTAGCAGCTGGCCTTTTAATGTCTCCTTTCCGCATCTACATGTCCCAGGTTATGGTTCTTAAACAAAGGCTACAGGAGGTAGCCTGTTGTCCCCATCAGATGTGAAGGGGCCATACCTGGGACCAACTCAACTCTTTCTCATTCCCACACATCAGCCAGAATCTTTCTGCATAAGCCAGAGCTAATCACCAAGCTTGAGCAAGAAGAGGAACAGTGGAGAGAGTTTGTCCATCTCCCAAACACAGAAGGCCTTTCAGGTAAGAATTGCCAAGCAGGGAGGAAGGGGAAAAGGGCCCAGGATAACCCCTGAAAGGATGGAGAGCTGATGAAGAGGATGAATGCTCTATAGATGCTCTCCTAGTGTACCTCTGTCCAGCCTGGTCAGACTTGGAGTTGAAAGAGAGCTTAATATCATAGGCTCAAGTCCCTTGACTTCAAGTTGAAGATCCAAGTCTCTCTCTCTCTCTCTTTTTTTTTTTTTTTTTTTTTTTTGAGACACAGTCTCGCTGTGTTGCCAGGCTGGAGTGCAGTGGCACAATCTTGGCTTACTGCAACCTCCACTTCCCGGGTTCAAGCGATTCTCCTGCCTCAGCCTCTCGAGTAGCTGGGACTACAGGCATGTGCCACCGTGTCCAGATAATTTTTGTATTTTTAGTAGAGACAGGGTTTCACCATGTTGGCCAGGATGGTCTTGATGTCTTGACCTCAGGTTATCCATCCACCTCGGCCTCCCAAAGTGCTGGGATTACAGGCATGAGCCACCGTGCCTGGCTGGCTGAAGATCTAAGTCTTTCAGGAGAAGTAGATGTCTTCAGTTTCTAGAGATTGAGAGATGACATGAAAGTTGCTTATGTCCATGATAGTGCTCTGATTAAAATGTTCTTTCCAAGAGAAAAGAGAAGCAAAGGAGATAGGTTTCATGCTGGGTTGGAGTAAGGGAGGCTTGTCCCTGGTAGTAAATAGTTGAGAGAGATATCAAGCCAGGCTGATACACTTTTTGGTTTTCCAGGACAGTCCTGGTTTATACTTCTCATCCCAGCTTGATTATTAATAACACCTCTTTTCACCCTCAAGTGGCCCAGTGTTCATGATGCATTATTATGTGGGTGTCTGTGGATTGTCTATGGGAGTTTGAGCAATATTGAGAATGAGATAAGATAGATTTCAAGAAGTGTTGTTGTAAGTTAAAATTTACATTTCTGACAGTGTTGAAAGATTCCAGTTAACTTTTTATTTGCTTCTAATTTGAAAAGCCAATTTTTTCTTTTTTTCTTCTTATTTCTAGCCTATGAGGCCCAAGGGTAAGGATGAATGTGTTGGGTGGGAGAGCAAGGGCAGAGACAAGAAGTGTGTTAGGCTGAATGGAGTGCTGTGTTGGAGTTCTTCTTCTTCCTCTTCTTCTTCTTCTTCGTCTTCGTCTTCTTCTTCTTTTCTTTTCTTCTTCTTCTTCTTCCTTCTTCTTCTTCTTCTCCTTCTCTTCTCCTTCTCCTTCTTCTCCTTCTCCTTCTTCTTCTTCTTTTTCTTTCTTTCTTTTTTTTTTTTTGAGACAGAGTTTCACTCTAGTTGCCCAGGCAGGAGTGCAGTGGCACCATCTTGGCTCACTGCAACCTCCGCCTCCCGGGTTCGAGTGATTGTCCTGCCTCAGTCTCCCTAGTAGCTGAGATTACAGGCAGATGCCATGACGCCCAGCTAATTTTTGTATTTGTAGTAGAGACAGGGTTTCACCATGTTGGTCAGGCTGGTTTCGAACTCCTAACCTCAGGTGATCCGCTGGCCTCGGCCTCCCAAAGTGCTGGGATTACAGGTGTGAGCCACCATGCCAAGCCTCTGTTGGAGTTCTTACAGTGAATTTTGTGTTATTCTTCCTCATTCACTGTAGAAGGCAAGAAGAAAGAGCTTCGAGAACAACATCCCAGTCTGAGAGATGAGGGGACTAGTGATGACAAGGTCTTCCTTGCATGCAGAGGGGCCGGCCAGTGCCCCCTATCTGCCCCAGCTGGGACTATGGACAGGACCCGGGTGCTTCAAGCATCCCAGGCTGGGCCACCCTTTTTTTGCTACACCTGTGGCAAATGTTTCAGCAGGCGCTCCTACCTCTATAGCCACCAGTTTGTTCACAATCCCAAGCTGACTAACAGCTGCAGTCAGTGTGGGAAGTTGTTTCGGAGCCCCAAGTCCCTCAGCTATCACAGACGCATGCATCTTGGGGAGAGGCCCTTCTGTTGCACGCTCTGTGACAAGACCTACTGTGATGCTTCTGGACTAAGTCGTCACCGCCGCGTCCATCTGGGTTACCGGCCCCATTCATGCTCTGTGTGTGGGAAGAGCTTCCGGGACCAGTCTGAGCTCAAACGCCACCAGAAGATACACCAAAACCAGGAGCCAGTGGATGGAAACCAGGAGTGTACTTTGAGGATTCCAGGCACCCAGGCTGAATTCCAGACACCCATCGCCAGAAGCCAGAGGTCCATCCAGGGGCTTTTGGATGTGAACCATGCACCAGTGGCCAGGTCCCAGGAACCCATATTTAGAACTGAGGGTCCTATGGCCCAGAACCAGGCATCTGTACTTAAGAACCAAGCACCTGTGACCAGGACCCAGGCACCCATCACTGGAACCCTCTGTCAGGATGCCAGATCCAACTCTCATCCAGTGAAGCCCTCAAGACTCAATGTCTTCTGTTGCCCCCATTGTTCTTTGACTTTTAGCAAGAAATCCTATCTCTCCAGACACCAGAAGGCCCACCTCACAGAGCCGCCCAACTACTGCTTCCATTGCAGCAAGTCTTTCAGCTCATTTTCCAGGCTGGTCAGACACCAGCAGACCCACTGGAAGCAGAAGAGCTACCTTTGCCCTATCTGTGACCTCTCCTTTGGGGAGAAAGAGGGCCTTATGGATCACTGGAGGGGCTATAAAGGCAAGGACCTGTGCCAGAGCAGCCACCATAAATGCCGGGTGATCCTGGGCCAGTGGCTTGGCTTCTCTCATGATGTCCCCACTATGGCTGGGGAGGAATGGAAGCATGGAGGTGATCAATCTCCCCCCAGGATCCATACCCCCAGGAGAAGAGGCCTAAGAGAGAAGGCCTGCAAAGGAGACAAAACAAAGGAGGCAGTGAGCATCTTGAAACATAAATAAATGGCCTTTCTGACTGAGCTCTTTCTTTGTGTTTAGTTTTCCTGAGGACTGACCTCTGGGGTAATGAGGCTGGAGTAGAGGGAGACAGGTGCGTGGATAAGGAAGGAAATACATAAAAGACAAGGGGTTAGAAGTGTGCTTATGAAAACTTGTATTATTATTTTTTATTTATTTATTTATTTATTTATTTATTTATTTATTTATTTTTGAGACAGAGTCTTACTCTGTCACTCCGGCTAGAGTGCAGTGGCGCGATCTCAGCTCACTGCAACCTCTGCCTCCTGGGTTCAAGCGATTCTCCTGCCTCAGCCTCCGGAGTAGCTGGTATTATAGGTGCCCACCACTATGCTCAGTTAATTGTTTGTATTTTTAGTAGAGATGGGGTTTCACCATGTTGGCCAGGCTGGTCTTGAACTCCTGACCTCGTGATTCGCCCGCCTCGGCCTCCCAAAGTGCTGGGATTACAGGCGTGAGCCACCGCACCCGGCCAAAACTCGTATCTTTATTAATTAGCACCTAGCTTGTTTGTTTGTGTCTGACCATCAAGTAGTAGTTGTTGAATAAACAGTGGATACTCTGATAGATATGAAGATAGGAGAAAAGGATGAGAGGAAGGAAAGATTCTGAGACCTGTGGAAGATGTGTAAGTAGAAGGAAAACATTCTAAAGCAGGCATGTTGCCCAGCTTTCGTTTTTGCTTCCCCAGGTCCCTAGTAGGCTGCCAAGACAAGGAGGAGCTCTGGCTAGTATTCTGTAGGTTTCTCCCCATCTCCAGGTTTGGGTTGGGGCTACTCATATCCTCACTCTTCAGCTCACTCAGCTCTCTCTTCAATGTTTTGCACTCTTCCTCTTCCTTCCCTTCACATGCCTTTCAGTTTTGCGCAATCAGGGCTGGAGTCTTGGAAGAAACAACCACCATTTGCAAAGTTACCATACTGTAATTTTCAGTGAGGAGATTCCTGGCCTCCAGTTCATGGCAGAGACCATCCTGTGTTGCTCTCCAGTACAGGTGTCCTCTGATGGAGAGAGGGGCACCTGCCTGTCCTTAGCCAGAGAGGGCTTCCAGGTGGAAGACTGGAGAGAGAAATGGAAAGAAGGGTAATAAAAATGGGAAAATGAAGAGAAAAGGTAGATGACAGAAGAAGGGAAATCAATTCTACTTGGAATTCAGAGTGTTCCTGAAAGTGCAAATTGGAATGTCCCCATAGCAAAGATGCCAGTGAGTGTGCAACTTGATGGATGAGATGTCCCCAAGGACAAATCCCTGGGCAACCAGGCTCTCCTCCACCCCTGCCAAGATGTGACATCACTCAGAAGGGATTTCCTAGAAGAAGGAGAAAATAACTTGAAAAACGTATGTCAGTAGTTTGTATCATAAAACCATTGAACTAGGGAGAAGAAAAGCCCTTGGGGTCATCTTGTCTCCATTCCTGCCTCAATGGTTGATCTGAGAGGTGAGGCACTGGGCAGTTGCTGTGGAATGGGCAATGAGACCAGCTAGGGTTGGATTCCTGCTTAGGGGCAGTGAAGGAGGAATGGATCAGGTGGCAGATAGGAGTGCCTCCAGCTTCTCTGCCACCTGTAAATGTGTCTCTAACAGCTGGCTTCTTTGCCCTCTACCTCCCAGGAGGAGTCTTCCCTCCACCCAGGCTCTCCAGCTCCTCCTTTCCTCTGGGAATGTGATCCCTCAATAGCCCGCCTCTTCCTCTTGTTGCTTCTGTCTCCCTTTCCTGGCTTTTTATTCTCTGCTTATAACAGAGAGAAGAGAACTTACGTAGCTCTTCAAGGAATTGCCCTGAAAACAAAAAGAAACAAATATGTGATTAGTGGAAGATGAATAGCACCTTCCCCACATCCTCCCTATGGACATTTGGAGTGACCCACACTGCCCTTTCCACTGGGGGATCCCACAGATCCAGTAAGTGGTTCTCTTCACAGTTTCTCAGAAGAGCCTGGGGTTGGGCATGGGGACAGAGGAATAAGGAAATCCCAGCTCCCCTAATCTTGAGTCCTGGTTCTATTCTCTTTTGGCTTCCCATTCAGAGCTGACTTGGTCCCCCACTATTTGGTGGTCTTGCCTGCTGCCCAGCCACTGCACCTGCTAGTCTTCGATGTAGCCAGTTGTAGCAGATGATCAAGGCAACCAAGGGTCCAAGAACCGGCACAATTACAAACAGGGTTATCTTCCAGCAGGGCACCCTCAGAAAGTGGGGATCTGAATTGTTCACCAGAACAAACAGGGTTAACATGTGTTCCCCCTCATGCCCCACCCACCTGTCTTTTTTGGTTCCTTAACCTGGGGTCCTAGAACACCAAAGGACTCTGGGGACAAAATTCAGAAAGTCCATGAACTTGGATGAGAAAAGTACTGCCTCCTTATTTTCAATAACTGGATTTAACATTTTCTTTCATTAAAAATGTAACAACTGCCAGGTGTGGTGGCTCATGCCTGTAATCCCAACACTCTGGGAGTCCGAGACGGGTGGATCATGAGGCCAAGAGTTCAAGACCAGCCAGGCCAACATGGTGAAACCCCATCTCTACTAAAAATGTAAAAATTAGCTGGGCGTGGTGGCACATGCCTGTAATGCCAGCTACTCAGGAGGCTGAGGCAGGAGAATCGCTTGAACCTGGGAGGCGGAGGTTGCAGTGAGCCAAGATCCTGCCCCTGCACTCCAGCCTGGGCCACAGAGCAAGACTCTTGTTGATCCCACCAACACCCATTCCCCCAAGTCTTGGAAAAAACAAAACAAACCAAAACATTTTACAACTAACCACAATATGAGCAGTACCTGTGACTTAATTACCAATGGAAGCCACAGATGTTTTCATTCCCATTAGAGTTATTGCAGAAATCTTGAAATACTGTTTATGTTTATTAGTATGTTGAAATTAAAGGTTATTGGGCTGGGCCTGGTGGCTCATGCCTGTAATCCCAGCACTTTGGAAGGCCAAGGCAGGCAGATCACCTGAGGTCAGGGGTTCAAGACCAGCCTGGCCAACATGGTGAAACCCCGTCTCTACTAAAAATACAAAAATTAGCTGGGCATGGTGGCATGCGCCTGTAGTTCCAGCAACTTGGGAGGCTGAGGCAGGAGAATCGCTTGAACCCAGGAGGTGGAGGTTGCAGTGAGCCGAGATTGTGCCATTGCACTCCATCTCAAAAAAACTTCATCTCAAAAAAAAAGAAAGAAAGAAAGAAAGAAAGAAATTACAGGTTATTAGACTTGCTGCTACATTACTTAATGTATTACTTTGGCTAAAGAAATATTTATGGCCGGGCACGGTGGCTCATGCCCGTAATCCCAGCACTTTGGGAGGCCAAGGCAGGTGGATCACCTGAGGTCAGGAGTTCGAGGCCAGCCTGGCCAACCTGGTGAAACCTAGTCTCTACTAAAAATACAAAAATTAGCTGGGTGTGGTGGCGGGCACCTGTAATCCCAGCTACTCAGGAGGCTGAGAATCGCTTGAACCCGGGAGGCAGAGGTTTCAGTGAGCCTAGATCGCGCCATTGCACTCCAGCCTGGGTGACAAGAGCAAAACTCTGCCTCAAAAAAAAAAAAAAAGAAACATTTATGTTACTATATCACAAATGTGATTATCGGTTGATAACTGTATTTTAGTACAATGATTGTTTTTGCAATCCTATGTGTTCTATTTTATGTGTATATTTAAAAACATTCTGCAAAGGGGTCCTTTAGACTTCACTGGAGTGCCAGAGAGATTCATGGTACAAAAAGGAGTTAAGACCTTTCATAGTCAAGTCCTCCAAAACAAAGATACTATTCCTCCTCTTTGGGTGTGTAAAGATGTGTGTGTGTGTGGTCCACACACTGGTCTAATTTCCTAAATCGTACGATAGAACTCTGTGTGCCAGGTGACAAGAGTAGAGTCACCTACAGCCTCGGGAGGAGGAGCTGTGAAGGAAGTTTGCTCAGAGAAGGTACCATCTGTGCCCTAATGACACCTTCTAGTGTCTGCAACATTTATCTAACAAATATTTGGGTGCTCTTCTGTTGCCATTATCTTTAGGCATTGGGCAATCTGCAGTGAACAAAAAGGCTAGAAACCATGTCCTTGAGGGGTCAATTCCTAGTGGGGCTTGGTGGCTTTTCTATTCCTCTATGAGGTCTTCTCTGATTAGTCATGTTCTGTACTCATGGAAACATCCTGAGTTTGTAAAGCAGAAATATAAGTACAGGTGATACAGTTGTGTCTTGTTTCTGTTTGTTTCACCTCCCCAACCAGACATCAGGTTTACGTGTAAACGATCTATTTACCTCTGTTTTGCCATTCCTGAAAAGAGAGATCATGTGCATAAGGAGTTAAACAGAATAAGATAACGTTTTTGTAAAGTAGTTAGAATAGTGCCTGGCACATAAAAACAGTACATGAGTATTTTTATTATGATTTTACCAATCCTAAATGCAAATGACTTCTTATTTAAAGAAAGAAAAGAGAAGAGAGGAAGGGACTCAACCAGGAGCCAGGGGTCCTTGTTCCCCCAGGTGACTGGAACTAGAGTGAAATACCAAGTTGACCTGGGAGGGCCTAGACATGCCGGAACTTACCAAAAGTCCGGTGGAGATTCTCTGAAAGAGAAACAAATGGAAATGGATTTAGTAGGGCACTCAAAAAGGATCTTTTATCCTGAGTCTTTGTTATTTAATTACTTAAAACTTGTTCTAGGCACGACACACCCACTGTAGAGAAAGGGAAACTGAGGGGAAAACAGGGTATTGAGAGGGAGAGACGGTCCAAGAATGGGACCATTTCCGTTATGCCAAAAAACCAAAAGGCAAGAATTGGGAGAAACGATGACTGGAACTCACCTATCTCTGCTCGAAGTTTTCCTAAAATAGAAAAAGGCAACATTTTAGTTCCTGCATGTTCTGGCTCTCGGTGGGGACCCTCCCACACCCAGCGCCTGGGCCCCTTGTGCAGGCTATTTCTCTGCAGCCTGGAAACAACCTCAGGAGAGTAGGAAGAGCACTGGATTTAAAGCCAATGGTTGCGGCTCTTTCTCTAGCTATAGTCTAGATACAATAGCGAATAAAGAATGTGAGCAATGCTCCAAGCCAGCACAAGCATCCAATACATCCCAGCTGCTCTTCGCCCCTTTTCTTGGATTCTCAGTTCACAGAGCTGCTCCAGCCCACTGCGTTGCCACTTTGTTTATCTAAAGCCACTTCCCATCTGAATGAGGAGGGAGGAGCTGAACATTTAGTGAGTAGCTAGCTACTTTGTGACTGGATTTGTAGTAGGCACTTTGCATGACTTTAATCCTCCCTACAATTTAGGACGAAGGATGTTTTCTCTATTTGACAGACAAGGCAACTGAAGCTTGGAGAATCTAAGAATTTTGCTATAGAGTTCAGTACCTGAGATGGAATTCAAACCCAGGCTGCCTGACTCTAACATTCAGATTCTTTCTGCTCAGCCATGAGGGCTGAAGGCCTTTTTTTGTGTGGAAGAAGTAAACAAGCAGGCATCTGGGATGAATTCAAGGTGAGAGAAAGGACTTTGTTGTTGATCGCACCAACACCCATTCCCCCAGAACATTCCCCATACCCTCCTTGCTACTTTCTCCTCTCCTCTTAGTAACAAATGGGAGGTGGGGCATGGGGAGGAGTGAAGACTCTTCCTGCTCTGGCATTGGGGAGACACTTGGTAGGAGGAGAAGGCTCAGAATGAAAGCTCTAGGCAAAAAAGAGGAGCTTCATCAGCAGCTGAACCTGAGTCCTCAGTGTTGAATGGAGAAAGAGGAAACAATTTTCGAACGCCTACTGTGTGGTAGAGACTTTCACTTCAGTATCTTTATTCAAAACTCCTAATAGCCTAGACCTGTCTGACTTCGAAGCTCACACTCTCCCAAGTTGCATGGAGCTGCTAGGTATGATACAGAGGCCTCAGCTCTACCACTTATAAGTTATATCGGTTTGAGTAAGTCACTGAACTACTCCTGGCCTCAGTTGTATCCTCTGTAAAATGGGGTTACTATATGGCATAGTTAGCTCATAGGGAAATGCTAGGTCCGATTATTCATATGAAAGCATTCCGTAAGATGTAAAACTCTTTCATCATGGAGTTATTTTTTTTCTTTATCACTCAATAGTGAGAAGAACTTCTGAACCCAGAAGTCACTCACAAATACATGTTAAGTGGTGTAGCTCCAAGAAGCCAGCTCATTTAAAGAAAGGATCCTGATCCACCCACCCTCTGCCCTGTACCTCTCAGTCTGTACTGCAGGCAGAGGAAGACGAGGCCAAGAGTGATCTGCAGGAGGAGCACAGGCAGCACCGCGAGGAGAACCAGCACTCCAGGGCTCACCCAGTAGAAAGGATCTGAAAGGCAGGACTGACATTTGACATTGTCCAGAGCTGAATCCCCAACACTCAGCATGGTGTCTGGGGCCCAATAAATCAGGTCAAATAAAGAAGTGAATATCATCAGGATTCAAAGAAGGTGACACAGAATTGGTCCCTGAGCTTAGCCCTGAAGGAAAAATGGCTTTTTTTTCCAGGAAATGCTAGTGATTTAGAATGACAAGTGGTTTAAAGTCAAGATTGTGTATTGGGTCAGGCTGGGGGAGTTTTAACGAGCAGCTAAGGGACTTACATCTGAAGTCCCTCAAGGGACTTTTTATTGACGACAAAGTCAAAGGTTCTCTTCATATTATTGTGGTGTATCGCCTACAAGCATAATTAAAATAAACACTAAATTTCAGTTTAAAGTTTACTGAAAATAAATATGTATTTCAAATATGTAGTTCAAGGCTGTGGTGGTGCACTGAAGGATTCCAAGCTGAGAAGTGACCACGTCAGATTTAGCACCTACAGGACTGGAGAACATAGGGAGAAATGTTAAGAGACTGTGATAACAATTAAAGTAAAAAACAACATGAACCTGAACTAGGACAGTGGTAATGGTATAGGAAGTCAGGGGATTCAAAGCTTAAATAGGGAATAAAAAATACATATTTATTTTCAGTAAACTTTAAACTGAAATTTAGTGTTTATTTTAATTATGCTTGTAGGCGATACACCACAATAATATGAAGAGAACCTTTGACTTTGTCGTCAATAAAAATCACAAATATTGGCCAGGTGCGGTGGCTCACACCTGTAATCCCAGCACTTTGGGAGGCCGAGGCGGGCGGATCGCCTGAGGTTGGGAGTTCAAGACCAGCCTGACCAACATGGAGAAACCCTGTTTCTACTAAAAATACAAAATTAGCTGGACGTGGTGGCACAGTCCTGTAATCCCAGCTACTCAAGAGGCTGAGGCAGGAGAATCGCTTGAACCCAGGAGGCGGAGGTTGAGGTGAGCCGAGATCTTGCCATTGCACTCCAGCCTGGGCAACAAGAGCGAAACTCCATCTCAAAAAAAAAAAAGAAAAAGAAAAATCACAAATATTTTCACGTCACATTAGAAAAGTCACAGAAATCTCAAACTATCACTTATGTTCATTACTATTTTGAAATTACACTAATTAATAGGGTCACCCTAACTCTTGTTAATTTAATATTTTGATAACTGTATTTTGGTATAAATGTTTTATTTGGTGTATTTAAAACATTCTTCTGGCTAGGTGTGGTGGCTCTCCCCTGTAATCCCACCACTTTGGGAGGCCAAGGCAGGAAGATTGCTTGAGCCCAGGAGTTCTCGAGGCCAGACTGGGCAACATAATGTGAGACCCTGCCTCTACGAAAAAAAATTAAAAATTACCTGGGCATGGTGACACAAGCCTGTGGTCTCAGCTATTCAAGAGGCTGAGTCAGGAGGATCACTTGAGCCTGGGAGGTGGAGGCTGCAATGAGCCATGATCGTGCCACTGCAACCAATCCTGGGTGACAGAGTGAGACACTGTCTCAAAAAAAAAAAAAAAATTCTGAGATGGGTCTATCAACTTCATCAGCTTGCGGAAGGTGCATGACACACAACAAAAGGTTAAAAGCCCTCTTCTAGAGCTTTTAAGAAGGTAGTTTACAGCGGGCATGGTGGCTCACACCTGTAATCCCAGCATTTTGGGAGGCCAAGGTGGGTGGATCACTTGAGGTCAGGAGTTCGAGACCGGCTTGGCCAACATGGTGAAACCCTCTCTCTACTGATAATACAAAAATTAGCCAGACATGGTGGTGCAGCCTGTAATCCCAGCTACTTGGAAGGCTGAGGGAGGAGAATTGCATGAACCTGGGAGTTGGAGGGTGCAGTGAGCCGAGATTGCACCATTGCACTCCAGCCTGGGTAACAAGAGCAAAACTCCATCTCAAAAAAAAAATAAATAAATAAATAAAAGAAAAAAGAAAAAGAAGGTAGCTTACACAGGATTCAGTAACTGAACAGATGTGCAGACCTGGAGATGTGGAGTAGGTTGAGCAATGAGGGAGGGGGACCTTCACTTCTGTGGCTCCCATCTATTTCCCATTCTAGGTCTGCTCCTCAGCATCCAAAAGCCCCACTCTAATCTCCATGTGCCATGCTGCAGCTGAAGCCCTTTTCATCTTGATCTCTGCTTTAAGGGAGCTAAGTAAGGATAATGACATCAAAGGTAGGGATACATCACAGCTAATAACATTAAACTGGTCCAGGAGGGTTGCTTAGGTATAATTACAATCCTTCAAGCTGTAGACTAAGGCTCCTGTCTATCATTGTGTTCCCTAGGGGAAAATGCAGCTACCTTTACTTTCAAGTTCTTAATGGAAGTTACCTGTAGCAATGTGATTTAGCGAGTATGTACTTAAGGGTTTTTTTCTCCCAACCCCCCACATTTTTCCTTTCACAAATAATTAGAAAAGAGAGAAAAGCAGACATTATCAGCCTCCGGATGTAAAGCAACAAGAAGTATAGAGTATCACTGATGAACTATATTTGCCAAAGTAAATCAAACACAAATGTCATTGCACCTCCACATCTATCAGTTTACAGAAAAACACAGGGCATGGAGGACCGTATTACATAGCAACATGGGAATGTCGTCAACAAAATTCAGACCCTGGGAAACCCTAAGGGCAAAGGTCAACAGGTGGGTCTCATTTGAATCTCGCTAAAAGAAACCAACTGTAAGAGTATATTTATGAAACAATCAGGAAAATTTGAACACAAACTGGGTATTTGATGATATTAAGAAATTTTTGTTGAGTTTGTAAGATGTGATAATAGTATTGTGGTTATTTATTTATTTATATTATTGTGTGTGGGGAGGGGGGGCTTTTTTTTTTTTTTTTTTTGAGTCTCACTCTGTTGCCCCAGGCTGGAGTGCAGTGGCATGATCTCAGCTCACTGCAAGCTCCGCCTCCCGGGTTCACTCCATTCTCCTGCCTCAGCTCCCAAGTAGCTGGGACTACAGGCGCCTGCCACCACGCCAGGCTAATTTTGTTTTTGTATTTGTAGTAGAAATGGGGTTTCACCATGTTAGCTAGGATGGTCTCAATCTCTTGACCTCATGATTCGCCCTCCTTGGGCTCCCAAAGTACTGGGATTACAGGTGTGAGCCACCGCGCCCGGCCTATTTATTTTTTAAAAAGTGTTCTTCGCTGGGTGCAGTGGCTCGCGCCTGTAATTCTAGCACTTTGGGAGGCCGAGGTGGGAGGATTGCTTGAGCCTAGGAGTTTGAGACCAGCCTGATCAACATGGTAAAACCCAGTCTCTACAAAAAATACAAAACATTAGCAGTGTGTGGTGGTGTGTGCCTGTGGTCCCAGCTACTATGTAGGCTGAGGTGGGAGGATGGCTTCTGCCCGGGAGGCAGAGGCTGCAGTGAGCAGAGATATGCCACTACACTCCAGCCTGGGTGACAGAGACAGATCCTGTCTCAAAATAAATAAAAAGAAAAAAAAGAAATGATCATGCTGCCTAGGATTTACCTCAGTAATTGAGTAGGGGAGGGTGGTAATGAGTGGGGAGCCGGTGAGGTGGGTGGTCCCTGGATTGACAAGTGCTGCAGCAAGGTGGTAGGCACTTGGAGGCTCATTATAATATTATCTCTGGTTTGTATGTGGTTTTTTTTTTTTGAGACAGAGTTTTGCTCTTGTTGCCCAGGCTGGAGTGCAATGGCGCGATCTTGGCTCACCGCAACCTCTGCCTCCCGGTTCAAGCGATTCTCCTGCCTCAGTCTCTCAAGTAGCTGGGATTACTGGCATGTGCCACCACGCCTAGCTAATTTTGTATTTTTTAGTAGAGACGGGGTTTCTCCATGTTGATCAGGCTGGTCTCGAACTCCTGACCTCGGGTGATCTGCCCGCTTCGGCCTCCCAAAGTGCTGGGATTACAGGCGTGAGCTGCCGCGCCTGGCATTTGTTTTTATGTTTCATAATGAAGAATTTAAAGAAAGGATTAGAGACAACTAGTAATAAAATCACAAAAATGACAAGAAAAAAATAAGTAAACAAGAGAAATTAGAAACTCTTCAGAGAAAGAGCAGAGGTAGTTACACCTGAGACTTGCAATAATACCATTACTTCATCTCATTCCTAAATTTGTCTCAACTTCCTGGCTCCAAAGCCTAGACAAAGCGTCCCTTATTTACTTGTAAAACAGTTTCTTAGGCATGCAGACGAAGAGGTGGGAACAGGAGGTTGGAATGTGGATAGCAACCCAAAAGAGAACTTTCTCCCCTGAGGCAAAGTCTTTAGCTGCTTTTCTTTTTGTCTTCCTTGTTTTTTTTTTTTTTTTTTTTGAGATGGAGTTCCACTTTTCTTGCCCAGACTGGAGTGTAATGGCACGATCTTGGCTCACTGCAACCTCCGCCTCCGGGGTTCAAGCGATTCTCCTGCCTCAGCCTCCCAGCTGGGATTACAGGAATGCGCCACCACGCCAGGCTAATTTTGTGTTTTTAGTAGAGACAGGGTTTCTCCATGTTGGTCAGGCTAGTCTCGAACTCCCGACCTCAGGTGATCCACCCGCCTCGGCCTCCCAAAGTTTTGGGATTATAGGTGTGAGCCACCGCAACCGGCTTGTCTTCCTTTTTTGGTGTGGTGAAACTGAGGGAGTTTGTTGGGAGAGGCAGTTACTGAGCTAGGAAGTTGTTGAGCAGGAAGGAGAAAAATCTGCAAACTGGAGAGGGTCTCACTATCAAACTTTTCGGCAAGTAGAATTTCCCCAATAAAAACAGCTGTATGAAGAACATTCTGAGACACATAAAGCTATTTCCATATCCCTGCAGGCAGTCTCTAGAAATAGTGCTTTGTTGTTCCACATACAATGCCATCTTCTGGTCCCAGCACTGCAATGGTCACTCCCACCTCCAAGATACAATAGTGATCAATTGTCTGATGTTTGCACTGCAGGTGGGGAGGAGGAAAAGGCAGAGGATCTGACCCCCAGGCTCTCAAAGCAGTTTAGTTCCTCAATTAAATAGCAAGTAACTTTCAAAGCTCCCCCTCCATCGGCTTCACCTTGTCCACATCTTAATCATCCTGCGATAGAGCAAAAAATATTCTCCAAAATCACCCATCATGCAAAACATGTTGAAAATGAAATTCTGAGGCCGGGCACCATGGCTCATGCCTGTAATCCCAGCACTTTGGGAGTCTGAGGCGAGTGGATCACCTGAGGTCAGGAGTTTGAGACCAACCTTGACAACCTGGTGAAACCCTGTCTCTACTAAAAATACAAAAATTAGCTGGGTGTGGTGGTGGGCACCTGTAATCCCAGCTACTCGGGAGGCTGAGGCAGGAGAATCACTTGAACCCAGGAGGCGGAGGGCGCCATTGCACTCCAGCCTGGGTGACAGAGCGAGACTCTGTGTCAAAAAAAAAAAGAAAAGAAAGAAAGGAAAAAAAAAAGAAATTCTGCAATTCTGCAGAATGAAATAGTGGAGGTACAGCCAAAAGGTGACATCTCCTTTCTATAATTATATTTAGACATTTGATTTACTTGCTTATTCACTAGGACCAAGCACAGGTGTGTGTGTGTGTGTGTGTGTGTGTGCGCTCACAAATACAGGGTTTTTTTTTTTTTTTTGAGACGGAGTCTCGCTGTGTCCCCCATGCTGGAGTGCAGTGGAAGGATTTTGGCTCACTGCAACCTCCGCTTCCGGGTTCACGCCATTCTCCTGCCTCAGCCTCCCGAGTAGCTGGGACTACAGGCGCCTGCTACCATGCCTGGCTAATTTTTTTTTTTTTTTTGTATTTTTAGTAGAGACGGGGTTTCACCGTTTTAGCCAGGATGGTCTCGATCTCCTGACCTTGTGATCTGCCCACCTCGGCCTCCCACAGTGCTGGGATTACAGGCGTGAGCCACGGCGCTGGGCCCAAGGGTTTTTTTGTTTTTGTTTTTGTTTTTTTTAGAGACGGGTAGGGAGTGGGGGTGAAGGTCTTTGCTCTGTCACCCGGGTTGGAGTGCAGTGGTGCAATCATAGCTCACTGTAACTGCAAACCCCTGGGCTCAAGCCAGCCTCCCGTCTCAGCCTCCTGAGTAGCTGCGAGGCAAACCACCATGCCCTAGGGTTTTGTTTTTGTTTTTGTATCCTACAGCAGCTTGCTCTTATCACTCAATAATACCTTATAGAAGGCCTCCAAACCATCTGGCCTAGTGCTAAAATAATCTTTTTAATGCCTGCATAATATTCACAGTATGGCTACCATTGTTCATTCTGTCACTTACCTACTCAAAGGCATTGATTTTGATCCCAATTTCCTTGCTACTCTGAATAATGATGCAACAGACATCCCTAAGCATGAGTTTCTGTTTATTGATGTGTACATTTTTATGGAAATCATTCCCAGGACTGAGATGTTTGGGTTGAGGGATCTCATCTCAGTTGAGAGAATAATTGTTCTTGGCCACCCAACAGTTAATACCTAATATTATATGGCACTACTCACCTTCTACTTTCAATTCCATTGCTGCCTCCTCTTGGTAAGAATGATCTCGGAAGAAGCAGGTGAAACCTCCTTCATCTGAGAACCTTACATTCCGGATCCTGAGAGTCACCTTTCCCTCACCAATAGCATCTTTCAGCAGCTCTGTCCGGCCCCGATATTCAGGTGCCTGGTCTCCATCTTGGTCCTTGCCATTTCTGTAGAGATGAACCACCCTAGAGAAGGGGGGGCGGTACCACCCCACCTCCATGCCTGTAGCGTTCTTCCCAGGAGATATGCGACATGGCAATTCCACTTCATCCCCGACCAGAGCCCGGATAGGGTGTCTTGGTCCTATCACTCTGAACTGCCCTGTCCAAGACACCAAAAGGAAGAGATTTAAGGTCAGAGGGAACCTTGGCAAGCAAGCCTGTCATGAGAAGGGCTGCTTCAAAACAGGGAAGGAAGAAGACACTCGACTTTTAAATGACATTCTAGAGCCAGGGAGGATTGCAATTGTTCTTCTTCTTCTTCTTCCTTTTTATTTATTCATTTATTTTTTGAGACAGTCTTACTCTCTGTCGCCCAGGCTGGAGTGCAGTGGTGCAATCTTGGCTCACTGCAACCTCCGCCTCCCTGCAACCTCCGCCTCCCAGGTTCAAGTGATTCTCCTGCCTCAGCCTCCCGAGTAGCTGGCATTACAGGCACCTACCGCCGCATCCAGCTAATTTTTGTATTTTTAGTAAAGATGAGGTTTCACACTGTTGGCCAGGCTGGTCTCGAACTCCTGACCTCAGGTGATCCGCCTGCCTTGGCCCCAAAGCGCTGGGATTATGGGCATAAACCACCACACCCGGCCTCAAGTTTCCTTCTTGAGAACAACAACGACAAAAAAGACTCTGGTTATAGAGATACTGTGAATGTCCTGGACAGAACATTTTAGCAATCATCTCCTCTCAGCATCTGCCCATCTTTTTGCCAGCTGTAGCCATCTCTGACTCTTCAGCCCAGCCTTTAGGTTCCCTCTTGGAATGTGGCACAGCATCTTGAGGTTGAATCCTCCTATGGGCCTCCCTGTTAGGACTTGGCCAAATTGCTGCCTATTCTACCCTTAGAGGTTTTGCTTTTGTCACTCCATCTACTTTAGCTGTCTCTCCATCACTTCTCACTATTCAGTCCTTGTTCATACCTTGTTTCCCAAATTCTCTTCTGAGATCTTCCACCCTGGGGATGGCTCTATTTCCCTCTTCCTTCCCCTGTATCTTCCACCTCACTGTGGCTCCCGGACCCTGACCCGAAAAAGTTCCTTGTTTTTTTCTATGTGGATGTGTTTCTCAAGTCAGATTCTGAGCTACTAAGAAATAAGGCTGCTTTCTCCCCTAGACCTGGAGAGTGGATGCACTGTGCCTCTGTCAGTCAGGTGGCTCCCTGAGGATGGGAAACTTTCTGTTTATTTCTCCTCTGCACGTGACAGCCGGGTTCCTTTATAAAAACCTACTGGTGCCTGATTATGCAGAGCAAAGTCTCAAACATGACAAGATATTATAATTCCACAAACATTTATTGAGATTTACTATGGACAGGCACTGCTAAGCATGTTACATATCTCATTTCATGTAATCCTGATGAGAACTCCAAGAGGTTGTTATTATTTTATCTCAATTTGAGAGGTGAAAAGACAAAGCTGGAAAGACAAGTAAGAAGTAGTTCAAGGAAAGCCTTGAGTTAGTCACATTAAGGAGTCTGGGTCAGACGCAATGGCTCATGCCTGTAATCTCAGCACTTTGGGAGGCTGAGGAGGGCAGACCACTTGAGGTCAGGGGTTCCAGACCAGCCTGGCCAACATGGTGAAACCCCATCTCTACTAAAAATAAAAAAATTAGGCCTAGTGCAGTGGCTCACGCCCATAATCCCAGTACTTTGGGAAGCTGAGGCGGGCGGATCAGCAGGTCAAGAGATCGAGACCATCCTGGCCAACATGTGAAACCCCGTCTGTACTAAAATACAAAAAAAAAAAAAAAAAAAAGAAAA
This sequence comes from Homo sapiens, assembly GCF_000001405.40. NCBI lineage: Eukaryota > Metazoa > Chordata > Mammalia > Primates > Hominidae > Homo > Homo sapiens. Next base: position 923,039 of record NT_167247.2, on the reverse strand, counting down.
GAAAAAATTTAGCTGGGTGTGGTGGCAGGCGCCTGTAGTCTCCGCTACTTGGGAGGCCAAGTCAGGAGAATCGCTTGAACCAGGGAGGCTGAGGTTGCAGTGAGCCGAGATCATGCCACTGCACTCCAGCCTGAGCAACAGAGGGAGACTCTGTCTCAAAAAAAAAAAAGAGTCTGGACTCCATCTTGAAGGCTGTAAGAACCACCCACGGAAGGTTTCTGAGGAAGGGAGGCATGTCAGTAGGTCTATGTTTTAGAAAGATAATATAGCAACTTGAGGATGTTTGAAGGAGCTAAGCCCCAGGAAACTAGCCTTTCTGTTTTCAGGGTCTCCCCAGGGCAGGAAAAAAAACATGTCTTACCTGCATAGCTGGAAGACACTTGGAGGAGGAGGAGGAGGAGGAAGGAGCAGAGGCAGCTGGGCAGAGAGGGTCTCGATAAGCTTGCCATCTCTACTGTTCCTGGGGACAGAGAGCCCCCGCAGCAAGGTCAGGCCAAGTGGAGGCCCTTGGGGTGCATGTCCCCTTACTGCTGAAAAGCCCAAGGGAAGATCTTGGAGGGCAGTGCTGCCTGGGCCCTGCCTCCACTCCGGTAATTGCTGCAGCTGTGCCCGCAGAAACAGCCCCACGTCACCCTTGCCAGGCACTCACACAAAAGGGCTACAGACTGAGGGGATGACCAGGGTTTGCCTTCCCCACCCCCCCAGAGCAATGGAGCAGAGGCTGCCTGGTACAGGGCTTTCCTCCCCCACTCCCTCCTGGAGATCCAACCTTTGAAGGGTCTTCTAGGGGCTAATCAGTGGGGCAGGATCACTTACAGGACCTTAGGAAGAGGCTTGTTCATGGAATATGTAAGCTTCCTCCAATCCACCCCAGCCCTACTGACTAGTCAAAAGAGAGAAATTATTATTGGTTCTTAAAAAAAGAAAGAAAACTTAGATTTCTTTTTCCTGTTTCTATTATCTCACAACTGTCATCACCAGACCATTCTTCTTAATGTCTAACCTCCCTTTCTTCTACCGCGAATCCAAACTCTGCCCTGTATGTTTGTATATGTGATAGGTCACTTGGGATTTGTTAGTTTCTTGTTCCCAAAGAATGTTTTTAGGGAAGTCATGAGATGAATGTCAGGTGTGCTCAGAGAGGCAAGGTTGGAGGAAGGGAGACCAGCAAGGGCAGCAACTAACTATGTCAGTCAACACAGGCAGAAGGGACAGAGCCAGCATACAGGACACGCTCTCCAGCCTTCACATCACTTGCCAGTTTCCTCAGTGTCACAGGGGAGAGTGAGATCTGGAATGGAAAATGACCTTTCTCTCACCTCTTGGCTCAGCTGAGAATTGCAAGTGTGAGACCAGCATTGGTAGCAGGTTCCAAAAATAGACTTCCCAATCTTAAGGCAAGTATGCCTCACCAAATAAGGAAAAAAGGCTCAATTTAGAGCCGTGCTGTCCAATGCAGCAGTCACTCCCTGCATGTGGCCACTTAAAATTAATTACAATTAAATAAAATTAAAAATTTGGTTCATTGATTACACTAGCCATGTTTCAAATGCTCAATAGCACTACAGTTAGTGGTTATCTCATCAGACAACACAAATACAGAACATTTCCATCGTCACAAAAAATTATATTGGGCAACACAAAAATTTATATTGGGCAGCAAGGGGTAGAAACACAACTGAGACATACATTTCTGCTTTTGTCCGAGATGGGCGTAAGGAGCTAGAAGGACATTAAGGTCAGCTGAGTTTGGGAACTGCTTATTCTTTCACCCTTCAAGGCAGCCAGCGTTTGGACACAAGCAATGTTTGGCTACTCTGGTGCTGTGTGGTTGAAAGTCAAGATTGCAGGGGTCAATCCCATGGAAAAAGTGGCCGCTGTGGATCTCTGGCTTTTTACCAAAGGGGTTTTTTTTTCTTCAAAAACCTAAAATGTCCTGGGACGCTCTTTCTCCCTGTTGCATATTCAGGTAGGAGAGTTATGCACAAGATGCTTCTGGGCAGGATTTGGGGGTGGTAAGATGTGTGCAATTGTCCAGCACCAAGCAAGCTGTCAAAAGCTGGATGGGAGATCAGGATGAGGGTGGAGGCATGTGGGAGCAGAGAGGGTCAGGAGCCTGCCGAGCCATCACAGCCACTTTGGAGAAATCACAGCATCTCTGAAAACAACAATAAAAAAAACTAACCACCTTACTGAGATATTCTATGTGCTGTGGTTCTAAGTGGTTTACTTGCATTAACACCTTTAATCCTCACAACAACAAAACAAATATTAAACTATTATCACCCATATCTTACAGGTGAGAAAAGGGAGGTACAAAAGAGGTAAAGGAACTTGCTAAAGTCACACCACTAGGGAGTGGCAGAGCTGGGATTTCAAGCCAGGCTTTCTAGTCCTAGAACTGGCTCTTTTAACCACCACAATACAAGGCCTCTGATGAGCTCAGCTTATTTACTTTCATGCCCTCAACTGCCTCAAATTTCCTGAAAGGGGAGGATTCCTGGAGCTGTGAGAGCAGTCCCTTGGCTGACATGGTCTTTGGGCAAAGGTGATATATACAAGGGAAGGCCAGAGGGGCCACCAGCAAAATGAAGCCAGTGGTGTTGCCACTTGCAGAAATCTGGGGTATAGGGGCTGGGCCCGCTCACGCCTGTAATCCCAGCACTTTGGGAGGCCGAAGCGGGCAGATTACCTGAGGTTGGGAGTTCAAGACCAGCCTGACCAACATGGAGAAACCCTGCCTCTACTAAAAATACAAAAATTAGCTGGGCATGGTGGCGTGCGCCTGTAATCCCAGCTACTCGGGAGGCTGAGGCAGGGTAATCCCTTGAACCCAGGAGGCGGAGATTGCGGTGAGCCAAGATCCCGCCATTGCACTCCAGCCTGGGCAAGAAGAGCAAAACTCCGTCTCAAAATAAAATAAAGAAATCTGGGGTATGGGAACATCAGGTATTGCCAGGAATAGAGCTCAGTGTAGATGTGTCCAAGAAGTGAAACCACCCTGTATCACCCTGGGAGCTGCTCATTTCTTTCAGCATTTAAATATTATTTTAATTGATTTTGTATAGCATATGTTATGAGATCCTGCAAGTATTCCTGAGTTCTTGAGTTGCCTCTTTTTTTCTTTCTTTCTCGTTTTTGAGACAGGGTCTCTCTCTGTCACAGGCTGGAGAGCAGTGGCGTGATCAGGGCTCACTGCAGCCTTTACCTCTCAAGTTTAAGTGAACCTTATGCCTCAACCTCCTGAGTAGCTGAAACTACAGGTATGTGCCAGCATGCCTGGCTAAATGAAAGCTTCTTTTCTTTTCTTTCCCTTGGTCTCAAACTCCTGGACTCAAGTGATCCTCCTGCCTCAGCCTTCTGAAATGTTGGAATTACAGGCTGAGCCACTACACCCAGCTCAATTTTCTTCCAGTGTTGCTGTCCTCAGTAATTTCAGCTTAATCTGCATCTCTCACCATGTCCAATGACAGACCATGTACACAGTAATATATTCAGAGTGACACATTGAATACAGTAAATGTGTGTGGTAATTTTTTAACATGCTCTATGCTGTCCATATGTGAAATAGTAAGCATTCAATAAATGGTAGCTTTCCTACATAAATACCCAGCAACAGTACTGTATAAGCTTTTACAGATAATCTGTAAAATATGTATCTTTACATTATTTATGTTATCAGAAGTGATAATAGACACCCTGTTTTGATTCTTGTTGTCTACTTAATTCATAATTCCACATTAATACATAATATGGCTTTTTTGTACTTTTGAAAATTGATTGTTAGCTGGACGTGGTGACATGCACCTGTTGAGCCCAAGAGAGAGAGGCTGCAGTGAGCACTGATCGTGCTGCTGCACTCCAACCTGTGCGACAGAGTGAGACCCTATCTCAAAAAAATTTTTTAAATAAAAATTGATTCTTATAAAGTAACATGCTTTGAAAATAAATCTCAGCCAGCTAAAGCCGATCTGTATTTTCTCTAAATCCTTCCGTTTGTATATATATACCACTAGAGGGCGCTCCACGAAAGTCACTGCCTGTGAGTACTGCAAGTAGCGCTCACACATCCCTCCCTCTCCCTTCTCCCACCTGTTTTACATAAATGGTAACAATTTATCTTGAAGCTCTTTCCTTATCAGTACCTAAAGAACATCCTTGTTATTTTTAAACAGCTTACAATATTTTATTGGATGAATATAATATAGTTATTTAAGTAGCATCCCAAGACATTTAGACTGTTTCAGTTTTTTAAATACCTATTTTTACTAGGATGAAGCAAAAATGTACTCAATTAATTTAAATCAATACATATTTAAAAGCAAGTGCTATGTGTCATACTTTATATTAGGCCCTGATTATAAAACTTTCAGCAAGGCAGACAAGATTCTTGCCTTTATGAGTTATATTCTAGTTGTATTGCAGTTATATTACAGTTATATGTTACCTAAAGGCACAAATTGATCAATGTCAGGCCATCATTTTCAACCTTTTTGCTCTTACATATAATTTGGCAATGAATATCAGTCTACTAAGGCCAGCTACATATTTTGAGGGGCAAAATGAAACTATGGAGCTCCTTGTTTAATAGCAGGAAAAGACCAGGTGCAGTGGCTCACGCCTGTAATCCCATCACTTTGGGAGGACCAGGTTGGAGGATCGCTCGGGCCCAGGGTCTCGAGTCCAGCCTTTACAACATAGTGAGACCCCATCTCTAGTTAAATAAATCTATTAAAAAATAATAAAATAGAAAATAAAAAGCAGAAAAAAAACCCAACCTTTTCCTTTTTTCTGTGGTTCCACTGTCAACCTATTATGTGGGGTTTTTTTCTTTTCTTTTTTTTTTTTTTTTTTTGAGACGGAGTCTCGCTCTGTCGCCCAGGCTGGAGTGCAGTGGCGCAATCTCGGTTCACTGCAACCTCCGCCTCCCGGGTTCAAGCCATTCTCCTGTCTCAGCCTCCCAAGTAGCTGGGACTACAGGCGCTCGCCACCATGCCCAGATAATTTTTTTGTATTTTTAGTGGAGACGGGGTTTCACCGTGTTAGCCAGGATGGTCTCGATCGCCTGACCTCGTGATCCGCCTGCCTTGGCCTCCCATAATGGTGGGATTACAGGCGTGAGCCACCGCGCCCGGCCTTTTTTTTTTTAATTTAATGTCACACTCCAGGCACAGGAGTACCTAGGGGGAAGTGCAGATCTTCACAAGTGCCTAGGGCCATGCCTTCCATTTGGCAAGGGAGGTGTGTATGCCTGACCGCTCCCCTCCTTTCCACTGTTCCCAGGCCCCTGCTGGGAGCGAGCCTGCACAGAAGGTGGTGGAGCCGGCAGCTGAAAACCAGTCCTGGGGAGGCTGGGAGGCATGGGGAGCAGGACCTCGCTTGAGCCAGGCTCCAAAAGTCTCTAGCCCATGTTCTGCTTTCTCATCGGACTTCATTATAAGACACAAATTGAAAGATAAAATTATTAAGAATTTCAAGACAGGAACCACAGAGCTTTAGAACCCAAACACAGTATCCCTTCTAAGCATGGGGCCCTTGTGTGACTGCCCTGGTCACTCACCCATGAAGTTTACTCTGCTTTCTACACTGGTAGAATAGTTTGTTCAGAGAGCATGTTTTTTGGTAATTTCAATAAATATTGATAAATTGCCCTGCACAAAGTTGTATACTTCACTGTACCCTGGCTTTCTCCTTAGTGAGTGAGGGAATAATATCATCCACTTCATCAGGGTTATCATGAGAATGACATGAATGAGTCCCTGTGAACTGTGAATGGTACACAGTAACCACTCAGTAAATACAGTCATTAGCCCTTACATGCAGTGATTTTCTTCTGGAACTCCCTCTAGTGGCATAAATATAAAGAGGAATTCACGTTTTCTTTTCTACTTTTGTGGCCCTATTTCCCATAATATTTGTGTGTTTAAATTGGTCTAGATATTCCACTGAGGCTCAATGACCGATAGACTATAAAATGTCTAATTTACATCAATTTAGCCAGATGCTTCCTAGGTAGGTCGGAGAAATGAGAACACTGATCCGAATCAATGTGAGGCAGCTCCCAGCAAGTGAGCGCCTGTAGCATGTGTGAGCATGGGTGCTGTGGTGAATGCAGCCAGGGGCTGCTCTTTCATACTGCTTTATTTCTTTTTCTTTTCTTTCTTTTTTTTTTTTGAGACGGAGTTTCGCTCTTGTTGCCCAGGCTGGAGTGCAATGGCACGATCTTGGCTCACTGCAACCTCCACCTCCCGGGTTCAAGGGATTCTCCTGCCTCACCCTCCTTTGTAGCTGGGACTACAGGCACCCGCCACCACGCCCGGCTAATTTTTTGTATTTTAGTAGAGACGAGGTTTCACCATATTGGTCAGGATGGGCTCGATTTCCTGACCTCGTGATCCACCCGCCTCGTCCTCCCAAAGTGCTGGGATTGCAGGCATGAGCCACCGCGCCCGGCCATACTGGTTTATTTCTTTTTCTTTTTTTTTTTTTTTTTGAGACAGAGTCTTGCTCTGTCGCCCAGTCTGGAGTGCAGTGACACGATCTCGGCTCACTGCAAGCTCCGCCTCCCGGGTTCACGCCATTCTCCTGCCTCAGCCTCCTGAGTAGCTGGGATTACAGGGGTGCGTCACCATGCCTGGCTAATTTTTTGTATTTTTTTAGTAGAGACGGGGTTTCACCGTATTAGCCAGGATGGTCTCGATCTCCTGACCTCGTGATCCGCCCGCCTCGGCCTCCCAAAGTGCTGGGATTACAGGCGTGAGCCACCGCGCCTGGCCTACTGGTTTATTTCTTTAAGTAACACATACAGTGTAGAAAAATTAGAAACGATATGGAAAAATGTAGAGAACAAAAAACTAATTATGTTCTACCAAAGGTTTAAATTTTATCTATCAACATTTTTTCCATTTTTGTGTATTCCCTATTGTTAGTCTGAGATTCACCAATATTTTTATCTTTCAAAAGGAAAAACATTCAGCTTCTTGTGAGTCAAGTGAGTCAGGCACTGAGGCTTGCCCCTCCCCCTCCCCCCTCACCAAATGGGAATGGGTTTGCGCTGATTTTAATCAAACTGCTATGGGTTGTCCTGCGTAAGAGGCTTTGGGCTGTTCTGTAGGTCCCCGTGGGGTAGAACAGTTGGGTGCAAGACTCTGAAGGCAGATTTCAGCTCAAAAGAAAGAATTTTCCCTCCTTCAGAGCTGTCCAACCGTGGTGGGAATGAGTGGGAACTACGGGAGTGAGCTTCCCATTCCTGGATTTTCCAGCCAACATAGAACTGGAGGTTAGGCCACATTATCCTAATATTTTTGCCTAGCTGTAGGATGATACAAGAATATACATTTTCCTTCCCCATCTTCTCCCGCTTTTCCTCGCCTTCTTTCCATTTCTTTGGCCCCTTCGCTTTTCGCCACCTAGCGGCAGAATCTTGCTAGGTAAGGACCAGGAAGCTCTCCCAATCTGACCCGCAACAGCTGACGTCACGACTTCGCCACCGAGAATTGGTTGCCAGCAGCCTTTGGGGGCGGAGAATAAGGCGCAGATTATAAATAGGTCAAAGAGAGGTGCCTGCGAGCCGCGCAGTGACACCCCGTTCCTAAGGGCAGAGCTTTTCTTGCCTTTCGCTTCAGACCCACTGCACTTGGTTACGTGCTTTTCCTCCGCTGTCCGCTTCGTTTATCTGCTTTAACCCAGCCTGGGCTAGGTAGGCCTGAAGCCTATAATGTTGCTTGGCTGTTGCTCAGGAGAAGAAAGGCCCAGGTGGCCAGTTTGGCAACTGGCACAGTCCCTGTGAGCACCCACCTGCTGATGGTCCTTCTGTCACTACGTAGTCGCTCCGACGCCAGGAAAGTGCGGTGGTGGCCATTTTGGAACTGGGCAACTTTCACTTCGCCAATCATCTTGGGGTCTGGCCACCACAGTACTTTTTTTTCATTATTATTCTGGCAGAGAACACGTTATGGAGGGATAATTATGTAGCCTAGAATTTCTAGAGTTGTTTCAGGACTCATAATATCCTCATTCCAGAATATGAGAATATAGAAGCTTGGAATACTCAGATGCAAATTCCAGCACCACCCTTTCCTAATTGATTGAGGAACACATCTGACTCTAGTCTACGGTCCTGTGGAAAGACCTGTGACCCTAGGCAAAGAGCTTAAAGAAATCTCTCTTTTTTTTTTTTTTTTTTTTGAGACGGAGTTTTGCTCTTGTTGCCCAGGCTGGAGTGCAGTGGCGCGATCTCGGCTCACCGCAACCTCCACCTCCTGGATTCAAGTGATTCTCCTGCCTCAGCCTTCCGAGTAGCTGGGATTACAGGCTATGCGCCACTATGCCCGGCTAATTTTGTATTTTTAGTAGAGATGGGGTTTCTCCATGTTGGTCAGGCTGGTCTCGAACTCCGACTTCAGGTGATCCACCCGCCTCAGCCTCCCAAAGTGCTGGGATTACAGGCGTGAGCCACTGCACCTGGCCATGAAGAAATATCAATTTATTTAACTGCAAAATGATAATTCTGTCACCTCGTGGTGCTGATGTGAGGATTAAATGAGACAAGGTACATAAAGTGCTTAGGCCTGTGTCTGGCTCCCCCAAAAAACATAACACCTCTTGTGCAGCACCTGTGCTTAGAATGTTAGCCAGTGAGGGCAGGACTTCGTCTTATTTTCCCTGTGCCCTCCTGGGCATTGAATAGTGAGGGATACATATTAGAATAAGTTTGCTGAAAGAATGAATGACAAAGAATCCCTGCCTGTAGGTCTTCAGCCTTTGTATTCTATTATCTTTTAGGCTGTAGGCTCACCCTCAGGCATCTTCTTGCCACTCTAACCCCTGTAGGCTGATAATTACACCTTTACTTGCTCTAGGTCACAGCAATCTGTTAACTACGAGATTAGTATTTTTATTAGTATTTTTGACTTTTTTTTTTTTTTGAGACATGGTTTCACTCTTAGAGTGCAGTGGCGTGATCTCAGCTCACTGCAACCTCCGCCTCCCAGGTTCAAGCGATTCTCCTGCCTCAGCCTCCTGAGTAGCTGGGATTTCAGGCGCCCGCCACCACCCTCGGCTAATTTTTGTATTTTTTTTTAAGTAGACGGGGTTTCGTCGTGTTAGCCAGGATGATCTCGATCTCCTGACCTCGTGATCCGCTCGCCTCGGCCTCCCAAAGTGCGGGGATTACAGGCGTGAGCCACCGCGCCCGGCCTAATTTTTGTATTTTTAGTAGAGACAGGGTTTCACTGTGTTGGCCAGGCTTGTCTCCAACTCCTGACCTCGTGATCTGCCTGCCCGCCTAGGCCTCCCAAAGTGCTGGGATCACAAGCGTGAGCCACCGCGCCCGGCAGATAATTTACTTATTATTTCATACACCACCTGATATATTTTCACAGTGAGCATATGGCCTTTAAAATAATGATTTTTTTGTTGTTTAAGTTACAAACAAACCTGAAAAAATATTTGCTTTTTAGAAATGCTCAGTTTCTGAAGGGACCTAAGTTTGCCTTGTAACTGGTACCATCTAATGGTCAAACTGAGCTATTGCGCTGAGGTTGGATACAGGAAGCTAAGGGAAGACAGGGATGTGGGAAGTTCAACAGGGGTATGCTATGGAATAGGGTGATAGAACTTTGTGGATGACATACCAACATCACTTGCTGAAGTTGTGTAGAGCTTATTCTTACTGAAACAGTAATCCAGAAATTAACTCATATCTAATGACTTGGTGGTATAGCATACCAACACTTTTATGCCAGCCACTGGAGAAAAAGTGTGTTCCTATAGCATTTTCACATTCTGAAAACATTTGTCTATGATTGTATTTATTTCTCACAATAGTATGTGAGTTAAAGATATCAAATAGTTTTATTCTTATTTTACAGTTGATGAAATTGAGGCCAGACGGGTTGTGACAGGCTCAAGGTCAGTCAGAAAACCATTGTCAGAGCAAGACCAGACTGGCATTCTTTTTCAGGTGTTTCTGCTGCAATTGGGGGCAGAGATATGCAGGCTTAACTTTTATAAATATAAAAGATGCTTTATTGGGAAACGTGAAGTAGTGGTTCTCTGAGTTTTTTGTACCATTTCTTAGCCTTTTTGTTTTATGCAATTTTTTATTTGCCCCAACCTGAACTCTATGTTTGGAGAGGTGATTTTCAGCAACAAAGCTAAATTTATGTATAATTTATTTCTTTTTCTTTTATTAATCAAACGTGTTTTAACTTGTAACTTTTCTTCTAAAGTCAGCATCATGTGTATACATATGCAAATAATTCCACTCCAAGGTAAGGAAACTTTAAGGATATTTTAATTAGTGCTCACAACAAATATGTGTATCTGTTCTGATTTTTAAATAATAAAGATGGAGCATGACTTTCTTCTTCTCTTTCTGTATTCCAGTTTTAAAATCATTGGCTGGGTGCAGTGGCTCATGCCTGTAATCCCAGCACTCTTGGAGGCCAAGGCAGGCGGATCACTTGAGGAAAGGAATTTGAGATCAGCCTGGCCAACATGGCAAAACCCTGTTTCTATCAAAAATACAAAAAAGTAGCTGGGCATGGTGGCATGCACCTGTAGTCCCAGGTACTTGGGAGGCTGAGATGGAAGGACTGTTTGAGGCTGGTTGACACAGTGAGACTCCCATCTCAAAAAGAAAAAAAAATCACCATACCACATTGTAGGAGCTATGAAGGCTGACATCATGCTTAGCTCATGTGTGTGATCCCAAACTGCCCTATTCCATAAATATTTATTGACTAAATGAGAAAAAAATCTTACAACCAGGTAAGATTTCTTTTCTTTTCTTTTCTTTTTGAGACCGAGTCTTGCTCTCTTGCCCAGGCTGGAGTGCAGTGGCGCGATCTCTGCTCACTGCAAGCTCCGCCTCCCAGGTTCACGCCATTCTCCTGCCTCAGCCTCCCGAGTAGCTGGCACCCGCCACCATGCCCGGTTAATTTTTTCTTGTATATTTTGTAGAGACAGGGTTTCACCATGTTAGCCAGGATGGTCTTGATCTCCTGACCTCATTATCAGTCTGCCTCAGCCTCCCAAAGTGCTGGGATTACAGGCGTGAGCACCGCGCCCAGCCATAGCCAGATAAGTTTCTTTTGCACACCTGTACTACTTTTAATGGTAGTTATGGCAGGTCATATTAAATAACAATAATATTTTCTGGGCCAGGCATGGTGGCTCACCCCTGTAATCCCAGTACTTTAGGCAGGAGGGTCATTTGAGGTCCAGAGTTCAAAACCAGCCTGGCCAACATGGCGAAACCCTGTCTCTACTTCAAATACAAAAATTAGCCAGGCATGGTGGTGCATGCCTGAAATCCTAGCTACTGGGGAGGCTGAGGCAAAAGAATTGCTTGAACCCTGGAGGCAGATATTGCAGTGAGCTGAGATTGCACCGCTGCACTCCAACCTGGGTGATTTTATATATATATATATATGTAAATATATATATTTAGTTTTCTTATGAGCCCCTTAAGAATAATATCAATACACAGGCAGAAAAAAAGCATTCCAAGATCTTTTTTTTCTTTTCTTTTTTATTTGAGATGGTGTCTCACTCTGTCACCCAGGCTGGAGAGCAATGGCGCAAACTCAGCTTACTGCAACCTCTGCCTCTCCGGTTCAAGTGATTCTCCTGCCTCAGCCTCCTGAGTAGCTGGGATTACAGGTGTCCACCACCACACCTGGCTAATTTTAGTATTTTTAATAGAGACAGGGTTTCACTATGTTGGTCAGGCTGTTCTCGAACTCCTGACCTCGTGATCTGCCCACCTTAGCCTCCCAAAGTGCTGGGATTACAGGTGTGAGCCACCGCGCCTAGCCTTTTTTCTTTTCTTCTTCTTCTTCTTCTTCTTTTTTTTTTTTGATAGAGATGGGGTTTTGCCATGTTAGCTTCAAACTCCTGGGCTCAAGCAATCTGCCTGCCTCAGCCTCCCAAAGTATTGGGATTACAGGTGTCAGCCACTGAACCAGGCCTAAAACTTTATTTTCTAAAGTTGAAATAACTTCAGGATATAATTTAGAGATATCATGACTCCTTGGGGTCCAGAGAAGAAAATCACTCAGGAGTTAAAATTAAGAGAAGGGTCAGGCACAGTTGTGAGTGCTGTAGTCCCAACTACTCAGGAGGCTGAGCAGGAAGAATTGGTTGAGGCCGGGAGTTCAAGAGCAGCCTGGGCAATAGAGTGAGACCTGTCTTTTAAAAAAGTAAAAATAGGTCAGGCGCGGTGGCTCACACCTGTAATCCCAGCACTTTGGGAGGCCGAGGTGGGCGGATCATCTGAGGTCAGGAGCTCAAGACCAGCCTGGGCAACATGACAAAACCCCATCTCTATTAAAAATACAAAAAATTAGCCATGTGTGGTGGCACACGCCTGCATTCCCAGCTACTCAGAAGGCTGAGGCAGGAGAATCACTTGAACCCAGGTGGAAGTTGCAGTGAGCCGAGATCGCATCTGCATTCCCAGCTACTCAGAAGGCTGAGGCAGGAGACTCACTTGAATCCAGGAGGTGGAAGTTGCAGTGAGCCGAGATCGCACCATTGCACTCCAGCCTGGGCAACAAGAGTGAAACTCCACCAAAAAAAAAAAAAAAAAAGTAAAAATAAAATCACAAGGAATGGTTGGAGGAGCCCAGCCCATTCTATTTGTACCTCTATTTTGAGCCATTTCATCCTCTTCCCTGACCAGTTCATCCATCATCCCTCCTCCCCATTAACCACCAGCTTACCTTGTACTCTTCAGTCTTAGAACCCACATTACCTTCAATCTTCTTTGTAAAATGTTGGTAAGAAGTTAACAAATTCAGGCCGGGGGTGGTGGCTTATGCTTGTAATCCCAGCACTTTGGGAGGCCGAGGTGGGAGGATCACTTGAGGTCAGGAGTTCAAGACCAGCCTGGCCAACATGGTGAAACCCCATCTCTACTAAAATTACAAAAATTAGCTGGGCGTGGTGGTGCATGCCTATAATCCCAACTACTCAGGTGGCAGAGGCACAAGAATTGCTTAAGCCCAGGAGGTGGAGATTGCAGTGAGCCAAGCTTGCACCACTGCACTCCAGCCTGGGTGACAGAGCAAGACTGTTAAAAAAAAAAAAAAAGTTAACAAACTCAAATTCAAGAATGCTTTCTTAATACATTTCTCCTGTTATTTTCCATTTTTCCCATGGTGGAAAATAGAAAATAGGATGGCATCACTTGAGTTGGGCATAGGGAAAGAAATTTCAAACAGGGCATGAGTTCTAGGATTTAGAACAGCTAATGCAGGAGTAGAGTTAAAGAAGATACCCCACCTAGCCTAGCCTGCTAGCTGCTTGACAGTAACCAGGGATAACAGGGGAACAGTTAAGGTTCTTCAGATCATGGTCTCTTTCTTTTTCTTCTCCCCTCCCCCATCCTACTTATAATTATTCAGACAGAATGAAAGTTTGCTGCAGGCACAGGTGAAAATTTTCCACCCGTGTCCCTATTTCATAGCAGGATCTTAAGATAAGACCAAGGAGAATGATCTTTGGAAAAGTACTTTCTTAAGAGCAGCGAATGGCTGAACGTAGTGGCTCATGCCTATAATCCCAGCACTTTGAGAGGTCAAGGCGTGTGAATCACCTGAGGTCAGGAGTTTGAGATTAGCCCGACCAACAAGGTGAATCCCCATCTCTACTAAAAACACAAAAATTAGCCAGGCGTGGTGGCAGGCATCTGTAGTCCCAGCTACTCGGGAGGCTGGGACAGGCCTGGGAGGCAGAGGTTGCAGTGAACTGAGATTGCGCCACTACACTCGCCTGGGCAATGGAGCAAGACTCCATCTAAAAAACAAAACAAAACAAACAAACAAACAAACAAAAAAGCAGCGAGAAGAGAGAGAAGAGAAGTAAGGCCCTCTTCCTGGTAACATCTTGCTCTACTCCTATTCCCGATGTGGGCCACCATTAGCGCTGCTATGTGGAGCAGAATTTGTGCATGCACCAGAGATTATACTTGCAATGCTATCAAAATGCTCATGGGTGGTGGGGGATGCACAGAGGTCTTGCCAGGTCTAATGCTGGTGAGGAAGCTTTAGTTTGCTAATGGTAAGGGCTACTGGGCAGTACAGTAAGGGTACTGAGCATAGTAGCATCATGGACAGCAAAATGGCAGCACCTACAAATAACGCAAGTAAGTAAAGTTATTGCTAAAAGAAAATATTCAGATAAACACTGGTAAGTCTTTTTGGAGAGTGATTCTGCCTATGGCTCAGCCAAGGCCCCCTGCTCTATGGCAGGGTGAATCTTCTGGATCTTCTACTAACAGAAATCTTACCCACATAGTGATAACCGCAGTGATTTAATCCTTAGCAGCATTGCTGATATGCACAGGACTCTCAGGGAGAGAGACCCCTGGGTGCCTTGAGGGTGCTTTCCACATCTTGTCATTGGGCTGAGCAGGGTCTTTGGAATCACTAATCTCATGTTGGCTTGTTACATGTGAGACACTGTGCAGATTATTAAACATGTTTGAGTTTCAGTTTTCCCATTTTGTAAATGGGAAGACTAATATCTATATCAGAGAATGCTATAAGGAGCAAGTGAGACAATCCAAGTAAAACACACAGCCCAAAACTGGTTATAGTAAAATAAATGCTATTATTATTATTATCCTGTAACTTATAGGGTGGAATGACTTAAATGTGTTTAGAATGTGTCACTATTATGGCCCATGGAACAAAGCAACCCATTTTACCAATACCTAGTAGGTCTTCAACAAACAACAGAGACCGCTAGATTAATAGACTTGGAAACTGGTGTGATCATTCTGTACAATGGAATGAAACTCATCTCTGAGTCAGAAAATATGTAGCTCTTTTAGTGGGATAAAATGAGCCACATAGTCAAAATCCCTGCCCTCCTGGAGTTTATGGTCTGGTCAGGAAGGCAAATGTAAATACACGATTCCACAGTTACCTTAATTACCACTGAGATAAGTTTTGTGGTTTTATTTTTATTTTGAGACAGAGTCTCTCTCTGTCACCCAGGCTGGAGTGCATTGGCATGATCGCAGCTTACTGACCTTGACTTCCTAGGCTAAATCGATCCTCCTGCCTCAGCCTCCCAAGTAGCTGGGACTACAGGCTCATGCCACCACACTCGGCTAATATTTTTAATTTTTGGTAGAGACAGGGTCTCCTCATGTTACCCAGACGGAGATAAGTTCCTTCCTTCCTTCCTCCCTCCCTTCCTTCCTCTCTCCCTTCCCCTTCCCCTTCCCTTCCCTTTAGCATGCACCACCACCCCCAGCTAATTTTTGTATTTTTAGTAGAGACGGGGTTTCACCATATTGGTCAGGCTGGTCTGGAACTCCTGACCTCAGCTATCTGCCTGCCTCGGCCTCCCAAAGTGCTGGGATTACAGGCATGAGCCACCACACCCACATGGATTTTGATTTTCTTTTCTTTTCTTTTTTTCTTTTCTTTCGTTTCTTCTTTTCTTTCTCTCTCTCTTTCTTTCTAAAAAACAAACAAACAAAACAATGACTACAGTATGCCATATATGAGAGTGGCTAGTGGGATTGGGGAAACAGTGTTCTAAGTCTGGGGAATTCAGGGGAGGCTTTACTGAGGAGGTGCCATTTAAGCTGTTAGCAACATGGGTGTGGGGTGAGGAGGCTGAACAGAGCACCACGCCCAGGCAGAGGGAGCTGGGTGTGTTTGGTTTCTGAGTTGAAAGTTAAGGAAGTTTAAAGAACAGCAGTCAGACGACCATGGCTGGAGCACTGTTAGTGAAGGGCAGAAGGACCTGAGACTTGACTTTGAGGCCAAGCTCTGGTATTTATTGGCTGTGTGATCTTATGAAGTTCATTCAAACTTTCTGAGCTTCAGTTTTCCTATCTGACAAATGGAGATATTATCATATAGAAACAACAGAAAGAATTAGAAGAGCTAATGTGAGAATTCTTTGTAAATTATGCACCAATAAGGTATTCAGTTTCTGCACAGATCTAGGTGTAACAAATACTGAAAGCATCTGAAGGTGTGTATGAGTCATGTCTGCTTTTTAGGTCTTCAGAGTGATGGCTTAGAAAGACAGGCAAGGAAGAGTAAACTCAGCAGGTGTTTGTTTACTCTCAATTGCTAAAAGCCAAGCTTGCTTCACATCTGTTCCAGGCTTTCCCTCCACTAGGACTCAGTGGTTCCCGTGGTTCTCTGGACTAGGGTAAGATTAATCTGACCTGCTGTAATAGGGTCATGGATGTGACATGGTCAGGTTTTCATACATAGCCTTTATGGAGATCCTTACTGGCATTTTAAAATTTATTTTATTTTATTTTATTTTATTTTGAGATGGAGTCTTGCTCTGTCGCCCAGGCTGGAACGCAGTGGTGTGATCTCAGCTCACTGCAACCTCTGCCTTCCAGGTTCAAGCAATTCTCCTTCCTCAGCCTCCCCCGTAGCTGGGATTACAGGCACCTGCCACCATGCCCAACTGATTTTTTGTATTTTTGGTAGAGACGGGGTTTTGTATTTTTGGTAGAGATGGGGTTTCGCCATGTTGCCCAGGCTGGTCTCGGACTCCAGTTCAAGCGACCCACCCGCCTCGGCCTCCCAAAGTGCTAGGATTATAGGTGTGAGCCACCACGCCCAGCCCTCTTACTGGCATTTTTATCATATTTCCATGAATAGAATTTCTAGTCTGTTGCTTCAGATTTGTTCATTTGACTTCTAAAACATCTATCTGTAAACATCTTCTCATGTTTATAAACAGTTTCACATATCCTTTTCTGCAATTCCAAAATTCACAATACTCTGAAAACCAAAATTTTGTAACTCATTTGGCGGCAAAGCCTGGCCTGACTTGCATTCATTCTGTGACAAAACGAGATGTGAAGCTATTTATAATCTTTCTTTACCTCATCTAGTGTAAATAGCCATACATTTAACGTGAAAATATATTTTTGCTTATTATGGGCTTTAGACCTGCATACACATATTAAATGATAGATTTTTGAGTATTGTGTAGCTTCTAATAGAAAAATCTGGGTGATATATCCTTTTACTCTGAGTATTATTTCATTAGTGTGCTTCGAATAAGTGAGCAATCATTTTAGGTACTTGAACAGAATATGACGAGAGACAGAAATCTATTGCAGCAAAATGAACAAACAAATCCCCTAGCAACCAATTATATACACACATTATGATGCATACGTTTTTCAGATTAGTATGAATAATTATTTGTAGATATTCATACCAGTATATACTTAATTACACATGTTTAATTAAATATAATACTTATTTTGAGATCTTCAAAATGCTCATTAAATTTGTGTTTATGAGAACTGAACCTTTTTTTTTTTTTTTTTGGAGACAGTTTTGCCTGTTGCCCAGGCTGGAGTGCAATGGCACAATCTCAGCTCACTGCAACCTCCAGCTCCTGGGTTCAAGCGATTCTCTTGCCTCAGCCTCCCGAGTAGGTGGGATTACAGGCATGCACCACCATGGCCGACTAATTTTGTATTTTTAGTAGATGGGTGGTTTCTCCATGTTGGTTAGGCTGGTCTCAAACTCCTGATCTCAGGTGATCCGCCCGCCTAGGCCTCCCAAAGTGCTGGGATTAAAGGCATGAGCCACGGCGCCCGGCAGGAGAACTGAACCTTTTCTAAGTCTTTTAACATGACCTCATTATCCTGTAGATGAACGGACAAAGAAGCTATTTTCCTTTTTGTTTCTTAGGTTAATCTAGCATTTAATTACATTGTGTTCATTCACTTATTATATAAAGGTGTACTTATTGAGAAATTATTTCTAGAGGCAACTTCACAATGTCAATGTTGTAATTTGGTTATTGGCTCTGTGCACTCCTGAGACAGGGGTAGGATCCCCACTGCCTCAGGGATTCTTGTGTGTGAGAGTGGTAAGTGCTAGTGCAGGTACTCATAGTGTGGCTTTTTAATTTCACTGAAGTTTTGTGACTCCCAAACTGGGCTCACCTGTACATGCCTGTAAAGACATGATAGAAATAGCTTCATGAGCTTACTTTTATTGGCACAATAAACCAAGGCCAGAACTGCCAAGAATGTACAACTGCTATGGTCTGAATGTTTGTGTTCCCCCAAAATTCATGTTCTGAAACCTAATCCCCAATGCAATGTGGTATTAAGTGGTGGGGACTTTTGCAAATGAGATTAGTGCCCTTCTAAAAGAGGCCCCAGGGAGCTTGTTTGCCCTTCCACCATGTGAAGACACAGCTAGATCGCAGATGGCAGATGGCAGTCTATGAGGAAGCCAGCCCTCACCAGACACTGAATCTGCCAGTGCCTTAATCTTGGATTTCCCGGCCTCCAGAACTGTCAGAAATACATTTCTGTTGTTCATAAGTTACCCGGTGCAAGAGATTTTGTTATGGCAGCCCAAACAGACGAAGACAGCAACCAAACTAGGATTGTGTGTGGGGAGCAATAGAGAGGGTTTATTAACGAAAGATGTTCCCTTACTCTCTCTCTCTTTTTTTTTTTTTTTTCCTGAGACGGAGTTTCACTTTGTCGCCCAGGCTGGAGTGCAGTGGCTCGATCTCTGATCACTGCAAGCTCCGCCTCCCAGGTCACGCCATTCTCCTGCCTCAGCCTCCCAAGTAGCTGGGATTACAGGCGCCCACCATCACGCCCGGCTAATTATTTTTTTTGTATTTTTAGTAGAGACGGTGTTTCACCGTGTTAGCCAGGATGGTCTTGATCTCATAACCTCGTGATCTGCCCGCCTTGGCTTCCCAAAGTGCTGGGATTACAGGCATGAGCCACCGTGCCCGGCCTACTCTCTTACTTCTTTCTGGCCCAGTGATTCTGAGTGCCTGTGCCTATCAAGACGGGAAGAAAGAGAACACACAAATGGAAACTGAGGGGAAGGATCAAACAGTTTCACAAAAATATCCTATTTTAGTGATATTAAATATGATGCAAAGGATTCAAAACCTCACTAAAAAGCCAGAGTGAATCCCAGAGTGTAAATAACTTCACGTTTGAATAATAAACCTTTGCCCTATACATTTTTCTAAAGAGCAAGAGCTGTTACAGGACAGAAAACTCTCCCAGAAGACAGGTCTTTCATCCTAACCCAAGAGGACATGAACATCTTCCATTCACCCAGTGATCACCACTACTTTAGATGAGAGAATAGAACTGCAGTTTGACCCTTGACAGAAAATGCCTTGGAGCCGGGTGTGGTGGCTCACACCTGTCATCCCAGCACTGTGGGAGGCCGAGGTGGGCGGATTACGAGGTCAGGAGATCGAGACCATCCTGGCTAACACAGTGAAACCCCGACTCTACTAAAAATACAAAAAAATTAGCCGGGCATGGTGGCGGGCGCCTGTAGTCCCAGCTACTCGGGAGGCTGAGGCAGGAGAATGGTGTGAACCCGGGAGGCGGAGGTTGCAGTGAGCCGAGATTGTGCCACTGCACTCCAGCCTGGGCAAAAGAACAAGACTCCGTCTCAATAAAAAAAAGAAAGAAAGAAAGAAAGAAAAAGACTTGGAGTGGGAGTTGGGTGAGAGAAGTGCCTCAAAACTAAGCCTCTCAATGCAGTAGAAAGAATTTGAAAATAGGGTAACGAACTTAAGTTCAAATGTTGGCTCTGTCAGCTTTATAGCTGTGTGACCTCTGATTTGCTTCTTACTTTCTTTAAATGGTAGTTTACTAGGCTCAGTATAGAACATGAATATCCACTCTGTGTGGTTAGGTGAGAATTTAATGAGATACTCCCAAAATGTACCTAGCATCTACCTGATCATCAATCAAGTGAACTACGTTGGTTAATATGTTTTCAGGGCTCCCAGAGTGTTAAATTCTGGGCTATATGCTCTCAGGGATGGATGGAAGATGAGGCAGAAGAGAGAAAAGGAAGTAGAAAGAAAGTATGGGAGGCCAGGCCCCGTGGCTCATGCCTGTAATCCCAGCACTTTGGGAGGCTGAGGCAGGCAGATCATGAGGTCAGGAGTTTGAGACCAGCCTGGCCAACATGGTGAAACCCCGTCTCTACTAAAAATACAAAAAATTAGCTGGGCGTGGTGGTGGGGCACCGGTAATTCCCAGCTACTCAGGAGGCTGAGGCAAGAGAATTGCTTGAACCCAGGAGGCAGAGGTTGCAGTGAGCGAGATCGCGCCACTGCACTCCAGCCCGGGCGACAGTGTGAGACTGTCTCAAAAAATAAATAAATAAATAAAATAAAAATAAATAAATAAGAATAAAAAATAAAAATTATTAAAAAAAAAGAAAGTATGGGAACTAAAATGAATAAGATTTGTCATTTTCCAGTAATCTGAGTAGGAACTCCACTATCTCTATGAAAAACCGTCAAAAACTACAAAAGGAGATGGCATTGCCAAAGGCACAAATTGTACAGAAGTGAGAGAAGGATGGGATCAAGCCTGGGGATCCTTCCAGAGGAAAGAAGTTTTGTGCTTGATGTAAAAGGAAAAGAAGGAAGTAGATTGATTGTGGGGAGGATGAAATTAGGATACTCAAGTAGTGGTTCTGGAAGGACCTCTACAAATATCCTGAAAAATATGGCCAGGAATCCTGGCAGTGACATTGGAATATGAAAAGATGTGAAAGGGGGAAGTTGTAGCTACTGGTGGAAAAAGGTGAGTGGTTTGTATAATGAACATAATTGGAGCCCTTGTCTGTACCCTCAAATGCCTCTGCCTCCCAAACAAGTAACAGATTTTAGCTATACTGATGCAACTTGCTAGGAAGGTTTTCTTTAAACCTTTATAAATCAATTAAAAATGATTTATAGAGGAGACACTTGTAAAACATTTGAATAAAAGTTGAACAACAAATATGACGAAAGAAAAGTGTGCAGGCCCCGCACAGTGGCTTATGCCTGTAATCCCAGCACTTTGGGAGGCTGAGGCAGGTGGATCACCTGAGGTCAGGAGTTCGAGACCAGCCTGACCAATATTGTGAAACCCTGTCTCTACTAAAAATACAAAATTTAGCCAGCCATGGTGGTGTGCACCTGTAGTCTCAGCTACTCGGGAGGCTGAGACAGGAGAATCGCTTGAATCCGGGAGGCGGAAGTCGCCGTCAGTCGAGATCACGCCATTGCACTCCAGCCTGGGTGACAAGAGTGAAACTCCGTCCCCCCACCAAAAAAAAGAAAGAAAAAAAAAGAAAAGTGAGGGTGGAGGGAGGGAGAGCACGACGTGCGCGCACCCTCTCCCCTTGTCCACTGCTGCCGCCTCCTTCTTCTGCCGCTCCTGGTGCTGCTTGTGTGCTCGTTTGGAGCGGACCTGGTACCTCTTTTGTGAAGCGGCAGCTGAGGAGACTCCGGCGCTTGCCATGGCCGAAGAAAAGCCCAAGGAAGGAGTCAAGACTGAGAACAACGATCATATTAATTTGAAGGTGGCGGGGCAGGATGGTTCTGTGGTGCAGTTTAAGATTAAGAGGCATACACCACTTAGTAAACTAATGAAAGCCTATTGTGAACGACAGGGATTGTCAATGAGGCAGATCAGATTCCGATTCGACGGGCAACCAATGAAACAGACACACCTGCACAGTTGGAAATGGAGGATGAAGATACAATTGATGTGTTCCAACAGCAGACGGGAGGTGTCTACTGAAAAGGGAACCTGCTTCTTTACTCCAGAACTCTGTTCTTTAAAGACCAAGATTACATTCTCAATTAGAAAACTGCAATTTGCTTCCACCACATCCTGACTACTACCGTATAGTTTTCTCTATTCTTTCATTTCCCCCTTCCCCATTCCTTTACTGTACATAAAGTAACTGGTATATGTGCACAAGCATATTACTTTTTTTTTTTAAAACTAAACAGCCAATGGTATGTTTTGATTGACATCAAGTGGAGACGGGGGGGAAAATACTGATTCTGTGAAAATACCCCCTTTCTCCATTAGTGGCATGCTCATTCAGCTCTTATCTTTATATTCCAGTAAGTTATTTTGCTCTCACTGTTTTAACAACAACAACAAAAAAACAACAACATAAAAATCCTTGCATACCTTGTTCAATTGGAGAATTTTAATGTTTTTCATTTATCATTGTAAAACCAAGGACAATTTTATAACTTTTTTGTACTTAGCTGTTACATGCAGAGCAATCTGTCTTTAAGTAGGGATAAATTACTCTAAAACAAAAAAGAATCCTAGATAGTTTTCCCTTCAAGTCAAGCGTCTTGTTGTTTAAATAAACTTCTTGTTTAAAAAAAAAAAAAGTAAAAAAGAAAAGTTATGCAACAATTAATGGCCCAGAGGCAATCCTTGTTAACATTTTGATGCATCTTTTAGCTGTTTTTTTTTTTTTTTTTTTTTTTTGACTGAGTTTGACTCTTGTCACCCAGGCTGAAGTGCAATGGCATGGCATGATCTTGGCTCACTGCAACCTCCGCCTCCCGGGTTCAAGTGATTCTCCTGCCTCAGCCTCCTGAGTAGCTAGGATTACGGGCATGCACCACCATGCCTGGCTAATTTTGTATTTTTAGTAGAGTTGGGGCTTCTCCACACTGGTCAGGCTGGTCTCGAACTCCCAACCTCAGGTGATAAGGGAAGGGGCACTATTGACATTTATGGTTGGGGCAGAGGTGTAAGATATTCTTCAAAGCACTACCTACATGTTGAAGAATTGTTCCTCACCCAGATTCTCAAAAGTCCCCCAGGACATTCACGTAGTGAAAACCTGTGTTTAATTATCTGAGCCTATAACTTAATACAGTTTTAAAATTTTTTTTTAAATATACAGTGAACTTTCTAGGAATGCAATTATAGTTGTGTGTAAAATTAGGGAAAATTAACTTTGCTACCAAGAGTTGTTCAACATTTTGTTAAATCACTTCATTGATGGCAACATGCTGGAGGTAGTTGAGTCACCAACTCAGCACCTGGATCAGCCTGTGTTGGTAGCAGTTTCATCCCCGTGGTTCTGTGAATAGGTGGAAGCATCTGCTTACTCCATCAGGACTTCTAGGGTAGTCGGGCCTTGGCACTCACACATTAAAATACTGTTTATGTTATTTTATTGCAAGTTACTTTTCTTTCATTTCCCCTTTACGTTACAGAAAGGGAAGCATTTTGCTTTCTGTTTAAAGTTGTGTATGTAGGTAGGTTATATCATCTATGACTTTCTCTCCCTCCTTCCCTTTCTTTTTGTTTGAGATGGAGTCTTGCTCTGTCACCCAGGCTGGAGTGCAGTGGTGCGATCTTGGCTCACTGCAACCTCTGCCTCCCGGGTTCAAGCGATTCTGGTGTCTCAGCTGGGATTACAGGCGCACACCATCACACCACGCTAATTTTTCTATTTTTAGTAGAGATGGGGTTTCGCCATGCTGGCCAGGCCAGGCTGGTCTCAAACTCCTGAGCTCAAGTGATCAGTCCGCCTCGGCCTCCCAAAGTTCTGGGATTTCAGGCGTGAGCCTCATCTATGAATCTCAATTTAGGACAGTAAAAGTGTCATTACAAAATATTTATTGTAAAAAAGGGTTGGAGGTTGAGAATCTCAATTCTAGTCAGTCTCTCAGTGTTTGGTTTCTTCCTACCATTTTTCCCCCTAGGACCAGCCAGAAAGCAGCTTTTTTTTTGTCCCCCCCAACAAGGAGCCCACTGTTTCCTCTCCCAGCCCAAACTCAGGCCTACGAACAACAACAGCACAACACACACACACACACACACACACACACACACACACACACACCCCCCTCCACTTCAAGGTATAGCCAAGAGCTTCTGGAGCCGTCAAAAAGGTCTGTACCTGCTGTCTTTAGAGCTTCCAGTTTGCCCTTGGTCAAGAAATACTGTTTGCTAGGCTCTGCTGGAGTACATCAGGTAATACTGGCTTCTAAACCACCCTGAGGTTCTTTTCTCTTGTCCTTTTACTCCCTTCGTACTTCAATTTCTCTCCTTGATGTCCCCCTCCCTGTTTTGTTTTTTGCCTCCAATCCGTTCTGCGCGTTCCCTGCAGAGCAGGCGAGTAGCAATGCTGCTGGACCATGGAGCTGCTCTAGTCTCCCAGAAATCTCTTCTACACCCAACCCTTCTTGCGCTTAGGTGGTCCTCAGTCCCCCTCCCCCACCTCCTTCTGACCCAGGCTTCTTTCTCGCCCTCCGGTCGCAGTTCTCCTGGGCATCTGCCTCTGCCTCTCTCCTCTCACCCGGATCTAGGGCTGCCTTCTCTTTGTGCAGCCGTCTTTCTCCACCTTCATCCCAGACTCCCTGTCTCAGCGCCAGCTCCTCTGCCTTTGGCTCGGGTTCCCTCTCCCCCACCCCAGCTTCCAGTTGTTTGGCCCGCAGGTCCCTCGGCAGTGACCGGCGCCCCCCGACGAGTGCGTGTGCACCAGGGCACCTCCCTCTCCCCCACCTCTCAGCCCCGCGCCTCTCCACCGCCCGCCCCACCGCGCTGTGGGCGGTCCAGGGCGGGGCTGGGATCCGGGGCGGCTCCCGGGGCTCGGGTTGTGGGAGGCGCCCTCTCCCCGGTCTTCCCCTCTCTTCCCCCCGCCCTGCCTTCCCTTGCACCCTCCTTCTTCCCTCCGCCCGGGAGCTCTCCCTGGTCCCCGGCGCCGCCTCCTTCCCTCCCGGCTCCCCGCTCCCCGCTCCCGTGGCTGCCGCCGCCCCGGGGAAGAAGAGACAGGGGTGGGGTTTGGGGGAAGCGAGAGAGGAGGGGAGAGACCCTGGCCAGGCTGGAGCCTGGATTCGAGGGGAGGAGGGACGGGAGGAGGAGAAAGGTGGAGGAGAAGGGAGGGGGGAGCGGGGAGGAGCGGCCGGGCCTGGGGCCTTGAGGCCCGGGGAGAGCCGGGGAGCCGGGCCCGCGCGCCGAGGTAAGAGCCAGGGCCCCGGGTTAGCAGGGCTCGGAGAGGGGGCGCGCGGCGTGGTGGGGGAGGGGGCAGTGGGCGCAGGGCCCAGCTGGGGGAAGCGGGGCTGGGGGAGAGGAGGAACCGCGGGGATGGAATCGGGGAGCGCTGAGGCGGCCGATGCCGGGAGCGTGGGTAAGCCAGGCTTCTGCGAGCCGCGGGGGCCGGGGGAGAGGAGGTGGTGAGAGGTGGAGTCCCGGGAGGGTTGGGGGCCGAGGGAGGCAGGAGGAGGGTGGGGACAGGCTTTCTCTCCTCCTCTCCCCCCACCCCGCGCGGGGCTCCGCCCCCGCCTCCTCCGCGGGGCGCTCTCTTGGTCCCCAGGCTGAGCCCGGTCGGAGCCTGCGAGGCAACCGGCAAGAGGTCGAGTAGTCTCCGGGTGCGGGCCGCGCCGGCGGGGCTCGGTCCAGTCCTCATGGCCGCCTCTCACTTAGATGTTGCTGCTGCTGCTACTGGCGCCACTCTTCCTCCGCCCCCCGGGCGCGGGCGGGGCGCAGACCCCCAACGCCACCTCAGAAGGTGCATCCTTCTTCGACGACCTCCGGCCCTCCTTCGCTCCACTTCCCTTTCCCTGCATCTCCTCATTTCTGGTCCTCATCACTATCCCATCAGTCCCACATATCATCCCGGTCTGGCAACCCCTTCTGCTCGGCCCGACTTTACTACTGCTGACCTCCTTCTGTCACCCCACGTTACTATCCAGCACCTCTTTTCTCTGCCCACATTGCTACACTATACCACCTTCCTGTGCATTTTCTCCGCCTCAATCCCCTTTCCCAGCCCCACATTACTACCTCAATTACTCCCTTTTCTTGGTCCCACTTTGCTGTCCAGATGATCTTATTAGCCTCCCTTTATCCTCCTATCCTAATTCAACTCGAATATCCTCATTTAGCCTTTTTTTTAAAGAAAAGCTCCACCCACATATCATACCCTTCATGATTTCTTAATTACTTTTCTTTCTTACCTCCACCCAGCACCCTTCCCTCCCCACTTGTGGGTTCTCTCATCAGCTTTAACCCTGGCCCTTTACTCTCTGTCCTTTAGCCAGGGGATCTGTACCTGTCCCCACTCCCACCCTCTAGTGCCCCATCCCTCTTCCTCTGTCCCCAGCCTGCCCACAGACCACGCCCTACTCTCCCCTTCCTCCCACTGGGGAGCCTGCCTTTTCCTCTTTCCCACCATTCCTCTCTGTATGCCTCCCCGACTCACCCCTTAGGTTGCCAGATCATACACCCGCCCTGGGAAGGGGGCATCAGGTACCGGGGCCTGACTCGGGACCAGGTGAAGGCTATCAACTTCCTGCCAGTGGACTATGAGATTGAGTATGTGTGCCGGGGGGAGCGCGAGGTGGTGGGGCCCAAGGTCCGCAAGTGCCTGGCCAACGGCTCCTGGACAGATATGGACACACCCAGCCGCTGTGGTGAGTAGCCTCGGAAGCCCCTCCCCTCTTCAAGACTATTCCTTTTCCTGCCGCAAACTTAGCATTACTGCTTGCAAGTCAGCACTTTAAATCCAGTATACCAAAATTCACAAATACATTTATTGAATGACTACTACATAAGAGCAATTTTGCTCTGTGCGGTTGGAGGTAGTAGAGCTAGCAGCCTGCACAGTTCATTTCATCCTCCCTTCATTAGGCCACTGATCATTGGCCTATAACATTGATAATTCATCTTGTCAGTTATTCTCTTTGAGGATCATTAGTGGCAGATGATGACAAAAAAATTCTAAAATGATTTCATCACATTTTTGAATACCTCTGTCACCAACCCAGAGACCATATGCCCAAGAAACAAAAGCCAGTTTAATATTAATAGAAGCCAACTATAATAAGAAAAGCAAATCTGATTGTGCATCCAAAGTTATATACATCTACATATTTCAAAGCCAGAGAACCGCCCACTGTAGCTGACTTTGAAGAGATCCCATTTTGTGTGCTTATAGCCCCATCTTGGGTTCCTAAAATGGTAATTTTTTTTTTCTTTTGGGAATGTGTGGATGCTTGCACAGGTAAGGGAGGATTGGAAGATAGGTAGGCAAATCCTTTTCACATGTGATTTTCTTTAGAGCAGGATGCTTGTGGACCCAAACCTGCACCTGAGTCCCCTGCTCTTTAAAGGGAAAGAGCCTTCTTCAACTCGCCTCTCTTCTTATTTTCCTATCTCTCCACAGTCCGAATCTGCTCCAAGTCTTATTTGACCCTGGAAAATGGGAAGGTTTTCCTGACGGGTGGGGACCTCCCAGCTCTGGACGGAGCCCGGGTGGATTTCCGGTGTGACCCCGACTTCCATCTGGTGGGCAGCTCCCGGAGCATCTGTAGTCAGGGCCAGTGGAGCACCCCCAAGCCCCACTGCCAGGGTGAGGGGAACAGCTGCCTGCATGCAGCTGATGAGGACGCTTGTGTGAGGATGGGAGTGGGGTGGGAATGGATAATGGGAAAGAATGGAGAGCTATAAAAATGTGGGGGAGGACACTGGAAAGGGGAGATGAAAGTCCCTTTTTCCTCCATCACCTGCCTCAAACTTCCTCTTGCAGTCCCCGGTATCCTCTGTAGGTTGGGGGCTTCCTTCCTTTACCTTTTAAAAAAATCTTCCTGCTCCCGATTCTTAGACCTCACGTTTTCTCTTTTCCTTTATGAATCTCACCTCTCTCACCTTCTTCAGGTTTAAATACTCCAATTTTCCCTTTCTCTAAACTTAGAAATTTCCATGCATCACCCTCTTCTAGAATTCATCCCTCACCATTCCTTATATAATTGATTTATTGTAAAGACTCAGAAATAAATCAAACATTCTACTAAGAAAAATTGAGAAGGGGAGCTCTGGGGGTGGAAACATATTAGGGTAAAAGACTTAAAATTGGAGGCAGCATTATCAGAAGATGAAGAACAACTCAGGGATGGGGTGGGAAGAAGACAGGTCCTTTTCTGTACTTCCTAGACAACCTCCATTATTCCCTAAGGGAATCAGTGTTGTGTCTGTCTACTTTTTTTTTTTTTTTTTTGCCACGTAATTTTACAAACTCTCCCTTTTCTAGGCACCCGAACTCTCTGCCATCTTCTCTCCTGGGATGCAGTCATCCCATTTGTATGCCTCATACTTCCTCTACCCTGGTAGATTCTTTCAAGATCCTTGGGCTTTACTTTCCTCACATAACTCAGTTATTCTGCTTCTAGTTTACCATTTTATTCTGGAAATTGAGAGTCCCATCCAGGGGTGGACTTATGACACTACTGAAACTTAGACTTCAAGGTTCCTCACCTACAGGGCCCTCTTCCTGTGCTCTAATAATATAGAGGGCTCGATGGATATGTGTTCATATGGTAACAGGCTTTTGTAAAAATTGCAGAAATAAGATTTTAACAGCAATTGCTTAAAGCCAATTGTATGTGTAATTTTTTTTCTTAAAGACTCCCAATTTTGTAATATTCAGGCACCACAGAACCAAGATCTGCCCCAAACTTAGCTATTGGCATTCCCGTCTCAAATTCTGTTGTCCTATGAAAAATCGAAGAAGAAAATAAGTCCTGACCCCCTTACCCCCAGACCCACCTTGTTCTTATCCCCAGGCACCCTCCCCTCAGAAACGCAGGCTTCTGCTCTCCCCGGTCTTCAGCATGGACAGGTGTGGGAGGGGGCTGGGGATCAGGCCAGGGAAGCTGGGCGCCAGTGGTAACTCTTCTCTGATCCCCGTCTTTCCTGCTGCCAGTGAATCGAACGCCACACTCAGGTGAGATGAGAAACCCTTACCGCGCGCACTGCAATGCCCTCCCCTTCACTCTGCACCCTCCACCCCCCTGAAATTCTGCCCTTAGGCTACGGGGCGTCGTCCTTTCGCACCTTCCCCAACCCACCCCAGTTTGCGGCCACCCCCTTCCCTCCCTACCTGTTTCCTGCCTCCAGTCCCGGTTTTCCACGAGGCTGCGGTCTCTCCTTGTCCCTGCTTGGCTACACTTCCCTGGGCTCCACCTCCTCCCAGACTGAGCCTCGCCGGTGTCAGGCAGAGCCCAGCAGAGGGCGGCAGGGTGCTGGGAGACCCTGAGCTCCCACCACGTTTTCCCCTGTGGGGTTCCTTGCGACCTTCGCTGGAACCTTTTCCAGCCTGCTGCCTCCTAGGATTTCACCTAATGGACTTTCTCAGCCTGTCCCACCCATCCCAACCCTGGCCAGGCCTCTCGCGCTCTTCCCCACATCTTTTCCTTCCGTGTACCCCTTCCCTCGTCTTTTCTCAATTCCATGTCCTGTCTCCCTTTCTTAGGCTTCTGTCTACCCAGCCCCAGGCTCCCTTCCACGACCCCACCACTCCCTCAAACCAGCCTCCCTTCCGTACCCAACTCGTTCCCTCCAAAACCGTTTCCTCTCCCCCACATCCTCAGTGCTTCACTGTATCGACTCATACTCCCACTTCAGACCTCAGGCGCCAGCCCCGTTTCTCTCCCGTCCCACTCGCATCCTTCCCTTCCTACCCTGGTTCCTCCGTGCTTCAGCCTCCCGCGGCTCCCTCCGCCCACCCCGCCCTCCTGGCACGCCCCGTCCCCATTTCTCCTCCCCTCGGGTCCCCTTAAGTGAGATCCCTCCCTTCCTCTTTCGTTCCTTTCCTCCTCGAGGTTGCATCCCCCCTCCCCTCCCCGCCCCTCCGACTGTCGCTCCCACCTCGGCGCTCGCTTCCCTCCCCGCCCCCTTCCTGCCTCCCCAGCTCCCGCCCGCCCCCCCACCCCCCGCTGCCGCGCGCCGCCCGTGACGTCAGAGCCCCCTCCCAGCCCCACATCTCCCTCCTGCTCCTCCTCCTCCCCTCCGTCGGTCAGTCAGTCCGCGAGGAGAGTCCGCGGTGGCGGCGACGGTGGCGAGAGCCGCGGGGGCCGTAGGAAGCCAACCTTCCCTGCTTCTCCGGGGCCCTCGCCCCCTCCTCCCCACAAAATCAGGGATGGAGGCGCCTCCCCGGCACCCTCTTAGCAGCCCTCCCCAGGAAAAGTGTCCCCCCTGAGCTCCTAACGCTCCCCAACAGCTACCCCTGCCCCCCACGCCATGGGGCCCGGGGCCCCTTTTGCCCGGGTGGGGTGGCCACTGCCGCTTCTGGTTGTGATGGCGGCAGGGGTGGCTCCGGTGTGGGCCTCCCACTCCCCCCATCTCCCGCGGCCTCACTCGCGGGTCCCCCCGCACCCCTCCTCAGAACGGCGCGCAGTGTACATCGGGGCACTGTTTCCCATGAGCGGGGGCTGGCCAGGGGGCCAGGCCTGCCAGCCCGCGGTGGAGATGGCGCTGGAGGACGTGAATAGCCGCAGGGACATCCTGCCGGACTATGAGCTCAAGCTCATCCACCACGACAGCAAGGTAGCCCTGGACATGGGGGTGGGTGGGAGGTGGGGGCTTGCGGGGCAGGGGGCCAGCCAGCTGCACGCGCCCCCATCTGTCTGAGTCGTCTCTGGGATTGCGAGGCAGACCCCTCCCTTGTGTGACTGGCAGGAGATGGGCTGGGGGTGCAGGAGCTTGGGGAGAGTCGCAGGGGCTGGAGGTCCAAGATGAGGGTCTAGGGGCTCAAGATGGTTAAGCATGCTGCAAGGCAGACCCTTCTGCCCCGCTGCGGGAGTCTCGCAGAAGTGTCGGGGTTTGGAGAAACTGGTGGTGGATTTAAGGTATTAGGAGACACTGATCCTCTGAGGGAGTAAACTAACCCTGGAATGGGTTGGGGGTGGAGGGAATGTCAGAGGTGGGGAGCTGGATTGGGGGTTTACATTTACCATGGTAACAAGGTAAAATCTTGGCGTAGGTTGGAGCTGGAAGGAATAGGGACAGAATGAGGAAAATTTTGAGAGACTTGAGAGCTCTAGTTTATTTATCTTAACAAAACAGCAAGGTAGTGGTGAGCCCTACCTGACTCCTTCTCATCCTTCTATTCCCAACCCTGTTGAGCATTCCCAGACTGTGGGATAGATGGCATATGGTGATTGGGGAAGGCTAATGATCAAGAGGTGGGCAGAGGCACTGGGAAAATGAATTGGATTGGGGATCCACATGGGAACCCCCACAATAGCATGGGGATGAAGAAGAGTCAACATACAAGGAGAAGAGAACAGAAAAGAATGGCAGTGGGGGAGAGGGGCAAGGAGGTAGCGTGGGGATAATGAGAGATCTTGGGGCACCTTATGGAACTTGGGTCCTGACCTTCCCTTCCCTTATAGCATTGTGGCCTCTAGGATGTGAGAAGGGAAATGGGATGTAGGGATTAGGGAGGTGAGTTGAGGGAGAGAGAGAAGGTAAGCAAATTTGGGTCCAGGGGTATTAGGGGATAGCTTATAATGAGGTTTTTTTTCCCACCCCTCTCCCCTACATGAATAATTGGGGGTGCAGGGAAGGATGTGACACAGGGAAGGAGATTTAAGATCTCAAATTTATCTTCACTGACATGTGGCCCCAGAGACTTAAGGAATTGGGTTAGGGTGAAATAGAGTACACAAGGTGAGAATTTGGTGATCTTACCAAATATCAACCTTGGGGTGATCCAAGGATTTATATTCATTTTTAGAACATCACTATACACCTAGAAATAGGTGTGTGTCTGGGATAGGTGTGTGAGGGGACAGAAGTGAGGTTGAAGGTAGGGTGCTTGAAGAGAAGAGAGCACAAGGATTATCAGGAGCTTGGCAAGAGAACTTAAAATCCTTTTTGACTGTTACTTTCTCGTGGTTCTCAGCCTTCAGTGTACATAAGAATCACCAGAGGAGTTTGTTAAAAATACAGATTCTAGCTCCTTGGTCAGGGATGAATCCCAAGTATTTATCTGTATTTTTACTAATAGACATCCTATCTTGGTGGATTCCTGAGCTGTAAGCTAACCCCAGAATGCCTATGGGAAGAGCAGCAGGGTACAGGAAAATAATTAGGTATTAGGGTACGGGAGGCAGGAAGAGAAGTAGAGGATCAGATCTGGTAGAGGGTCAGACTTGGGACAGTCAGAGAGATCATTGGTTTTGGGG
The DNA here is from genome assembly GCF_000001405.40 of Homo sapiens. Classification (NCBI taxonomy): domain Eukaryota; kingdom Metazoa; phylum Chordata; class Mammalia; order Primates; family Hominidae; genus Homo; species Homo sapiens. Next base: position 891,236 of record NT_167247.2, on the reverse strand, counting down.
AGTGGAGTGTGAAGAAAATGACAGGGAGAGATGGGTGCAGGCTTTATGATAGGGGATCACAGGAGATAGGGGAGGCCTGGCTGTGAGCTCAAACTCATCCACCATGACAGGTGATTCCCTGGAGGTGGCGGGGAGCAGACGTGGGACCTGGGAGAAGGGAACTGGAGAACATCAGAGGCATCAAGCGGGGTGGGATGGGAAGGCAGAAGAACCAGAATGTGTCAATTGGAATGAGTCGGTTTCCTGCCTGCAAATCCAGATCCTTGCAAGAGCAAAGAGAGGGAGGAGAACTAAGGAAATCTATTGGGGAGGGGGAGAGAATCACGTGGTGGAGAGAATCTGCAGTGATGAATAGTGTGTGGAAGAGGGAAACGGTTGCAAGAAAAGGTAGATAAGAAATCAGGAAACAAAATGGGGGGCATGCCTTGCCCTGTTGATATGTATCTTATATGTTCTTGTATGTCCTCATTGTTCCTATTAACCCTGTCTTTAGAGAAGTGGAGGGGCACTGAGGGGCTGTGGGAGAAGCTGGGAGCAGGATCTGGAGTAATAGATGTGGGGAGAGTGCAGGAAGGTGGGTCCTGAGAATGGTAAAGATTTACAAAGTTGCCCTAGTGGGAGGCATAAAGAGAAAACCTTCCAATGTTGTTGAGCACTGCCCTTGGCCAGAGTGAGGGTAGGGTGGGCAACAGAGAATTCTCAGTGACTGCTGGTTCTTCAGATTCCAACAGCTTCCCCTGGCTCCCCCTTCTCCAACTTCCCACCGTGTCCCAAATGTCAGGCCTCAGTGGGAGGTAAGCAGGCTCCAGAGTGCTTTCTTTATTTCCTTTCTACTTATCCTCCCCTCCTGGCAACATTTCACCCTCCTTAGTCCCCTGAGCCCCCTGTCTGTGTCCCCTCTGCCCTGGCTCCCCACTGGCTGCCATTTCGTCTTCACATGCATTGGGGTTCCAGCAGCTTCTGAAATGTCATATATCAGTGGGAGGGGAACAGGCAGTGGGAGACCCAAGGCTGGCTCTTCCTCCCCCATTTCCCCTCCTCCCAAGCTTCCTTTCTTCTCCAGCTTTCTGCTTGTTTACTTTCCCTAGCTCCAAGCCTCTCTTTAAGGCACCTCTCAAATTGTCTGGTTTCTTGAGAGTTCCATTCTATTCATTCTCTCTGTTCTTTCCTCATCCTACATTCTTCCCTACTTCCACCCCCCAGTGTCTTTTTTTCTAATGGACCTGTCAAATGTCAGCGCCCAGCAGGAGGGATGGATCACTGAGCGGGACCCCCTACTGGTCTTGTTCCTGTTCTCTCTTTACTTATCACTAGCTCTGAAAAGAGAAGAGGGAGGAAACAAATGGAAGGTGGGGAGAAGGGGTTTGCAGAGGTGAGGAAGGAATTTTCATAATATGGCTTTGAGCAAGCTATCTGGGGATGTGGAAAGAGTTTACCGTATTCCTACTGACTTCTTCCACCCACTGGTGTTTGAAGCATAGAAACATGGGGTAAAGGGCTTGGTGACAGAGGGAAGGGGGATGTCTGAGGGTGAGCTGAAAGGAGGTAAGGTGGTATGTTCATTAATACCAAAGGAGGGGTGTGCAGGAGAGGTGATGGGTAAGGCTCCAGATGGAAGACAGAGAAGGAAGTTTAATGAAAGAGGAGAAAAAAGGCACTTGACAGGAAGAGATGCCAGAAAGGAGAAGAAAACGGTAATTAATGATGAAAGTGAGTAATTGAGAAAGGAACTAATTTGTTCGAGAAAGATAAGAGCAGGAATTGCAGACAGGGGAGGGGCCCCAGGAGAGCTTGCCCTCATCTCCTCTTGTCTTTCAGTGTGATCCAGGCCAAGCCACCAAGTACCTATATGAGCTGCTCTACAACGACCCTATCAAGATCATCCTTATGCCTGGCTGCAGCTCTGTCTCCACGCTGGTGGCTGAGGCTGCTAGGATGTGGAACCTCATTGTGGTAAGCAGGGCTATGGGGGTCAGAAGATGGGGTCATTCCCTTTTGAGCTCTACTGAAGGGACGATGGCGATTGTGGGTTTGTATTGAAAAGGAGTGTGGAGGACCTGCTACTAAGATTCAGAGTCCTCTGCAGACCTGAGCTAGGCAGCCTCCTAGCAACAGTGGCCTGACAGTGCTGCAGCTGACCTCCTTCTTCAGAAGGAATTGAAATTAGATCAGTGAAAGAGCATCCCGGTTGTGAGGGGTGTGTGGGCCTTTGAGAATCTCTTTTCCTTAGGCAGACCAGAGGTGGGGAGGTTTGGAGAGAGTAAGGAAGAGAAACCCAAAGGCAGGAAGAGGGTTAAAGGAACTCTTGGCCACTCTTGGTGTCCTCAGTGAACAGACCCTGTTGCACTCACTCTCCCTGCCCCACAGCTTTCCTATGGCTCCAGCTCACCAGCCCTGTCAAACCGGCAGCGTTTCCCCACTTTCTTCCGAACGCACCCATCAGCCACACTCCACAACCCTACCCGCGTGAAACTCTTTGAAAAGTGGGGCTGGAAGAAGATTGCTACCATCCAGCAGACCACTGAGGTCTTCACTTCGGTGAGGAGGGGTTGGGCAAGGGGTAAAGGGACATAAGCTCAAATTCCAGCACCAGGAGATGTGACGTGAGAGTCACTTTTAGGGGCAAGAACTTGATTCTTCATTGAAAGAGAACGCATTCCATGTGGATTAAGTGCAGTTCTTTCTGTAGCCAGGGGAAAGAATGAGTTGAGTTTTTGGGATCCTCTCTGTCTTTATGATTTTATGATTTTTTTCCCCTGTTTGATGCCCTGTTCCCCAGACATATAGACCCAGAATGACTCAGTTCTGTTAAAGTAGGTTCAATCCAAAGTGGGGGCAAGAGATGGGAGCGAAGATGAGATAGGAATCCAGGAAGGCAGCAGATTCCAGAGGCTTTCAAGGGGGGTGGTGGGTGGGTGTGAATGGGAACAGAGGGGATGGAGCCAGTGGATTACAGAGGAGAGAGGGAGAGGAAAGAGAGAGAGAGAGAGGAATGAGGGAGAGGAGAGAGAGGGGCAGAAAGGCAGCTGCATGGATCTGGTAGTTGGTACTAAGAGAGAGAAGCCGACAGACAAGGAGAGGTTGAGGGGGAAGAGGGAGATTTGGGGAGGTAGAGAGGAAATACAGGCTCTACATCTGAAGAAGGCAGTCTGCTCCCTCCCTTTTATTCTATTCTTTGGGTCTTCTATCCACTGTGTTCAGTGGCCCTTTAATCCTCCCCCACTTTCACTCTGATTCAGACCATTCTTCTCTGATCCTTTGTCTGTCTGCCCATTTGCCTCTTGAGGTTGACATCATGCTGTCTGTCCCAGTCCTTGCCTTGTCTTTTCCTGGTTCCTTTATGTTTCTTTACCCCATCTTTGCCTTCAGTGGTAGGAGTGGGTGAATGGAGTGGCTTCCCCCACACAGAGCCTCAGCAGGGGCTCACCATTCACCTTCCCACTTGGAATCCACATCCTAAGACCAGATGCCTTCCCGAACTCCTCACTTCAGGGACAGAAGCTGTTGAAGGAAGGTTCAGAATGGCTGCTTCTTTGCTCTATCTGAGTATTGCTCTGAAATCCCCAGTTAACCTCTCTGGTCTTTATTCCCTCATGCACCCCGTGTTTTTCCAACTTGTTTTTTATTCCCACCCAAGACTCTGGACGACCTGGAGGAACGAGTGAAGGAGGCTGGAATTGAGATTACTTTCCGCCAGAGTTTCTTCTCAGATCCAGCTGTGCCCGTCAAAAACCTGAAGGTCAGATGGCTGGGAGTGGTGGGCTCTGTTTACGGAGGGACCAAGCTGGGGGACAGTGACTGGTTGGAGAGGAAAGCCAGGCGGGGGCAGGTTTTGATTCTCTGAGGCAATAGCATCTCCTGGGGAAGTTTAGCTCCATCTTCCAGTTGACGTTTATTCACTATACGTTGAGCGTTACCCTGCACTAAGCACTTTGGGATGGGAAATCAAAGCTGTGAAGACATCTGGCTTAGCCCCTCAGGCATTCCCGGGCATCCCTCAGGAGCTGTTTCTTTCTCTGTTGTAGCGCCAGGATGCCCGAATCATCGTGGGACTTTTCTATGAGACTGAAGCCCGGAAAGTTTTTTGTGAGGTGGAGTTGGATCTGAAGAGGGAGGGGCACTGGGTGGGAGTTTCCCTTGGTTTTCTTGTGGGGCCTCCTCTTGGCATCTGTGCCTGAGTTGATAGCATATGATCTGAGGTGACGATTCATAGGATGTCTCTGTCTGTTGGCTCTGACTGCATCCCTTGTCTGCACACACATGATACTTTCTTCAGATCTCATTTTTCTACTGCTTTGTGTTTCCTGAGAAGCCCATGAATTCCATCTGTCCTGACTGGCTGGAAAAGGCCACTCAGAAATACAGGGGCTGGGGAGAAACTTAGAAGGAAGAATTGTCAGCCTTTCCTACTATCCCCAAGACTTGTAGATTTCTCTTTTTAGTTCTACTGCTCTTCCCTGATTCCCAAGAGGCTAAATAGTATCAAGTGAGATAAGACAAAAACAAACAAATGAGCAAACAAAAACTCAGCCATTCTCCTCTGTATTCAGGTGTACAAGGAGCGTCTCTTTGGGAAGAAGTACGTCTGGTTCCTCATTGGGTGGTATGCTGACAATTGGTTCAAGATCTACGACCCTTCTATCAACTGCACAGTGGATGAGATGACTGAGGCGGTGGAGGGCCACATCACAACTGAGATTGTCATGCTGAATCCTGCCAATACCCGCAGCATTTCCAACATGGTGAGAGTGTGGGGACTTGCAGTCTGGCACCTGGGAGGGTGGAGAGGACTGAGGGGGCCTTGCAGGGGAAAGGGTGGCAGGGAGAGGGTGCGGAATTTGGATATAAAGGAGAAGAGGGGGCTGTGCCCACCCTGAACTTGTCTGCATTATGTTTCCTGTGGATCCTACCTTTGCTCTGACTTCCTTGGGTAGAGAGAGAAAAAAAAAAAAACGATGGAGTTGTATGTTCAGTAGGTTCCTGATGAGTGGAAGGGCTGTTACCATGGAGACGAGGAGCAGTTGGTGAGAAGTCAGGAGGAACCGGCATTAATGATAATATGGATGCTTGTATACTCAAGCACACCTTTACAGGAGCACTGTGTCTGGGCAGAATTGCATTTCATTTTCTTGGTGATTTATGTTAGTGTTTTAGAGTTGCTTAATATTCACTCATGATTGATATGCAATTAGCTTGGATCCTGTTGCTTTTTTTAATGATTCTTTTTTTAGAATTTTATGTGGAGAAGGGGCTTTTGAAATCATTTAGCCCCAGACAGCTGGTTAATGACAGACTTGGAGCGAGGAGGCGCATTCTCTGATTTGAGAGGGCTGGGGCAGCCCTGCAGCTGAGGGGCAGAAGTGAGTGTGGGTGTGGGCACAGGGGAAGAGGCTTCTTTGTTGCTCAGCACTACATTGTAAAGAGTACAGGAATTTTGGGTAAGCTCGATACGGCCACCTATGTGTCTGCTTATTACACCAAGTGTGTACCTGCTTTGGAGAGCATGTTAGGGGTGAGTTAATGGTTGTAAAGCCCCAAAATAGCTTGATTTAAAAAGTTTTACTAACAGTGGCATTTGTGTGGTACTTAGATTCATGATTTCAGGGATTCTAACAGCAAAACTCTGATGTGGACTTATCTACATTTTGTAGACCAGGAAAATGAGACTCAGAGTGGTTTAATGACTTGTCTCAGGTCATGCAGCTACTCAGCAGTCCAGCTGGAATTGAATCCTAGTTAAATCTGGCTCCAAACTGCTCTGCTCATCACTTCCCATGGAAAACCATGAAGCCTGACTAAAAAGTTTGTACTTTTATCTGCTAACACTGTTTAGCTACTGGCAATTGCTGAGCAAAGGAGAAATAAGATTTAGGAAGTTGACTCTGGTGGTGTGTTGTGATGAAAGATCTGCTGCCACATGGACTCTGATGATACACACTGTTTTGGGACATTCTAAATGGACTCTATGTTTTAAGGTATGTTAGTTGAAAAATACAATGAAAAAATTTTGGAAGATCACTTTCCTGTAGAGTACCCAAGAGGTGAGTCATCCATAAAACCTGGGAAAGTATTGGAACTGGCTACCAAAGCCAGAAAGACTTGTTGGTGCCCTGAGCCCAGGACTTGCCAATCGTTGCTTCTGTCTTATAGCAGGGAGCTAGAGGAGGCTGACAGAAAACAGGGATTTGGCTGGATCTAGTGGCTCACACCTGTAGTCCCCAGCACCTTGGGAGGCCAAGGCAGAGGATCACTGGAGCCCAGGAGTTCAAGACCAGCCTGGGCAATATAGTGAGACCCCCAGCTCTAAACAAAAAGAGAGAGAGAGAGAACAGAGAGATGGTTAGGGACATAGAGGGACACCTGAGCATTGGGGTGGGAAGACTTGGAAGGTCCCTTTCTGACTTTGTGTCTAGAGAAAGATGGTTCCTGCTTTTGAGGCCATAGGGCTTCCAGTGGGACCAGCCTAAAATGCCAGTGGGGAAGCCAATGTTTTCTGAAGAGGATAGAGCAGTCTTAACAATAGGTTAGGGGCAAAAGAGATTATAGATTAATCAAACAGCACAAATAGAAGTGGATCAAAGCAAGGGTTGGACCTAGGGGGCCGGAGCCATGGAGACTTAGAAAAGAAGCAGAGTTGCTTTTATTCCCTAAGGATGGCCTTATGTTTAGATCAATAGTTCTCAAACTTTAACATCCGTCAGAACCACCTGGAAAGGTAGTTAGTTCACAGGTTATCAGGCCCTTCCCCTGGAAATTCTGATTCAGTAGATCTGGGCTAGGGCCTGAGAACTGACATTTCTAGCAAGTCCCTGGGGATGCAGATGTACTGGTCTGGGGATCACACCTCGAGAACTATTAGTTAGGGTAGTGGTTTTCAACTACTACCCTAGACTCAGACGCTATACTATCTGGAGGCATTTTTGGTTGTTACAGTTGGGGGTAGGGGATGGGGAGGGATACATGCTCCTGATATCTAATGTGTAGAAGCCAAAGATGATTCTAAATATCCTACAAAGCACAGCCCCTGGCAACAAAGAATTATCTTGCTCAAAATGTTAATAGTGCAGAGAATGAGAAACCCTAGTTTAGAGAAAACATCTTTAGGGGCAATATGTGGAAATGGAGAGTGGGTTAGAGTGGTTTTAGAGAAATGTAGCTGTGGGCTAGAGGGGAATGTGGGAGGTGGCATCCTGGAGATAAGATTGTGAGGAAATCTTGATTGGGGTAGAGATCCCATCAGACCTAGGACCAGTACAAACTAAAAAGCTACCTCAAGATATACATTTTAGCCCACTGTCAAGCATCCATTCTTGAGAGCCAGACAAGGCTGTTAAAAAAATTAGGTATAAATTTGCACTTGGTTGATTAACTAATTGCTGTGGGTTGAGGGGTCTTTATTGTTCAGATTTCCTTAAGCTGCAGAGTAGAGTGTCTCTTTGACAATCTATAACTGTATCTTTACTGACTCAAGGGGGAAGCATTCTACTCTTCTTTACTCTTGGGGTGGCAGGAGCAGTGGTGCCCCCAGTGGTTAGGCGTGTTAGTGGTAGTGACCTGGCGTGAGCACAGGGTCTGACCACCTGAGCAGGGGACCGCATCGTGCTGAGCAGATTAATCCCTTTCTTTCTGGGTGATTTTTTTGATGCCATATTTACCTTGAACTGAAGATTGGATAGACCAATCTTTCAATTTGAAGCCAAAAGACTACTCAAAGTATTAGCCTAGCTGCTATTTGTGCAGGTGCTCTTAGAGAGAGGCAGTCTCATGTACAGAGACTGTGTAGGGTGGCTGGTAAGAGTATGGATTAGCTCTGCTACTCATTAATAGTATAACTTTTTTATAGGCAAGTTATATAACTTTTCTGTGCCTCAGTTTTCTTATCTCTAAAATGGGGATAATAACACCTCATTGGATTGTTTGAGGATTAAATAAGGTAATATAGTTTCCTCAGGAAAATGCTCGATACGTCCTAAGGACTGTATACATGTTAGCCACCATCATCGTTATCATTATCATCATCATCCTGTGTAAGGAGGGATCGATATCAATGAAACATTTCAACAAAAGAGTTAAGAGGACTCAGTGATTTGAAAGGGTCTGATGTAATTCCAAGGCTTCAGTCTCATTTACTGGGAGCTGTTTGGGAGTAAGAAAAAATTGAGCTTCATCTTGGATATTTTGATTTTGAGATTATTCATCATACATTAAAAATGCCTCAGAGTCAGTTAGAAATATGGACTTGAGGCTGGGCGCGGTGGCTCACGCCTATAATCCCAGCACTTTGGGAGGCTGAGGCAGGTGGATCACAAGGCCAGGAGTTCAAGACCAGCCTGGCTAACATGGTGAAACCCCGTCTCTGCTAAAAATACACAAATCAGCTGGGTGTGGTGTCGTGTGCCTGTAATCCCAGCTACTTGGGAGGCTGAGACACAAGAATCGCTTGAACCCAGGAGGCAGAGGTTGCAGTGAGCCAAGATCGCACTACTGCACTCCAGCCTGGCAACAGAGCAAGACTCCATCTCAAAAAAAAAAAAAAAAAAAGAAAGAAAGAAAGAAAAGAAATATGGACTTGAAATATTGGGCTGAAATTATAGATCTGAGTATCAATAACAAAGATGAGGTTGAGAGTCAAGGAAATTCACGTAGAGAAAATGTAACTTACTTCATACCCAGCATTTTTATACATGTTCTAATTTCATTTCATACTATTTTAGATAGTATTATTCTCATTTTAAAGCTGAATAACCAACTAGTGAGGTTTAATAACTTGTTTGAGATTTCATAGCAGGTAAAATGATTAGAATATGAATTCATCCATTTATCTATCCAACAGACTTTTTTTTTTTTTTTTTTTTTTTTAGTAGAGACGGGGTTTCACCGTGTTAGCCAGGATGGTCTCGATCTCCTGACCTCGTGATCCGCCCGCCTCGGCCTCCCAAAATGCTGGGATTACAGGCGTGAGCCACCGCGCCCAGCCTTTTTTTTTTTTTTTTTTTGAGGTAGAGTATCCCTCTGCTGCCCAGGCAGGAGTGCAGTGGTACAATCGCTGCAGCCTTGACCTCCTGGGCTCAAGTCATCCACCCACCTCAGCCCCTCCCAAGTAAGCTGGGATCACAGACATATGCCACCAAGTCTGGCTAACTTTTTTTTTTTTTCTCGAGATAGAGTCTTGCTCTGTTGCCTAGGCTGGAGCACAATGGTGTGATCTCGGCTCACTGCAACCTCTGCCTCCTGGGTTCCAGTGATTCTCCTGCCTCAGCCTTCTGAATAGCTGGGATTACGGGTGCGTGCCACCATGCCCAGATAAGTTTTTGTATTTTTAGTGGACATGGGGTTTCACCATGTTGGTCAGGTTGGTCTCGAACACCTAACCTCATGATTCACCCTCCTCAGCCTCCTGAAGTGCTGGGATTACAGGCGTGAGCCACTGCTCCAAGCCAAGTCCGGCTAATTTTTTTTTTTTCTGAGATGGAGTCTTGCTCTGTTGCCCAGGCTGGAGTGCAATGGCATGATCTTGGCTCACTGCAACCTCCGCCTCCTGGGTTCAAGCGATTCTCCGATTCTCCTGCCTCAGCCTCCTGAGTAGCTGGGATTACGGGAGCCCACCATCACACCCAGCTAATTTTTGTATTTTTTTTTTTGAGACAGAGTTTCATTCTTATTGCCCAGGCTTGAGTGCAATGGCGCGATCTTGGCTCACAGCAACCTCCGCCTCCCAGGTTCAAGCCATTCTCCTGCCTCAGCCTCCGGAGTAGCTGGGATTACAGGCATGCGCCACCACACCCGGCTAATTTTGTATTTTTAGTAGAGACAGGGTTTCTCCATGTTGCTCAGGCTGGTCTCGAACTCCGGACCTCAGGTGATCCACCCGCCTCAGCCTCCCAAAGTGCTGGGATTACAGGCGTGAGCCACCGTGCCCAGCTAATTTTTGTATTTTTCATAGAGACAGGGTTTCACCATGTTGGCCAGGCTGGTCTTGAACTCCTGACCTCATGATCTGCCCGCCTTGACCTCCCAAAGTCCTGAGATTACAGATGTGAGCCTCCGTGCCCAGGCCAAGTCTGGCTAATTTTTAAAAAAATTTTGTAGAGTTGGGTCCTCTCTGTTTTGCCCAGTCTTGTCTCAAACTCCTGGGCTCAAGGAATCCTCCTGCGTTGGCCTCTGAAAATGAAAATGTTGGGATTACAGGCGTGAGCCCCCTGTGCCTGGCTGCCTTTTTTTTTTTTTTTTTTTAAAGGCAGAGTCTCACTCCATCGCCCAGGCTGAAGTGCAGTGGCGTGATCTCTGCTCACTGCAACCTCTGCCTCTTGAGTTCAAGCGATTCTTCTACCTCAGCTTCCCAAGTAGCTGGGATTACGGGAGCCCACCAACACACCCAGCTAATTTTTGTATTTTTAGTAGAGACGGGTTTCACCAGGTTGGCCAGGCTGTCTGGAATTCCTGACCTCAGGTGATCCACCCTCCTTGGCCTCCCAAAGAGCTGGGATTACAAGTGTGAGCCACTGTGCCCAGCCTGACTTGTTTTTTATAATGCCTTTTTTTTTTTTTTTTGAGACGGAGTCTTGCTCTGTCGCCCAGGCTGGAGTGTAGTGGCGTCATCTCAGCTCACTGTAACCTCCACCTCCTGGGTTGAAGTGATTTTCTCACCTCAGCCCTCAGCCTCCTGAGTAGTTGGGACTGCAAGTGCACACCACCATGCCCAGCTAATTTTTTGTATTTTAGTAGAGATGGGGTTTCACCATGTTGCCCAGCTGGTCTTTAACTCCTGAGCTCAGGCAGTCTGCTTACCTTGGCCTCCCAAAGTGCTAGGATTAAAGGTGTGAGCCACTGTGCCTGGCCTTTTTTTTTTTTTTTTTTTTTGAGCAGTTTTAGTTTCCCAGCAGAATTGAGATGAAGGTACAGAAACTTCCCATATGCTTCCCACATGCATAGCCTTCTACATTATCGACATCCTCCGCCAGAGTGGTACATTTGTTACAACTGATGAACCTACATTGATACATCATAATCACCCAAAGTCCATAGTTTACATTAGAGTTCACCCTTGGTGTTATATATTCTATGGGTTTGGACAAATGTATAATGAGACGTATCTACTATTAAATACTTTACAGAGTATTTTCACTGGCCTAATCCAATGGACATTTATTGTTACTTCATTATGGTTGGGCACAGTGCTAGATGCTGATGATTAAGAGAGGGCATGGGATTTGGTCTTGTCCTCAAGGGTAGAACCTAGGCCCATTGCATCTTCAAAGCCCAGGCTCCTTCAAAGCCCAGTGTAGTAGCAACTGCTGTACCTTGCCTGTGCCCTTTGCGTATCTCACTCCTCTATCTCTCTAGAAAGTTGGAGAGAAAAGTGAGCAAGGCATGAGGAACAAAGTTATTTATTTATTCTTCATTCATCTATTTATTCTTTCATTACCGTTTGTGTTAAAACATTCCAAACCCAAACAATTATTTGTATGGTCCCCTGTGTATTACTTGTGGTTTCCCAAGAAGTAGTTGCTAAGCTTTTCCTTGTATGGTTTCTGTGAGGTAAGGAAGGAATGATGTGATTTTCTCCAGTATGTAGAATGCAGTTCCAAGAGGTTAAGTAATTTACTTACAGTTATTTAGCCAAACAAGGTTACTGCAAGGTATATGAAGTCAGGTCTCTTGACCCAGTTCATGAGAGAGTTAAAGGAACTATCATTCTTTTTAGCTTTCATGGAAAAAGAAGGTTGAGTGTTGGGAGGGGTGTGGGTAGGATTGATAATGGACTTCAAAAATGTGAAGGGTATTTCTGTAGTTTTCATTCTTCTGAAAGCCTTCTAAGAGGCAGTGAACCAAAAGCACACAAGAATGGCAAGAAGTTAGCATGCTGAAGAAATATCCTCCTGGCTGGCAAGCAGAGTGAGAAGACTGCTATCACCTTTTCTAGAATCTTTTGGAATTGTAGGAGCTGTTAGATCCTGGGTTAACTCTATGAAGAAAGTCAGAAGGATCAGAGAACATCAGTGTCACAGCTCTTCATTGGAATATCCATGTCTCCTCCTTTACTCTGCTCTACCTTCCATCCTTTGCCACTAATTATCCAGAGTGTTTGTCAAAATTCTCTGTTTGCAGTTCTGAGCTAGCAACTGTACACACTAACACCATCAGACACAGCTAATACCTACTCTAGTCTAGTAGCTTCCGATCTAAGGCAGACACATGGGTATAGTTAAAGATTTTGAATGTACATGTGTCCAATCTGACAACAGTAACACAAACCATCCATTCAAGTAGAAGTGATTGAGTCAGAATTGGATTGCACCCCTTCCCCCACACCCACACACATTTCAGTTCTTTCCTCATGATTTTTTCCTCCCAAGACATCCCAGGAATTTGTGGAGAAACTAACCAAGCGACTGAAAAGACACCCTGAGGAGACAGGAGGCTTCCAGGAGGCACCGCTGGCCTATGATGCCATCTGGGCCTTGGCACTGGCCCTGAACAAGACATCTGGAGGAGGCGGCCGTTCTGGTGTGCGCCTGGAGGACTTCAACTACAACAACCAGACCATTACCGACCAAATCTACCGGGCAATGAACTCTTCGTCCTTTGAGGGTGTCTCTGTGAGTTAAAACTTCCTTCATACTCCCCTGTCTTCCCAATCTTGAGAGAGACTCCCAAGAGGCACCTTCTACAAACATGCATTCTCTGTTTTTCTCAGTTACTTCTTTGCAGAATCAGTCTCCGACCAGAGAAGTAGGGACCTTCAAATTAGAAGAACCCATCAAAGACTAGAGGAAAAAAAATGATGTATTCCATTTTTTTAAACCCCTCCCCTCATTTCTTTTCAAACTAGACCAAGTATTCATGAGTCAGATGAGAACTATAGGATTTTGAAAGACAAAACAGTCTGAAAGGTCATCTTCTTATTCCTTTTAAAATGAAAAGATTAGTTTCCAGAGAGATTTGCTGACTTGCTTAGGCCACACAACCAGAAGCCTGCTGGTGTTCTGTCTGGGGATTTTTTCCCATTCAAATCTCATAAGTGAAGCTCCTTCTCCAAAGAATAATGTTTCTAAAATCTAGGGTATGGGCATCTGGGGTATGTCCTATATGCAGGCAAATGCCATAAATAGCATTCATTCAGAGGCTCAATTACATCAAAAACAGAAGGATTTAAAGAGTCCCTGATGTTCTCTTTCACTCTTGCTTTTGTCTCCTTTGCCTTGCTCCACATGTTCCTTCCCTCAGGGCCATGTGGTGTTTGATGCCAGCGGCTCTCGGATGGCATGGACGCTTATCGAGCAGCTTCAGGGTTAGTACAGGGGCAGGAGGGGACCGGACATGGGGGCTAGGCTGGGGCTGGGCTGGGATGCCCCCTGGGGAAGAATGCCAGAGACATCACAAGATTGCCCTGGCACCTCCCAACTTCTGCCCTTCTCTTTTAACTCTGTTCATCAAGCTTGTAAATAATAATAATAATAAGCTTAACTACAAGAAGATTGATGTCTTTGAGTTGCACTGGTTTTGCTCTTGAAAAGAGGTGTGCAGGCTGGGTGTGGTGGCTCACCCCTGTAATCCCAGCACTTTTGGGAGGCCAAGGCAGGCAGATCATGATCATGGTCAGGAGTTTGAGACCAGCCAGACCAACATGGTGAAACCTGTCTCTACCAAAAATACAAAAAAAAAAAAAAAAATTAGCTGGGTGTGGTGGCAGGTGCCTGTAGTCCCAGCTACTTGGGAGGCTGAGGCAGGAGAATCACTTGAACCCAGGAGGCAGAGGTTGCAGTGAGCTGAGATCACGCCACTGCACTCCAGCCTGGGTGATAGAGTAAGACTCTGTCTCAAAGAAAAAAGAAAAGAAAAGAGACATGCAAATTAAAAACAGCTACTCTCTTTCCCAGTGGCTTCCATTAATTTCAGGAATTTCCCCTTGAGTGGCTTGGGTTGAGAGGTTGATGACCTGTCAGTTAGACTCAAGAAAGCTGAATCTAGGAGAACCGCTATTTTTTTTTTAAGGGAATCTGCCAAATTTCCTTGCTGTGTAAAGCTTCAATGTGTATAGCTTGGCTTTTGTAGATTGTATTTTCTTGAAACTTAGCACACAGGTATTTGCAGAACTTCTAGGAGTTAATTTTTCTGCTCCACTCGGCTCTCAGTCTTTTACGGCATGGCCAAGAGAGCTATTTCTTGGCCTCCTGTGAAAAGTTTCTTTCTTCCTTTCTCCCCACCTCCACATCCTTTCAGCTCCTCTTTGTATCCAGGACAAGAGGAAATGGACTTCAGCCATGGTGAAAGGAGTGTGAGTTGGCTTTTGAAGGAAAAGTTATGGTAACGGAAACAGTTCTAGAACAGAAATCTTAGAAATGACCAAATTTTACTCAATGGCGCTTTAAGAGGCAGATATAACTTATCCAAGGAATTAAAACCCAAGCCAACAGAAGAGAATGTTCTAAAATTAAAATGAAAGCCACTGGGAAAATAGAGCCTGCCCATCATGAGAGGAAGAATAAGCAGAAATATGTGTAAAGCTTTAGAAGCCAAAATCAAAGTGAGAGACATCTCGCCGAGAGAGGTGTGAGGAATGGAATAGGTGGCAGACATGTTGTGGAGCCTCCTCACTGAAGACTTTTAAACATAGATATTCTTATTTATTTGAGTTGTCTTGGGAACCACCTTATATTGCTTTTAAGTCATGTTGCTGATTCAAGAGTCTCGTAGGTCCTTCCAAGCATCCTTAGGGCCTCAGGTGAAAATAAAATCAGATACAACCATGCAAAGCTCTAGGGAAGTGGGAAGTTGAAAATGCCTAGGATCAGCTCTTTGGCTACCTGTGGTCACTCCTTTTATTGTCGTCTGCCCAGGTGGCAGCTACAAGAAGATTGGCTACTATGACAGCACCAAGGATGATCTTTCCTGGTCCAAAACAGATAAATGGATTGGTGAGTGGATCTTGTTTGTATTTTCCTTCAGCCCCTCTCGACAGTCAAGGGAAAAAGTCATGCCTTTGAGTGAGGATGGAATGGTAGAGACTGTTAGGTTGGAATGTGGCTGGCAGCTGGGCCAGGAGAAAGGGTTAAGTGAGAGTGAATACAACCCCTAAGGCGTGGGTAGGGGAGACTGGTGTATTTGGAGAGGGAATAGGCGGTGGTTAGTACTATTTTTAATGGTGCATTGCTGGGGTAACTGGGGATTAGAGGCAGGGGGTGGGCAGAGGGCGGGAAATGGAAACTCCATTTGGGTTTCCCAGATGTCCTGGTGTCTTGATATATTTGAACCAGCTACTTCAAGCCCAGAGCTGTCTCTTTGTCTGTCTCTGTCAGGAAAACGGTTGCTTAAACTATGGAGGAGGAGGGAAAACCTCATGTAATTGTCATCTGCCAAAATGTGCTTTTTATTTTTATATGTATTTTTAAAAATTTTCCTATTTTTATGTAATTTAGAGGTAGACGTGCAGTTGTGTTACATGAATATATTGCATAGTGGTGAAGTCCGGGCGTTTAGTGTGCCTGTCACCCGAACAGTGCACCTTGTACCTAATAGGTAGTATTACATCCCTCAAAATATACTTTTTAAAGAGAGAAAGCAAGCAGTTATTCTTTGTGTACTTGGTCTAAATGATAGGACATAGGAGAGAAACTGAAGGTGGACAAAAGGAAGGACCTACTGATAAAAGAAAGCCTCCTTGAGAATGAAGGGGAGGCTCAACCATTGAAGATGGCTGCCGTCTGCCCTGCCCAGCAGATATCCAGTCATTCCCAGCACTGCTGGAGTTTTGCCCTTTTTTTTTTTTTTTTACAATTCGAATTTAGGACAATGTTCTGGATTGCTATAAATGCTGCATGGCCTAAATTATTCTTTAAAAAAAAAACTAAGCAAATTGAAATTAGTTTTTTTTGGTGAACTCTGACAAATTTGAACTTCCCCCTAATAATAACTGGAAAACATATTTGGGAATATTACCCTGCCAGGATTAAAATTTCAGATTAGCTTTCCTTCTTTTTTTGTTTGTCTTAAGAATAGGTGTCCACACTAGATACTTCAAGGCCTTTTTAGCTTTATGATTCCATAATTGTCATTTAAAACTTTGATTTGGGTTATAAGAAACCTTATAACATTTTTTAATGATCCCCTTCTTTCTCCTCCCATTTTCCTTTGCTGTAAGAAAGACAGAAAAACTTAAAGAACAAACAAAAACAAAGACTACAACTTTGGGGACATGCCTCAGCATTTCCCAACCTATGGATAGACCATTCACTCCATCTTCTCATCTCATTTCTGGTTGCTTCCTAACGGCCCCAGTGGCACTGAGCATTCTGCCTGCAGTAACCTCTGTCCAGTGCAGTTAGGGCCTCATGTCCCCAGCCAATGACTGAATGTCCATCAGCAATCTAGTTCTTTGCCCTTTTCTCCTATCCCGTCTTCATTCCTTTGTCCTCCTTCCCTTCTCTTTTCCCTTCCCCTCTTCCTCCCCTGTGCCATGCAGGAGGGTCCCCCCCAGCTGACCAGACCCTGGTCATCAAGACATTCCGCTTCCTGTCACAGAAACTCTTTATCTCCGTCTCAGTTCTCTCCAGCCTGGGCATTGTCCTAGCTGTTGTCTGTCTGTCCTTTAACATCTACAACTCACATGTCCGGTAAGTTTCTCTTCTGACGTTTTCCTTGTCTGCCTCTCTGAGATACTGATCATGTTCCTGGACAGGATGAGAATAAAACCTGTGTAACTCCCATGGCCATGTATCATGGAGTTTTTCATTCTGACTTGTTGAGAATGAAAACAGGGAAACCAGATATAACCCCCACTCCTACTCCAAAGTAGCTAACGGGAGGAAAAAAGAAAAGAAGAGAAAAAAACAACCTTTGGGGCCAGGTCTCACAGTCTTGGACTCTACATAAATAGCCTGTATTCTAGTGGGGGCCTGTGCTTGGGAAGCCCTCTGCAACTCCATCTTCAGCCCCATGACTGCATTGCTCTGCCTCTCAAGGCTCCACTGTCTTCTCCAATCCTGTCTTCCTTTAGCCCCTGGCCCTGAAATTAGGGTCATGCCATTGCGTGGTATTTGGAGAGCTCAGCCTCCCTGGAGAAGAGGGGTAATTCTCTCTCCCTCTCACCCTCTCCACCTCTGCCCTAGTTATATCCAGAACTCACAGCCCAACCTGAACAACCTGACTGCTGTGGGCTGCTCACTGGCTTTAGCTGCTGTCTTCCCCCTGGGGCTCGATGGTTACCACATTGGGAGGAACCAGTTTCCTTTCGTCTGCCAGGTGAGGAGGTGGTGGGCAAATTCCTTACAGGATGTGACTCTCCCACCCGTCTCAGGAGCACCTTCCATGATTTATGATTCTCTGCCCTTCCTCCTCAGCTTTCCCTGACTCTTGTCCCTGTTCTTTCCTTCTAGCATCACCCCTCTGTTCTCTGTTTGGCTCTGTCCCTTCTTTCTGTGTCTGCAGGCCATTTTCATTCTGTAGTTTACTTGTCAGTTCCAAGGTTGCCATGGCAGGCCTTGCAGAGAAGAGGAGGGAGCCATTGAAGGCAAAGGAAGGGGATCTGCTCAAAGGTCTCCTGAACAATGGTGGCTTGTCTGTGGTATGGGGGCTGAGAATCAGAACTGTGGACTTTTTTTGGGAGCCTTTGTTGGGTTTGGAAGGATAGAAGCAGAGATGGAAACACAGCAGAGAGTTGGGGGGAAGGGACCACTGCCACACAGGGAGGAGGGGCTCTGGGACTGTTGGTACATGGAAGGTTCTAGTGCTGTGGGGAGAGGCCAGCTTCAACAGTGATAGTTGAGTGGTTCTCTTTTCCACTGGTGGAAACACCCACTCTTTCTCCTGATCTGCCTGCCTGTCCTTGCTCTCTCTTTTTCCTCTGCTCTGTGCTGTCCTGATCATACATCTGTGCACATGGCATTTCCATGCACATGCACATGCAGTTCATCAGGAATCCTCTGTTCCCAGTGAGGCCAGAGTGCAGCTGGAGAAGCAGACAATTAGCTGTAGTGCAATAGGAGAGGTTCCAGAGTAGGGATCTGCACAAAGTGCTTTGGGGGCAAAGAAGGGAACACAGTTCACTGCTGGCGTGATTGGGTGGACCTCACTGAAGAGGTGGCATTTGAATACTGAAGGACAAATAGGATTTTATCAGCTAGAGAAATAGAGGAAGGCTACTTCAGGGGCATAGGGAGCATCGTGTGGCTAGAAAATACATGAAAGAGAGTAGATGAAGAGAAAGTGAGTAGTTCAGCATGGCTGGAGCGTGGGGTAGGTGTGGGGCTGGGAGATGAGCCTAGCTGGACAGGTGGATGGGAGCATGTTGTGAAGGGTCTGTGTCATATCCAGAAGTGTTCAGGCTATAACTTATAGATATTGGGGAGTGGTTGGAGGTTTTTGGCCACTAAAGCCAGGAGGTTTTAGCAAGATCACCCTGGTGGTGTGGAAGTAGAGGGTGGATGGGAGGAATTGTTCAAGGTGGGGAGACTGCTCTCCTCCTGCCGCTCCCCGTCCTGCTCACATTTTCGCATCCTCCCTGTGCCACCATGAGCTCCCTGCCCGTGCTCCCTGCCCACTCTCCCTTAGGGTTCTGCCCATCCTTACTGCAGTCCCGGCTACTACTCTACCCTGTTCTGCCTGTGCCCTCTCTTCCTTTCTAGGCCCGCCTCTGGCTCCTGGGCCTGGGCTTTAGTCTGGGCTACGGTTCCATGTTCACCAAGATTTGGTGGGTCCACACGGTCTTCACAAAGAAGGAAGAAAAGAAGGAGTGGAGGAAGGTGAGCTGCTGCCCAATCCTCAGCCCCCAGATCCTTGGCTCCTGGGGCACAGAGCATTTTCCCCTGACGTGCCTGTTCTCCCCACATATTTATCCAGACTCTGGAACCCTGGAAGCTGTATGCCACAGTGGGCCTGCTGGTGGGCATGGATGTCCTCACTCTCGCCATCTGGCAGATCGTGGACCCTCTGCACCGGACCATTGAGGTACCACTGGAGAGGAGGTGCTATGGTCAGGAGAATGAGCAGGGCTCAGTGGCCATCAGGGCCCTGGGGCTGTGTGTGTCTTGAGGGATGAAGCTACTTGGAGAGAGTGCCTTCCTCGTATTGGAAGCTCTTCCTTTCCTTCCTAGAAGGAGCCCCTCATAGGCCTCCAGATTCAGCTGAAGAAAGGAAGGGGTGGGAATCTGGGAAGGGTGTGTAGAACTTCCAGGCATCAGGGAAAGTGGGGAACAAGCACCTCCAAGGGTTCAGGAAAACATTCTTAGGCCTAGAATGAGATTTGGCATCAGCATTGAGGGTCTCATAGGAAAACAGTTGGAAGCCAGAGACTGAGAAGCGTTGAGGAGAGGAGGGGAGGCTGGCAACCATCTTTCTTGTGACCTTGTTTCTGCCCTAGACATTTGCCAAGGAGGAACCTAAGGAAGATATTGACGTCTCTATTCTGCCCCAGCTGGAGCATTGCAGCTCCAGGAAGATGAATACATGGCTTGGTGTGTGGGATGTGGGCAAAGGAGGGCAGGGATGCACAAAGGCAGGAGGGAAGGCAGGGGTAGAGGGCTTGGAGGGAGAGGGGTCTTTGGAAGAGGAGGTAGAGAGCTTGTCAACCCAGTTTGAACACCCTACTCTTTGTTATTGCACTAATCTTTTCTGAGAATAGGGGAGAGTTGCTCTTTTGCTATGAGGAGCTTAGGGCCCAAAGCACAGAAAGCACAGATGAAGAACTTGTGTTCAGCAGAGGAACAAGTGGGGGTAACCCCACCTCCAGACTTGACATTATCTTTTAGATCCCCCTTGGCCTTATTAGCATTGTTCGATTCATGGTCACAAATTGCAAACCTACCCTCTGCCTGGAAAGCCACCTTCCCACCTGTAGGGTAAGGGTGAGGCATGTGTGGCCCAGACTGGCCTATTTCTAGATATTCAACAAGCCCTTGCCTGACTGACAGCAGCTTGCCACCATTGCTTTCCTGTGTGAATCCCAGGAAAAAGTGATGTGGTCTGGGCAAGTTGGGTGGACATAAGGGATAGGGGACACAGGGTGAGGTTTGCTAGGTCAGAGGGGTTGGATTGGAGAGGAGGGCCCCCTTTCCATTTCAGAGTAGGTGAAGGGCAGAGAGGGGATGGGGATTGAGTGAGGAGCATTGTGGTCCTTGTTGCTCAAGTGACTCTCTCCTGCCATCCTAGGCATTTTCTATGGTTACAAGGGGCTGCTGCTGCTGCTGGGAATCTTCCTTGCTTATGAGACCAAGAGTGTGTCCACTGAGAAGATCAATGATCACCGGGCTGTGGGCATGGCTATCTACAATGTGGCAGTGAGCACTGACCCCATGGCATTGACCCTGTAGGCTGACCACAGCAGCCCAGATATAGAGGACTAGGAAGAATCAATGCTAGATCTGGGATCGGTTGCTTAGAAGTCTTAAAAAGTTTGTTAATTCTTCAGGTCTATAAAGCACTTTACAGTTTACAAAGCTCACTACAGACATTGTATCATTAATCTTGCAACTACCCAGTGAAGTAGATATTAGTATCCCCACTTTATAGGTGAGGAAACAGAAACACAGAGACGTTAAATTGCTTGTCTGTGGTTAATGGGCTGGACTCTATTGACATTTCCTGCCAGGGACCGACTCTGGAGGACCCGGAATCTGTGCATAGAGATCCTGGGAGTTCCTGCCTTGAGGGGAGGGGTTAACCAAGAGTGAAAACTGGTTTGGGACAGTTTGAGATTTTTCTCAATCTATATTTGAGGATGATCCTGAATTTGGATCCTTTTCAAAGGGAAAGTTCACCAGGAAACTGTCTGCATAGACTCCCTCCCATGGGAAGTAAACTCTGGATCTTGTCTGAGCCTGCAGACCTGAGACTCCCTCAATGTGTCTTTCCCTCTAGGTCCTGTGCCTCATCACTGCTCCTGTCACCATGATTCTGTCCAGCCAGCAGGATGCAGCCTTTGCCTTTGCCTCTCTTGCCATAGTTTTCTCCTCCTATATCACTCTTGTTGTGCTCTTTGTGCCCAAGGTAAGGATCTGGCTTTTCTCCCACCCTCTTTGTTCCCATGTTCCCTCCATCCCTCCTTCCTATATTACTGAGTTCCTCTGCCCTTCCGTTCACCCTCCTCTCACTCCTCCCCTTGTTTTGGGCCCAACTCTTATCAGCATTCCTTCCACCTCCAACCTTCCATCAGCCAGTCACTAGTACAGTCCTTGCTGGGCCACCCCACGCCCAAACATTTGCCCCCAGATGCGCAGGCTGATCACCCGAGGGGAATGGCAGTCGGAGGCGCAGGACACCATGAAGACAGGGTCATCGACCAACAACAACGAGGAGGAGAAGTCCCGGCTGTTGGAGAAGGAGAACCGTGAACTGGAAAAGATCATTGCTGAGGTGCGGGGGTGGGTGTCAGGGTAGGGTGTTGGAGTGGTCCAGGAGGCTTGCGTCTTAGCTTGGGTTGTCTGAAGCCAAGCCTGAGATACAGGGTCAGATGTTCTTGGCTCATGGAGGGAGGGTCCTAGGAGACAACCTGTAAGGAGTGAATGGAGCAGCATAGGGGAGGGGAAAGGGCTGAGCAAGATTCTATCTCAGGCAAAATCCAGTGTTGGCCTGGCAGGTGGAAGGGCTCTGGAGTGGGAGCTATGTGGTTGACTCAGCCTCCTTAAGGCAAGAGGATGGCTGTTGGCTGTAGGTGACAACTGGAGAGAGGCAGCTGTGAGCCTCTAGTAGTCAACACTCACAGCAGCTGGGTGTAGCATGCAGCCCCAGCATAAAGGACCTGGGCAGGCGTTCACTGTGCCCCAGGCTGTCATTAGGGGCTGGTGCAATGCCAAAGAGAGGGATGTTCCAACTGGGTTGACACATCTCTCTGATTTATTGGAAGCTCTGTGCACTGACTTTTCTCTCCTTCCCCACTTTTTCCTTTTGTTTTTAAATTCTCTCTTATTTCCCTGATCGCATTTTTTCTATCGGTATCCTTATGTTCTCTGGCTTTTCTTGTTCTGTTTTGATTTCTCCTTTTAATTTATTCTGTCCACTTACCCTACGTCCTCCCCCTACATTTTTCTGTGCCCTTCCTCTCTTTCCCTGTGCCCTTCCTCTCTTTCCCTCCTCCCCACTCCTTCATCACCTCCTCTTCTCCTACTATCCCAATTGTGCTTCTTCCTCCAGAAAGAGGAGCGTGTCTCTGAACTGCGCCATCAACTCCAGTCTCGGCAGCAGCTCCGCTCCCGGCGCCACCCACCGACACCCCCAGAACCCTCTGGGGGCCTGCCCAGGGGACCCCCTGAGCCCCCCGACCGGCTTAGCTGTGATGGGAGTCGAGTGCATTTGCTTTATAAGTGAGGGTAGGGTGAGGGAGGACAGGCCAGTAGGGGGAGGGAAAGGGAGAGGGGAAGGGCAGGGGACTCAGGAAGCAGGGGGTCCCCATCCCCAGCTGGGAAGAACATGCTATCCAATCTCATCTCTTGTAAATACATGTCCCCCTGTGAGTTCTGGGCTGATTTGGGTCTCTCATACCTCTGGGAAACAGACCTTTTTCTCTCTTACTGCTTCATGTAATTTTGTATCACCTCTTCACAATTTAGTTCGTACCTGGCTTGAAGCTGCTCACTGCTCACACGCTGCCTCCTCAGCAGCCTCACTGCATCTTTCTCTTCCCATGCAACACCCTCTTCTAGTTACCACGGCAACCCCTGCAGCTCCTCTGCCTTTGTGCTCTGTTCCTGTCCAGCAGGGGTCTCCCAACAAGTGCTCTTTCCACCCCAAAGGGGCCTCTCCTTTTCTCCACTGTCATAATCTCTTTCCATCTTACTTGCCCTTCTATACTTTCTCACATGTGGCTCCCCCTGAATTTTGCTTCCTTTGGGAGCTCATTCTTTTCGCCAAGGCTCACATGCTCCTTGCCTCTGCTCTGTGCACTCACGCTCAGCACACATGCATCCTCCCCTCTCCTGCGTGTGCCCACTGAACATGCTCATGTGTACACACGCTTTTCCCGTATGCTTTCTTCATGTTCAGTCACATGTGCTCTCGGGTGCCCTGCATTCACAGCTACGTGTGCCCCTCTCATGGTCATGGGTCTGCCCTTGA
This sequence comes from Homo sapiens, assembly GCF_000001405.40. Lineage (NCBI taxonomy): Eukaryota > Metazoa > Chordata > Mammalia > Primates > Hominidae > Homo > Homo sapiens. Next base: position 868,190 of record NT_167247.2, on the reverse strand, counting down.
GCGTGTTTGGGTAGGCATGTGCAATTTGTCTAGCATGCTGAGTCATGTCTTTCCTATTTGCACACGTCCATGTTTATCCATGTACTTTCCCTGTGTACCCTCCATGTACCTTGTGTACTTTCTTCCCTTAAATCATGGTATTCTTCTGACAGAGCCATATGTACCCTACCCTGCACATTGTTATGCACTTTTCCCCAATTCATGTTTGGTGGGGCCATCCACACCCTCTCCTTGTCACAGAATCTCCATTTCTGCTCAGATTCCCCCCATCTCCATTGCATTCATGTACTACCCTCAGTCTACACTCACAATCATCTTCTCCCAAGACTGCTCCCTTTTGTTTTGTGTTTTTTTGAGGGGAATTAAGGAAAAATAAGTGGGGGCAGGTTTGGAGAGCTGCTTCCAGTGGATAGTTGATGAGAATCCTGACCAAAGGAAGGCACCCTTGACTGTTGGGATAGACAGATGGACCTATGGGGTGGGAGGTGGTGTCCCTTTCACACTGTGGTGTCTCTTGGGGAAGGATCTCCCCGAATCTCAATAAACCAGTGAACAGTGTGACTCGGCACCTTGCAGTCTTCCTGTGAACAGAATGGGCTTCAATCCAAGAAGGGAGGCTCAGAGGACTCCAAGTTCATGAAAAGGCATTAAAGCGGAGGGTGAAAAGAGGTGTTTTATTGATCCATTGAGGGCTTAGCAGAATGAAGCAGGACATGATTAAGTCTGAGATTAGTGAGTGAGGACACTACTGGTTAAAAGTGTGGGCTCTGGAGTCAGACTGCCAGGGTATCAGATCCAACCACATGCAAACATTTTCTTAGTCTCTATTCCCCATGTCCTCATTTATGAAAATGAGAATAACAGTAATACATTCCTCCATAGGTTGGGTACAAAGACTATTATAAATTGTGCATTCAGGTGCCTAGGTTGGCCCTTGGGCCATGGTATATGTTGCGTGAATGTTAGCCTCTGTCCCTGCTGTTTAATGAGTTCCTTGACAGTAGTGGGCATGTATTGGGAGCCTGGAGCAAGTGCCTAAGCATCCCCTCTAGGGACGCTCCTTCCCAGGAACTAAGAAGAGTAAAAGAATGATGACTGCTAGAAGGTAATGGATGAGATGGCTGCTGAGTGCTTCCAACCTTAAACATCTTTGTTTAGGAACTCTGAGCATCTTGGAAATAATTTGCTATCAAACTGAAAAAAAATCTTGAATGGACAAGGGCAAAAACATTTGCCTGAGACTTTAAACATTTTTTGTGTCATCTTGGAGAGTGCTTTTTTGAAGCTCAAATTTTCTTTTATTTTGGCACTGATTTTTAAAGTGATTCTCAGATTTTTGTAAGACAGCTGCAAGGGTTGGATGGGCCCTGTCATTCACTGACCTGTTAAGAGCCAATTTCTGAACTTCCACTAAAGCATGGGCTGGTTGAATCTTAGACCAGTACTTGAAAAACTTTCCACTGTGATTATCCACCTTGGACCAGTTGGACTTAATTTGAGTCTCTCTTCTTCCCACAGTGAAATATCCGCTAGGAAAAGAGAAGAAGTCTATGGAGTAGATAAGCCTGCAGTTTGGAAAATGAATAGTTGGCATCAGAACAGCAGCAGGAGGCTGGGTGTGGTGGCTCACGCCTGTAATCCCAGCACTTTGGGAGGCTGAGGTGGGTGGATCACGAGGTCAGGAGTTCAAGACCAGCCTGGCCAAGATGGCGAAACCCTGTCTCTACTAAAAATACAAAAATTAGCTGGGCGTGATGGTGGGTGCCTGTAATCTCAGCTACTCGGGAGGCTGAGGCAGATAATTGCTTGAACCCAGGAGATGAAGGTTGCAGTGAGTTTGTGCCACTGCACTCCAGCCTGGGCGACAGAGTGAGACTGTCTCAAAAAAAAAAAAAAAGAAAAAAAAAAAAGAAACAACAGTAGCAGGAGCTATAGAACAGCCCTGGGTAGAACCTAAAAGACCCAAATTATCATCTCAAACTTGCATTGCACTTAAGTGGGCTGTAAATTATAAACAAAGGGTGAAAAGTTCTACTGTGGCCAAAGGTAAGCCAGACACTCTGCTAGCAGGAGTGCAGGAGTCGAGAGCCAAACGGTGCGGCTAGCAGAGTGCCCAGTGCAAAGGGGTGGGAAGGAGTGAGATTGAGAATATTAAAAAGGTACTTAGAAGAGAACTTGTAAGATTTTTACTGGCCAAATTTAAAACATGACTGAGCACTATTTTTCATACAGGCCTCCTACTAATAAGAAAAACAATTTTGAGATAACTACTTATTTGAGTTCACAGTTAATGTTCCTGATGATTAAGATCAGTTGCAAATGTTCATCTGTCAATGCTTATCTACAATGAGACTTCATGTATTCATTTCTGAAAGTGTCTTTTCAGGGTGAATGGTGCTATTGATTAGCACTAATACTAATTATTAGTACATTATATATAATTACAATGAGATATACACACACATACACACACACATATATACATATACACACACACAATGATATATAATTAATATATAATTGTACCCCAAGGGGTGCAAAGGAGATGTGTTGCCAGGTGGAGAGGCTACCGCTTGGCAGTTCTGGGAGGACTTGCTCCCTGTGCACTGTGAGGCAGGCTTTGCCTTTCAGACCTGCCTTTGGGTAGGGTTCAGATCACTTTCTAACTCTGGAATGTCCTAGAATGTAGACTGCCTGCAGGCTTCCATGTCCCCTGCTTTTCCCTGACTTAGCCTGTTGCCTCCCTGCCCTCCTGTTGGTTGTCTACCAGTAGAGAGCACTTTGTGTGCACTTGGCTGCTACATTAGTTAGGTGATCTTCAACAAGTGTTGATGGTGAGTTGCTGTGGCAGGTGCTTTTTTTGGCACTGAGGCAAAATGGTGAGTAAGATGGCTTTCAAGCGTTGTACCTTCTCGACGTGGGAAGATGACCAGTAAGCAGAAAAACAAACGAGATCACTTAAGAGAGCAACCAGGAGTGTTGGGCATCTCACAGCCATTAGCTCTGGTGTGAAGGACAAATCTAAAAGCAAGGGGACTGTGTGTTCATTTTCTGGGGTCACAAAACTAAGGAGCAAAGCCAGTATTCAAACTGCATATATTATTATCTATTGCCACAAAACCTGTTACCCTAAATGGCTTCAGACAACAATAATCATTTATTATCCATCATGGTTTTTGTGGGCTAGAAATTCAGATAGGGTACAGTGGGGAGGGTTCACCCTGCTCCACAGCATCTGGAAGATCTGAAGTCTGAGGGTTGTTGTCCAAAAGATCCTTCACTCAGCATCTAAAGGAGGTATTGGCTGTCAGCTGAGACCCCTACACATGACCTTTCCATGTGGCCTGGTATTCCTCATGACCTAATGACAGTTCCAAAGGCAAGTGGAGGCAGTTGTAGAGAGTCAGCCAGGTTTAAGCTGTATTTTTTTTTTCCCTGACAAAGCCTTGAAAGTCACGTAGCATCACTTCTGAGATATTCCACTGGTCCAAGCAGTCACAAGGCCATGCCTAGGTTCAGGAGAGGAAACACTTCACCTGTTGGTGGGATGAGCGTAAGTCACACTGTAAAGAGAACATGTGGAATGGGACAAATGTGTGTTGCAGGCTGCTTTGGTAAAAGCAGTCTGCTGCATCTGGTCTGCCTGCTGCAAAGCCAGTGTTCACTTCACTTTAACATGTTCTTTGTCCGCCCTCTGAGCTGAGCACCCTAGCCTTGTATATTTGCTGTCATACAGCCTCTTACCAGGCCCTGGATTCCTCTGGATGCTTGGGGGCCAGCTGTGATCTCACCCCAGCAGAAAATGGGAAGTGTTGAAGATGGTCCTGCCAATTGCTCCTCCCACAGTCCTTGGTAGTTTTAGGACACCCTGGATAGGCAACAGTTTGTTTATCCACTCAGGCTTTTGAAACAGATAATTCTGTGACTTTGCCCTTGAGGGAAGCTATCACTTGACATGAAGCTTACCAAAAGGTAGGCTTCATGTTAAGGGAGGCTGTCACTTGAAGGCAGGCAGAAAGGTGCTATTCATTAGCCACCTTATGGTGGGTTCATGTTAAGTGACAGCTTCCCTCAAATGGGATGCTACTCAAAATATTTAACCAGTATGGCATCCACTTACATGGCTCCCTGGAGTGTGGAAGGATATGCTGGAGACTCTCCTGGAAGGTGAGTTCAGCACCAGCAGCAGCTGTGATAGGGACACGTACTGAGGCCTGTGTGGGCTGGACACTGGGACTGATGCAGCAAAGCTAGGGAGACAGATGCAGAAGCAACGTCATGTGGCCTGCAGAGTGCATTCCCCAGGTGTGTGTAGGGAGTGTAGGAAAGAAAATCCTTTTCCTCTTCCTGTCTTAGGTTCTCCAGCCGTGGCTGTGTAAATTAGAGTGGCATAAGACAGATTAATGAGAGAAAAACAAATAGAAGTTTATTAACATTTGCTTCATGCATGTACACATGGGAGTACCCAGTGGTGAACAATGCAAAGGGGCAGTTAGAATTTGGGCTCATGGCTGGGTGTGGTGGCTCATGCCTGTAATGCCAGCACTTTGGGAGGCTGAAGCTGGGGGATCACTTCAGGTCAAGAGTTTGACACCAGCCTGGGCAACATGGTGAAACCCTGTCTCTACTAAAAATACAAAAATTAGCCGGGTGTGGTGGCAGGCACCTGTAATTCCAGCTACTTGGTAGGGTAAGGCAGGAGAATTGCTTGAACCTGGGAGGCGGAGGTTGCAGTGAGCAGAGATCGTGCCATTGCACTCCATCCTGGTTGACAGAGCGAGACTCTGACTCAAAAAAAAAAAAAAAAGAATTTGGAGCTCATATAGTTGCCCCTTGAACAACTTGGGGTTTAGGGTTACTGACCCCACACACAAACGAAAATCTGCACATAACTGTTGACTCTCTCCAAACTTAGCTACTAATAGCTTACTGTTGACTGAAAGCCTTACTAGTAGTGTAAACAGTTGATCAACACATATTTTGTATGCTATACATCTTATATATGTATTCTTATAATAAAGTAAGCTAGAGAAAAGGAAATGTTATCAAGAAAATTGTAAGGAAAATACATATAGGGTACTATACTGTATTTATTGATGCCTTAAGTTTACATCATTTACATGATGAATCGTCTGTCTGAAATGGCAGCAACCCCAGCAACAGACCTTGATCTATGGTGTATATCAAGCAATTCAACTTTTTATAGAGTCATGACTTTGCTTCTTGGGAGAACTTCCAGCATCACTGTTGGCACTTCATATGGGCCCTATGGTGTTATTTAAGGTTCACAGTATTGCTCTAGACATGATGAAATATATGCAAGAATCTTGAGAGACCACTCTTTACTGCTATACACAATTTACTGGATAGATGAACTGCTCATGCAGAGATGATTAGTGTCACTTGGCATTTTAGGCAGATACTTGCAACAGTTGAGCTCTTTGCAATAGTAAGAGGAGGTGGCTATCAAATTACAGTAGAACAGTATACACTACAGTTAATTTTATGCCGTTATGATTTAATTCTGCATCTTTTGTTAAGCTTTCTCTTGACTTTGAGTGGCTTATGTATGGTCTGTAAGTGTGTGCGTAAGTTTTGATAAATTTTATTTATTTTTTGAGACATGGTCTCACTCTGTTGCCCAGGCTGGAGTGCAGTGGCGTGATCTTGGCTCACTTCAGCCTCAACCTCCTAGGCTCAGGTGATCCTCCTACCTCAGCCTCCTGGGTAGCTGGGACTGCAGATACATGCCACCATGCCGGACAAATTTTTTGTATTTTTAGTAGAGATGGGGTTTTACCATATTGCTCGGATTGGTCATGAACTCCTGGATTCAAGCAATCTGCCCACCTAGCCTCCCTAAGTGCCTGGCCAAATTTTTGGTTTTTATAGTAGATTTGTGTATATTTTTTGGTAGTATCTACATATATTTTATACATTTATTTGTTGATGAAAAAAGTAAAATTTGTAAAATATTTGAAGAGGTTTATTCTGAGCCATTCTGAGGAGTTCCTGAGAACATGTGCCCAAGGTGGTTGGGTTACAGCTTGGTTTCATACATTTTAGGGAGCCAGAAGTTGCTGACAAAGACATAAATCAATACATGTAAGGTATATATTGGTTCAGCTCAGAAAGGCGGGACATCTCGAAGCAAGGGAGCTCACAGGTCATAGGGGGATTCAGATTTTCTGATTGCCAATTGGTTGAAAAAGTTAAGCCCTGCCTAAAGAGTTGAAGTCAGCAGAAAGAAATGCTTGAGTTAAGGGGGCGTGGAGGTGGCGTTGGGGGAGATGTTTGTGGAAGCAAAGATTCTTGTTACGTAGATGAAGCTTCCAGGCCTCAGAAAGAATAGATGGTAAATGTTTCTTATCGCACCTTAAAAGATGTCAGACTCATTAGTAAAATCCCTCCTGGATCAGAAAAAGACCTGGAAGGGGAAGGGGATTCTCTACAAAATGCAAATCCCCATGACAAGAAATGGCTTTGCAGAGTCATTTCAAAATGTCAAATAAGTATATTTTGGGGTAAAATACTTTGATTTCCTTCAGGGCCTGCTATCTGTGGTGTGATGCTGTATCAGAGTCAGGTTGGAGTTGACTATTTTATTGCTACAGAGAATCTTTTGTCAGTCTTATGATCTCTATTGTAATGTTAATGCTGGTCAGTTGTCCCTAAACTCCAGAGGAAGGAGGGTATCATTGGCATGTCTTACCTTTCTTCCTGTCAGTTAGGGGGCTTAGAATTTTATTTTTGGTTTACACATGACATACTTTTCTCTTATTTATTTATTTATTTATTTGAGATGGAGTCTTTGTCGCCCAGGTTGGAGTGCAGTGGCACCATCTCGGCTCACTGCAACCTCCGCCTCCTGAGTTTAAGCGTTTCTCCTGCCTCAGCCTCCCAAGTAGCTGAGATCACAGGTGTGTGCCACCACGCCTGGCTAATTTTTTGTATTTTTTAAGTAGAGACGGGGTTTCACCGTGTTAGCCAGGATGGTCTCGATTGCCTGACCTCGTGATTCACCTGCCTCGGCCTCCCAAAGTGCTGGGATTACAGGCGTGAGCCACCGTGCCCAGCCCTATTTATTTTTTTAATTGAGGCTGGAGTGAGGTGGTGCAATCACAGCTCACTGCAGCCTCAACCACCTGGGCTCAAGAGATCCTCCCACCTCAGCCTCCCTAGTAACTGGGACTACAGGTGCGTGCCACCATGCCCAGTTAATTTTTTTTTTTTTTGCAGAGATGGGGTTTCCCCATGTTACCCAGGCTGGTCTCCAACTCCTGAGCTCAAGCAATGCATCCATCTTGGCCTCCCAAAGTTCTGAGATTACAGGCATGTGCCACAGCACCTGGCCCATTAATTTTTCCAGTGCTTCTAAGCTATGTGGTTTGTGAGTTTTTTCAAATTGTCACAAATCTCCAAAAATTTTCAATATACTTACTGAAAAAAATCATGTGTGAGTGAATCCATGGAGTTCAAATCGTGTTGTTCTTAGCAACTGTATAACATCTTGGCTAGGTAAAGGAAAAGGAGTTTGGGGCTTCTGGGTGAGTGGTAGATGGGCAGGCAAGTTATGGGAAAGTGACCAGGAAAATATGGAACAAAGTGGTTTAGTAAGGTTTGTTATGTGGATTTAAACTGTCTTCTCCATTAGTAGAGTTGTACCTTTACAGATAGAAAAGGTTTGTTATGTAGATTTAAACTGATGTCTTCTCCATTAGTAAGAGTTGTACCTTTACAGATGTGAATTTATTTACAAAAGGAAAACTTGTATCCTGTTTTACAGCATTCACTAGTCTGATGATTTTCAATTGTTAGCTCAAAATAATCCACATGCTAAAGATAGTTTGAGGTGGCATATACTGGTACCCTTCAAGGGTGAGCGATTAATTCTGCATAGGAGGAGCCAGAAGGTTTCCCCTTCCCTGGGAGATAGAAGGATAAGACAGGGCTGGGCCCTACACATAAGCATCTATTCATGATTCGGTGAGCCCTTCAGACGTTTGAGGTTTATTTTATTTTATTATTATTTTTTTGAGATGGAGTCTCACTCTAACTCCCAGGCTGGAATGCAGTGGCGTGATCTCGGTTCACCGAAACCTCCGCCTCCTGGGTTCAAGTGGTTCTCCTACCTCAGCTTCCCAAGCAAGGGGTTTACAGGCACCTGCCACCAGCCCTGGCTATTATTATTATTATTATTATTTGTATTTTTAGTAGAGACTTTTTAATTTTTATTAGAGACTTCATATTTTTAGTAGAGACGAGGTTCTTGAATAATGTTCCTTTAAGGCTTCCAACTCACATGTCATGTTAGAATGAATAGTTAAGTGCCTGCCCTCAGGAGACCTAAATCATGTAGGTTTGAAACATCTGTAAGGGATCCTTTTTTTTTTTTTTTTTTCTGGTTGTATTCAATTCAGTAGCTTCTGTATCTTTCTGAAATAATCTCTACCTTCCTGCTTAATCATTTTGCTCCTCGGTGTAACTCCTTCCCCCACATCTCCCTATCTTAATGCACAACATGCTTATTTTTGTCTTTAGCCTTTTCTGTTATAGAACCAAACTGGGGTCTGCTTGCCTGGTGCAATAAAACCAGATACTTACACCAAGGATTGCACCAATAGAAAGAAAGGCATTTGTTGCAGGACACTACGCAGGGAGGACCAGGCAGCTAAACACTCAAGTCCTGGCCTCCCTGATGTCTTGCAGGCAAGGGTATTAGCGGCAGAATGTATCAGAGTTACATGGCATGAAAATATGTTAGCAGCTGCGAATCTGTACAGGTCTGCAGCAACCTCAATTTTTGCCTCCTCAGAAGAAAGAATCTGACTGAGGGGCATAAAGCAGAGTAAGAGACCGAAGCAAATTTTAGAACAGGAGTAAAAGTTTATTAAAAAGCTTTACAGCAGGAACAAAATAAAGTAAAGCCAACTTGGAAGGGGGCCAAGCAGGCAACTTGAGAGATCAAGTGCGTGGTTTTGACCTTGACTTAGGGTTTTATATGTTGGCAGGGTTCCAGGGTCCCTTCTCCCCTGAATCTTCCCTTGGGGTGGGCTGTCTGCATGTACAGTGGCCTGCTAGTGCTTGGGAGGGGCTGCATGCACGGTATGTTTACTGGAGTAGTATGCATGCTGACTTGAGGCATTCTTCCCTTACCAGGGAGTGTTCCTATAAGGTTATAAACCAGTTAAATGCTGTCATTTCTCCCTTAGTGCCCATGCATGAGCCCACTTGCCCAACTCCTGAGATCTTAGTTTCAGGTTTTTCTATTTATTGGGAGACTGTTTTTCCCTGGCACAGGCTGTGACCAATGATTATTTTAGAGAGACAGCTTAACAACCGCCTATCACCTGATGGTTGCCTGACATTCCTGGTGGGGAAGGAGGCCCTTTCCTGCCCTGCTCGTGTCTGACTAACTATTGTAACATGGGTTTTTAAAGGCAGGGGTAAGGCAGTGTGCAGTGGCTCACACCTGTAATCCCAGCACTTTGAGAGGCTGAGGCAGGAAGATCACTTGAACCTAGGAGTTCAAGAACAGCCTGGGCAACAAAGTGAGACCCCAACTCTACAAGAAATAAAAAAATTAGCCAAATATGGTGGCATATGCCTGTACTCCCAGCCACTCAGAAGGCTGAGGTGAGAGGATCCCTTGAATCCAGGAGGTTGAGGCTGCACTGAGCCATGATTATGCCACTGCACTCCAGCCTGGACAACACGGCAAGACCCTGTCTCAAAAAACAGGAAACAAAAAAAGGCAGGGGTAAATTTCAGAAAAGCAGAAGCTACAAGGAACATTGGAAATCAGTGCATAGAGGTTCCACATTTTTTTTTGAGATGGAGTCTTGCTCGGTTGCCCAGGCTGGAGTGCAGCTGTGTGATCTTGGCTCACTGCAAGCTCTGCCTCCCAGGATCATGCCATTCTCCTGCCTCAGCCTCCCGAGTAGCTAGGACTATAGGCACCCACCACCACGCCTGGCTAATTTTTTTTTTTGTATTTTTTGTAGAGATGGGGTTTCACCGTGTTAGCCAGGATGGTCTTGATCTGACCTCATGATCCGCCCACATTGCTTCCCAAAGGGCTGGGATTACAGCCGTGAGCCACCGTGCCCGGCCTCCACATTGGTTTTGATCTAAAAGGGTGGGATATCTTGAATCAGGGACTTACAGGTTATAGGTAGATTCAAAGATTTTTCTGGCCAGGTGTGGGTCATGCTTGTAATCCCAGCACTTTGGGAGGCCAAGGAGAGAGGATCCCTTAAGGCCAAGAGTTTGAGACCAGCCTGCGAAACATAACAAGACTCTGTATCTACACACACAAAATTTTTTTTAATTAGAGGCTGAGGCAGGAGAATTGCTTGAGCCTGGGTGGTTAAGCTGCAGTGAGCTACGACTGCAACTGCATTCTGGCCTAAGTAACAGAGCAAAAGCCTGTCTCAAACAAAAACAAAAAAACCCCAAATTTGCAATTAGTTAAGGAAGAGAACCTTTGTTTAAAAATTTGGGGTCCAGTAGAAAAATGTTAACTGCCTAGAAGGTGTTACTTTCTCCAAGCTCCTCAGGAAGAAACTTAGAACAAAGGATGATGGTTATAAAGTTCAGTCATTTTCCTGTCCTCTGAGGTCTATGCCAGCAGATTCATTTGGTGGGGTTCCGAGTTTCTGAGAGACAACGCAGAGACATATGTTAAGAGGTTATCTTTAGTTTCTATGAGGAAAGCAAACCTATTCAGAACGCTTAACTTCCTTGGCTATTGTCTTAGGCTGCTATTACCTTGTTGCTTTTCAAGTTGCTACTTATTTCTCAGAGCCAGCTAGGTGCCTGGAATTTTCCTTGAAGAAACACAGGATTTTGCTTTATTTCCATGCTTAGGAGTCCCCAAGCCCCTAAAAAGGGGGTCTTTGCATCATCTCATTTCTACACAGTCAGCAAATACTTCTTATTTTGTTTACTCTTCTGTGGTTCAAACCTCTAAGAGGCTTCCATGATCACTGCCGCTCCAAGCACTCACACACATTATTCTTTAATTCTGTATTCCTGTAGACTCTTATTTGCTCCAATTCAGTTGTGTAACTGTCATGTATGCTGGCACTATGTGCCTGACCATCCCTATTTTCACTGGACATTGTGGGGGTTGTGACTGAGTAACTTTATATTGGATTTTCTCACAGAGTATCCAATAGATGACTGTCACATGGAAACAATGAATTTAGGATAAGAGATGTTAGTCCTAAGTCCTATGTTAAACCATTTATTCAACAAAGCAGATTCTTTTAGACTACTTTATTTAATTCTCTGTTGCATTTCCCCTAGAGTCAGTCTAGAAACGATTTTACTATATACAAACATTATAGCCTCTGGCTGTAGGGAGATGATAAACAGGAGAAAAGTGTAGACATTTCTAGGTGCCAGTAAGAGAAAGCAGATAGAGGGGGTCATGAAAAAAAGGTCTTACTACAGTGATTTGAAAAGTGGAATTAAGCTTAGCCTTACCTGTAGGGCTGAGATTATGATTATGATTATGATTATTTGAGATAGAGTCTCACTGTGTCGCCCTGGCTGGAGTGCAGTGGCATGATCTCGGCTCACTGCAACCTCCGCCTCCCAGGTTCTCCTGCCTTAGCCTCCTAAGTAGCTGGGATTACAGGAGCACGCCACCACGCCAGGCTAGTTTTTTTTTTGTATTTTTAGTAGAGACAGGGTTTCACCATGTTGGTCAGGCTGGTCTCGAACTCCTGACCTCGTGATCCGCCCGCCTTGGCCTCCTAAAGTGCTGGGATTATAGGTGTGAGCCACTGCGCCTGACTGATTAGGATTATTAAATATAAAATGGGGGCTCTACATTAAGATTAGAATATGCTCTAATAACGAGGTCAAGGAGACAATAAGATTAACACAAGGATGGCTAGGATAAAGATTAGGATTATAATAGAATTAATGTTGCTGTTCTGTGCTGATGCCAGGATAAATGTTGAATCAAAATCATTTTATGTTGGAACTAGAAATAAAACTAAGATTTTCCTTTTTCTTATTTTATCGGCGTGTACTCAAAAGGGAATTTGGTATTGCTGCCCTTGCCAGGGAAAAGCTGGGAGACAGCGTATGTGGGATTGGAACCCCAGAACCTTTTATATATTCTCTTTGGAGAGTAAGATTCATTCATTCATTCATTCATTCACTTATACATTTATAAAACTGGGTGCCAATTTTATGCAAAATTCTGGTCCTTGCCTTCTGAGAGCCTGAAATCTAGTGGGTGAACTAAGCCAGAAACACACACACAATGAACTGTAACACAACTTTTTCCAAAAGTTTTATTGTTCTGTTGTTTCTTATGCTTTGAAGTATTTGAAAAACTCTTATTTTAAGGAAGTGAAACCCCTTCAGCTGGGGGATCATTTAGATATAGTTTTAGATTGAAATGATTTCCTCAAAGCTTGTTGAGAAGTTGAAGCTTTTCACCTGGGCCTGGGAGGCATTATTTTTACCAAAAGGCAAGGTTAAGAGCAAGGAGTCTGGAGCCAGTTTTCCTGGGTTCAAATCCTGTCTTGCACATTTGCAAGTGGTAACATAAATTCTGTGTTTTAGTTTTTACCTCTGAAAAAGGATAATAATATTATCTGCTTCATAGTGTTGTTATAAGGGTTAAATAAGTCAATATGTGTAAATTGCAGGGGGTTCCTGACTTTGACCATTTTTTGACTTTATAATAATGCAAAAGAGATACATTCAGTAGAAACCGTACTTTGAGTACCAATATAACCATTCTGTTTTTTCACTTTTAGTACAGTATTCAGTAAATTACATGAGATATTCAAAACTTTATTATAAAATAGACTTTGTATTGAGGATTTTGCTGAACTGTAGGCTAATGTAAGTGTTCTGAGTATGTTTAAGGTAGGCTAGGCTAAGCTATGATGTTTGGTAGGTTAGGTGTATGAAATGCATATTCAACTTACAATATTTTCAGTATATGATAGGTTTTTTGGGAGGTAACATCATTATAAGTCAAGGAGCATCTGTACTTTAAGTGTTACTTGGGTTAACATAACAATTACATAAATGCTTATAGTATCATAACCATATCTATGTCTTTGAGCAAAGTACAGTTCGGATGACCCTGGAGCAGAAGTCTGGGATGTCACATGCAATACCATATTTGGCCGGTAGATGACACCAAGGTCCACAATGTGCCAGCCTAAACATGAAGATATTTTTGTGTCTTTTTGGCTGCTCCTTTACCTGCGATTTGTGGGCATTGTAAGAGAAGAAATAGGACTGAAGAAGCTAAGTTTCCTTTGTAAGGCTCAAGCCTGAAATACTGGGATATTTGATTATGGTGTGAAAGCAACAGTGTGTATTTGAGAGTTGCCTGACTGAAAATTATGGGGCCTGGATTTTAGTTCTGATGCTGTGGACACTGTGTGTTCTTGGGTGAGTTTCCGAACTTAGCTGGGCTTCAGCTTCCCCTTCTCTTTTGCTGTTATTTGAGGAATAAAATAGAATGAGAATACAAAACAGACATATAGTGAAGTGGGAAAAACATGAGGGAGAAGCAAAGAAGATATGGTAGGAATTAGAATTGGAGGTGAAGGAATAGTGGGGATATGGCAAGGGAGGGGAATTAAAAATGGAAGTGATAAAGGTAGGAACATGACTATGGAGGCGAAGACTTAAAGTAGAAAAAAATATAAAATATACTTGATGCCTATAATTTTTCGCATAAAGATACCTCCCTTTACTACATTTCAGTCGCTGTCTCTTGCACACATACATGCACACACACAGACATGTGGCTTTCATCCATTCCCACAATGTAATGGGTGTGAAGAAGGCAGAGGGGCAGGGAACTCAAACTTTCTGATAAAAGCACATAGAATCTCCTCTCTTTTAAAGCACATTAAGCAGCTCTCCCTCAGCTTTGTGTGAGCCCCATTTCCTTCCCCAGCAATCTCCTGAATGCCCTGGTTACCTCCTTGTTCCTCAGGGTGTATATGAGAGGGTTAAGTGAAGGAGTGCCCACTGCATAGAAGAGACCAAAGAACTTGCCCCTCTCTTGGGCATAGGGATTTTTGGGCTGGAGGTAGACAGCAATGACTGAGCTGTAGAAGAGGGTGACCACAGTGAGATGGGAGGAGCAGGTCCCAAAAGCTTTCCTCCGCCCTTTTGCAGAGTTAATCCTCAGCACTGCCCAGGTAATGGCTCCGTAAGAGACAAGGATGAGGCTGAGAGGCACAACCAAGATGAAGACACTGGCAACAGCCACCTGGATCTCATTGTAGGAGGTGTCTTCACAGGAGAGTCGAATTAGAGCTGGGACCTCACAGACAAAATCATCCACCTGCCGATCGGGGCAGAAGGGCAGGTGCAGGGTGGATGGTGTCTGGACCACTGACTCCACTAGCCCAATGACCCAGGCCACAGATGCCAGCTGCCAGCACAGGCGGGGGTGGATGATGGTGGCATAGTGGAGGGGCTGGCAGACAGCCACGTAGCGATCAAAAGCCATCACTGTCAAGAGGATGCACTCAGTTGTCCCCAGGGACAGGAAGATGAAGATCTGGACAGAGCAGTCCAGGAAGCTGATGGTCTTCTTTGGGCCCCAGAGGTTGACCAGCATTTGGGGAACACAACTCGTGGTGAAACAGAGGTCCAAGAAGGAGAGGTTGGAGAGGAAAAAGTACATTGGAGAGTGGAGCTTGGGGTCCAGCACAGACAGCAGGATGATGAGTGTGTTGCCCACTAGGGTTAGGAGGTAGGAAGTGAAGACAACCACGAAGAGAGTCCTTTCCAGCCCTGGGTGTTCAGAGAAGCCCAGAAGGAGGAAGCCCGGTGTGGAGCTTTGGTTAACCATGGCCTGTTCTTGTTTGTACCTGGAGGGATGAGGCTGTCACCCCAGTGTGATTCAACCTGTCTTATCAAAACTCAGCCTGGGTGTTTGTGAGGTCACAGCAGGTAGGTGTTTCTCTTCTGTCTCTGCTCGCCCAGCCTCCCTTTCCAAGGCTCATCACCATCCAGCAGCTCCTTCTCATTCCCTGTTCTTCCTGGTCAAACATTGTCTAGTGAGAGTGAGGAATCCATGAATGTACTGGACAGCAGATGGATACTCACACTGGTGCCTCTGACTTCCTGGGTGAGGGCAAAGGAGGCTGATTAAAATATGCACTAATTCATTAATTCATTCATTCAGGGGAAATTTATTGAGTGCCACTATGTTCTGAATGCTGTTCTAGAGTTGTCTCTTATCTATTGGATGATCTCGTAAGGTATATTGAATGAATTTTCTGATAAGTTGTCTCTGTAGGCTCAATTATTGCTCTATTGGTTGAATGAATTTTATAGAACTCTGTACATTCCATTTATTTTGTATTTTTTCATTTGCAAGTAAGCTTATCAGAGACAGTGTTTTATCTATGAGAGAGATTTTGTTTTGTTTTAAGATATCCCTACTTATAGAGAGATCAGGTTGGTTGCCCTGGCCTTTTTAGCAACCTAAGTTTCTGAACCAACTGACTTTCAGGGAGGGGTGGAAATTGGTCCACATGCTTCGTCCTTGCCATGAGTAGCTTACAAGTAGGAGGCAAGAGTGGCCACAAGCATGTTAAAATCACCAGGGTTCACAGGAACATTATCGAAAGACTCCAAGAATCACTCTCCCTAAATCTTGTAGTCTTTCAGACACCACCAAAAAGAGAGTCCAAAATTTAAAGGCCAGTAACACCAATGTACTGGGTGAATGAGAGTAAAGGTTCTGTAGGATGACTGACCAATTTGGTTGGGTATATCAGGGAAAGCTTCCTAGAGGAGGTGACTGGACTTTTTCCTTAAAATAGAGATGTATTGGGGCATAGAAGGTCAGTTGAGGGCTGGGGGTGGGAGACTGAAGCCACTCTGGCAGGTCAGAGACAAGGACTCAGGGTCTTACAGGACCTTAGGAAGGCCATGAGGGGAGGAGATGAGATGGTGGGCCACACCACAAACGTGCCATGGAGCTCAGAGGATGGCAGGAATGTCTTCCTCTTACAGGGTCCCCATCTTGTATTAAGCTCTATCACATCTCCCTTTTTGCCAGGACTCTCTGCCATTGTCTCTGTCTTCTTCCTGTTTTTCCCATTATTCTTTTCTCACTTAAAATATATTTTTAATTTTCAAAATATTGTTACATATTTAAACAACTAGGTTAAGGAACTGAGCAAATGTTTCAAGTATCTTAGAAGCTTCTGTGTGCCCCTCCCTGATCTCTCAATTTTCTCAATTTGTCACCCCTCAAGATGTCACCACCATTCTAATTTTTTTTTTTTTTTTTTTTTTTTAGAGTCACGTTTTATAGCCCAGGCTGGAGTGCAATGGCACGATCTCTGCTCACTGCAACTTCCACCTCCTGGGCTCAAGCTATTCTCCTGCCTCAGCCTCCCAAGTAGCGGGGATTACAGGCACTCAAGACCATGCCTAGCTAATTTTTGTATTTTTAGTAGAGACGGGGTTTCGCCATGTTGGCCAGGCTGGTCTCAGACTCCTGACCTCAGGTGATCTGCCTGCCTCGGCCTCCCAAAGTGCTGGGATTACAGGCATGAGTCACTGTGCCTGGCCTCTAAATTTTTAATTATGCCTTCGCTTTCATTTTTTGAGATGTATTTAACGTACCATAAAATTCGCCCTTTTGAAGTGTGTAATTTAGTGGTTTAAAGTATATTCACAAGTTGTGCAACCAACACCATTTACTTCCAGAATATTTCATTACTCCCAAAAGAAACCTCATGCTCATTGGCTGCCGCCCCCTCCTTTGTTTTCTTTGTAATATAAAATTCTTTGCATGTAACCTTAAACAATAGCCAATTGTTTCTTATTCATCCATCATGTGTCATCCTAATTAATTTTCTACATTTCTAACTTTGTCATTATCTTGGCATTTCATTCCTTTCCTTTCTCTGCTATATCGCTGAATCTCTTTAGATTACACCTTTCTTAGTGACTGTTTCCCTTTCCCTCTTTGTTCTCTGTCTTTTCCACTCTCATTATTTTTCTCCTACTCCTTTTCCTTCTGAAATATTCATGCATTGGTCTACGCATTTATTCATTTCTTGAGCCCCAAAGTGCCAGCATTGTGTTAGGAGCTGGGGAAGGAGTTGGGAGGTCCTTTGAAAGGGGTTTATGATAGTCTAGTGACCATGAGCTACCCTTGCTGTTAGTAGCTACCATCAAAGCATGGTGATAAACAACTCCCTGAACATCTGGTTCTCACAGTGACCCTACAAAGAGATAAAATTATCCCAATTTTACCAAAAAGTGAACAGTCACAGACG
Organism: Homo sapiens; assembly: GCF_000001405.40. Taxonomy (NCBI): domain Eukaryota; kingdom Metazoa; phylum Chordata; class Mammalia; order Primates; family Hominidae; genus Homo; species Homo sapiens. Next base: position 850,890 of record NT_167247.2, on the reverse strand, counting down.
GGACAAGAGACTTGTAGAAGGTTACCTAGTCAATAAGTGCTAGGACTAGGATTTTAGAGTAAGTTTAACTCCAAATCTGGTCCTCCAGTGTTGAGGATAGGCGGAAACTGATATCTCACAGCCAAAGAGCAAAGGTTCTGCTTACCTTCAATCAAATAAAAATCTCTTCTGGTACCAGCAATTCCCCATGACAGAGCTCTTAACTGGTGCCCAGCCTCCACTTGTACATCAGGAAGAAACAAAAAAATAAAAAGGAATGGGCATCCTTGAATGGGCAACTGCATCTCTGGTCACAATAGGGATTGCTAATGCTGACCATCTGGCACTTTTCTAAGCACACATGTGTGTGATGAGCTGGAGCTGGCTCAGATTATCTCTTGATTAGTAAATTTTTAGGAATTTTGTGAGACAGTTATTAAACCATCAGTGGCTTGAGACAGCCATGGCAGGAATATTTACACTATGAAAATTGGCAAACACTACAAATTAGGGCTCTCCCCATCTGCCACCAACCAAGTTGTTTATTAAACATTTACTCTACACTGCTGATTATCCTTCACAACTCTACATATTATTCTCTTCCTTCCAATATGAAGAAGTTGAAACAAAGAAATATAAATAACTTTCCCAAGGCAGTATAGTTAGTAAGCACCAGAGCTGATGTTTGAACCCAAATCTGCTAACTGTAGAGGGTTTGCACCAACCAAAGCCCACCAAATCTCTGCAGGGAGGATGAAGCCAAGGTCAGAACTTTGCCATTGAGTTCTTTGCCATCGAGTTCTTTGCCATAGAGTTCTTTGCCATTGAGTTCTTTGCCAACAATTTTCCCCCTCAGTCTAGGCAGAGGTGTGCCTCTGTTTTAGTGGCATTGGAGGTAGAAATGTTGACATGGTATGGTGGTAGAGGGATCCCACGGAGGGAAAGAGCTCATTAATTCTGCTGAGACTCTAGGGTCCATAGCCCACAGACAATTCATTAGCCACAAATTATGGTAAAAGGGGCAGGGGAATATCTATAGGAAATATGCCAACAATAGTCATCACTGTGGTAGGTAAAAGAGGTCACTCATTGCTTCTTTCTGTCAACAGGAAGAAAAAGGACAGTGTCTCTACTCCCACCTCCAGTGAGTCCCGGGCATCCTGATAGTCCTCTCAGGCTTATGATTCATCTATTCAGGACCTCAGTTTTTAAAGTTCTCAGCTTCCTCCTTTTCTATTTAGTTATTCTGAGATGGAGCACACTGTAGTAACAGAGAATTATAAAGCTCTGGGTTTGGAGAGTACTTAGAACATTTAGCCAATCTTCATATAACTGAATCGTTATGCTTCTCTTCCATTAGAAAGGGAGCCTATGAGATCAGCTAATAAATGGCATGTACTAGGTCCATGGATCTACCCAGTAGTCATTTCTGTAGTCTCTAAATCTGTAACTGGAATGCACATGCTTGGCCATTGGCAGAATCCCCACATAGTTCTTTAGTCTGTGGAGTACGAGCTACAGATTGAAGTGGAAGCCCTGAATCTACACCTCTTACCGCAAAGACAGTGAATCAAGAACAATATCACAATTCAAGGGAAATGGCTGATTGAGGCCACCTTTAAAGGGTGCGGGGGTTTGTTTCTATCATATTTCACATTTAATTCACCAGTCTGGTCACTACAAATATCAGATGCAACTTGAAAGATGACCAGACTAGCACAAACTCAACCAAGAAATAGCTGTAATTACAGCTGTTGTGCCTGATTAGCACGGTTTCAGGTCCATGTTATATGGCTATTAATCTGGTGAATAATGTGTTCTTTTCTTTTCTTTTTGAGATGGAATCTCACTGTTGCCCAGGCTGGAGTGCAATGGCATGATCTTGGCTCACTGCAACCTCCCCCTCCCGGGTTCGAGCGATTCTCCTGCCTCAGCCTCCTGAGTAGCTGGGACTACAGGCGAATGCCACCACGCCTGGCTAATTTTTGTATTTTTAGTAGAGACAGGGTTTCACCATATTGATCAGACTGGTCTTTAACTCCTGACCTCGTGATCTGCCTGCCTCAGCCTCCCAAAATGCTGGGATTACAGACGTGAGCCACCGTGCCTGGCTGAATGTGTTCTTTTCAAATACTATCAGGAAGAAAGACCAAAGGCAGTTTGAATTTACAGGTATGGATATAAGTGTACATTTACATTTACATTTTTGCTTCAGTACCATGTTAAAACTCTCCCGTCATAATAGGGTCCAATGGGACATGGATGTGCTGCAAGTCCAGGCAAAAAAGCCTTGATTTACATCATTTGCTGATTTCTGCAGTGTAAATATTCTCACCATGGCCAATTTTAAACTGTCAATGTGAGATTACTGAAAATGCAGAGTTGTAGAGAAATGTATGGTAACACACCATTACACAGAATAATTTATAATACAGAGGGTTTTTTTTTGTTTGTTTGTTTTTGAGGAATAAACAAACAGTCTTTATTAGGCTCAGACCAGAAGTCCATGGATCTTGAGGAGACCTGTGTGTATTTGTCAGTTTTCTTTTTCATGTTCTTTTCCACCTATTTCTGTAGCCTCATAAGCTGTTTCTTCTTCTGGTAGTGGATCTTGGCCTTCTCCTTCCTCTTCTTCAGGGTGGCTGTCACTGCCTGGTACTTCCAGCTAACTTCATGAGCTCGGTGTCCAGGCGGACAAATTTTCTTGTAGGCTTCAGACACACAAGCTTGAGGGCAGCAGGAACCACCAAAGCTTTTTCTTGTCATGGGGCGGTGGAATGCCGTCAGACACCTTGAGGTGGTTGAGGGCGGCCTGGCCTTGGTGAGTCTTGTGGGGCAGTGGGCCTTGCACCATCCACCAGAAGATGCGGCTAGGGCTGAGAAATGGCAGGGCCTCCAGAAGGTGTTCATCCGCTTGCGGAGAAAGCCCAGGTACTTCAACTTGTTTCTGTAGAACTTGCCAGAAATGTTGATGCTCTCGCATTGTACGACCACCACCTTCTGGCCTAGAGGGAAGGAAAGGGTTGGGAAGTGCTGAGGGTGCCATCTGAAGGCTCTCCCTCTACCTGTGACTGCACACAGACAGTGATGGGCACAGCAGAGTTCATGTTTAAATTAAAAGATAGCCTAATGGAAAATCACTTCTGAACCAGGAGGACCGCACCCCAGGAATGGGAGTGGCTGGCAGGTCTCAGAGCAGTGCATGGGGTTGGTCTCATGGCCATGAGACTCAAACGAAAGATGGTGATTGTTGCTCATCACCAATCCAGAATATTTTTATTATACAGACAACATTATTTAGTATCTTTATTATATAGACATAACAGATATAAATAACCAGAAGAGTATGGAAAATATGATAAGATAGTTAAATACCTAGAAAATGAAGAGCTTAGGGATTTGTTACCTATGCCTTAAAATAACTTATTTTAAAATAATAGTCATGTTTAACAACTGGTTTGCACAATTTCTGAAAATTTAACAGTTGGCTCCATGAGGCAGTATGAGCTAGCTGCATGCAGCACACCACTGGACGTGGACCTTCTGGACATTCCACAAAACATGACATCGTTCCACTGTATCAACAATATCTTATTAACCAAACAGAATGAGCCATGAGGGCAAGCATATTGGCGGCACTGGTAAGACAAATGCACTCCAGAGAGTGGGAAATACACCCTGTGAAGATTCAGCATCCTCCACATCTTTGAAGTTTTTAGACTTTGTGCCAGGACATCCCTCTAAAGTAAGAACACATTATTGCATTTCACACTTAACACCAGTAATGCAGAATTGGAAAGAGATGCACAGTAACACACTATTACACAGAAGAATTTATAATACAGAGGTGTTTTTTGGAATAAACAGTCTTTATTAGGCTCAGACCAGGAGTCCATAGGTCTTGAGGAGAACTGTGTGTATTTGTCAGTTTTCTTCTCCACGTTCTTTTCTGCCTGTTTCTGTAGCCTCATAGGCTGTTTTCTTCTTCCAGCAGTGAATCTTGGTCTTCTCCTTCCTCTTCTCCAGGGTAGATAATGCTTGGTTGTCCTATTTAGGATCTAGAGGAAACATATTCCACACTCATGGGAATACCACATGGAACAGTTTACTAGCGACTGACTGAAGCCCAGAGCAGACCTGGGGTCCGCAGCTGTTCTAAGCTGTCATATCAGCCGTGTGGTAGTGCTTTGGTCATGTGACTCAATAGACTCTGGGGCACTAAAGGTATCAGTGGTGGGAAAAGATACAGTGTGGCATTTTGGGCAAGCCTTGAAAGGAAAATCACAACATAGATCCCTGGGGTTCTTCATCAAATCTATGCTGTCTGCTGCAGGAAAGTAAACCCCATTAGGAAACAAGTCCTAGCTTGCTCTTGGGCCTTACTAGAGACAGAGCTCCTGATCATGAGACATCAAATGGCTATTAGGCTACAACTGTCCATCATGAGCTGGGTCCTGTCAAATCAATCAAGTGATGAGGTCTAGTGGTTGCAACATCATCAGTTGTAAGAGAGAAGTCGTATATCCTGCATCAGTCATGGGCAGAACTGGAGGGTAAATGCAAGGTGCTGAAGTGGGGGGCCCAGATTCCCATGTCCTCCACGCTGTGGCCTTGGTACTTCCCAACTTGCTCATACCAGTGGCTCATGGGAGTGTTCTAGTTATTTATTGCTGCATAACAAAGTCTCCCCAAATTTAATGGCTTAAATGAACACAAACCTTATTGTATCTCACATGTTGTGGGCCAAGAATTTGGAACGAAATTGGCTGGGTTTCCTTATATTCCATGTTGCATCAGCTGGGATCCCTTGGAAGTATTCAGCTGGCAGATGGACTGCTCTAGAGGGTCCGAGACAGCTTCACTCACATGCCTGGCACCTTGGTGGGTTCACTGTAAGTTTGGGCTCATTTTCTCTGTCTTCATGCTATCTCAGGGCCTTTCTACATGGTCTGCCCAGCATGATAGACTTTTTACTTGGAAATTCAGGACTCCAGGATAGCAAGGAGGAACAGCCAGTTCTCTTACAGGCTGGCCCCAGAGCTGGCATGGTGTCACTTCTGCCACGCTGTTTTTGTCAAAACAGTCATAGACTAGCACAGATTCAAGGGGAGGGGAAATAGATAGCCCTCCTGATGGGATGATTGTCCGATAGTTTGCAGCCATCTTTAATCTGTCATGGGGGGGGGAGGGGTACTTTATGATTGGCTAATGGAGGAAAAATAAGATGACCTTGGTTCATGGATGTATCTGCTCAACACATTGGTGTGAGCTGAAAATGGACTGCTGCTGCATTATAGCCACACTCAAGAGTAGTTCTGGAAGACAGTAGAAATTGTAAATCTTCCCAATGGGCAAAGCTTTGAGTAGTGCACCTGATTATCTATTTTGTGTAGAAAGAATAATGGCCTAATGGAAGAATATTTGTGAATACATGGGCAGTGGCAAATGGCTTGGTTGGTTGGTCAAGTGCTTGGAAGGAGGAGGTTTAGAAGATGAAGAACAATGAAATTTGAGGAAGAGGCACTTGGATAGGTTTATGAAAATGGGAAATCTTTTTATTTATGAAATTGGGAAAATTGTGAATATCTTTGTGTTACATGCTAATGCCCACTAGAAAGCATCCACAATAGAAGAGGCTCTAAACCTCTTCTAAACCAAGTAAACAGTGACTATAGGCCAGTTCACACTAAGCAGTCTTCTCCACAGGCCACCCTAGTGCTGGTAAAAATGGACTTATGAAGGCAGTAACTATGGTGGCAGGATGCAGGTCTGTATGTGTTCAACAGCATGGCTTTCACTCACCAACACTGATCTAACTCCTGCAGCTACTGAACGTCCGGCCTGCCAGAAACATGCAAATGCTGCCCTTGATATGGCACTATATCCTGGGCATGAGTTTGCAGGTCCAGGATTCAAATTGGATGCTGCGCAATGCGAAAGGGCTCTGTGTATTTGTAGAAAACCCCCAAACTGACCATTTTCTCCTACTATATTCTCAACATTCAACACTTCTAGTCACCAAAACATGTTCGTTTTTATTTTATTTTATTTTGTTTTGTTTTATTTTATTATTTTTTGAGATGGAAGTCTTGCTCTGTTGCCCAGGTTGGAGTGCAGTAGCGCGATCTCGGCTCACTGCAAGCTCTGCCTCCTGGGTTCATGCCATTCTCCTGCCTCAGCCTCCCGAGTAGCTGGGACTACAGGCATCTGCCACCATGCCTGGCTGATTTTTTGTATTTTTAGTAGAGACGGGGTTTCACCTTGTTAGCCAGGATGGTCTTGATCTCCTGACCTTGTGATCCGCCCGCCTCAGCCTCCCAAAGTGCTGGGATTACAGGGCTGAGCCACCGCGCCCGGCCAACATGTTGGTTTTTCTTCCAGACTGACCAATACATTCTTCAGTGGACACCAACTTGGTGTCCTATAATTCAATTCAATTCACTTCTGACATTATTCACCTGGAGATACAGTGAGATCCCACAGGTTAAAGGATCCCATAAGGCTGCTCCCCACTTCAGATGCCAATCACAAGTCCAAGCTTCTGGAACTTCTGACCTACTGGGAACCCTACTGGGGGTTCCCACAATCCCCTCCTTGGGTTTGATGATTTATTAGAGCAGTTCACAGAATACATGAAAGCTCTTTAGTTCAATTTACCAGTTTATTATAGAGGATATTCCAAAGGATACAAATGAACAACAAAATAGAAGAGATGTACAGGAAAAGGTGTGTGGGAAGGGTTACAGAGCTTCTGGGGCATGCTGCCCTCTCAGCATTTCTGTGTGTGCACCAGCCTGGAAGTTCTCGGAGCTCTGTAGTTCAGGGATTTTTGTGGAGGCTTCATCAAATAGATATAGTTGATTATTAACTCAATGTCTAGCCACTCTCGATTTTCTGGAAGATGAGGGTAGAGCTGAAAGTTTCAAACTTCTAATCATGGCTTGGTCCTTCTAGTCAGAGTCCCCATTCAGGGGTCCCCCAAGGGGTCACCTCATTAGAACAAAAGATGCTCCTGTTACCCAGGAAATTCCAAGGGATTAGAGCTCAATGTTAGGAACTGACATATTTGGTCAAAGACCAAATATTAGAACAAAAGACTCTCCTAGCACCCCTATTGCTCAGGGAATTACAAGGGCCTTAGGAACTCTGTGCCAGGAACTGGGATCAAAGGCCAAATATGTATATCTTATTATATCACAATATTACAGCCTCTTGGCCACCGCATTATTCTGCAGCCCATGACTGCAATAGCTTTTTGGATTATATTCAGATGCTTTTCACATGTGGCGATAGACTCAAGTACCATACTCAGTGATGACCTCAGAATTACATGTCATTTTGCTATGAGTCTCTCCCAAGTTTAGCTTTTTGAAAAATCTTTTGGTTTCATATTATATTATGGGATATATTAGCAATCTCTGATAGTTTTGTGGCATATTAAATATTCATGGATGAAGCAGCTTTGGGAGTCGATAATGGATAGGGTGTTTATAACTAACCTAATTTAAATTTTATTCTAGTTACTACATTACTATGGCTATTTTGCCTGGCAATTAATGAAGAGCACTGGAACTGATTCCTACTGGGGCATAAACTTGTAGCCACTTCTGCCTTGAACCTATTAACTGCTTAAAATTTACACACACACACACACATACACACAATTTATTTTGAATATGTAAAGCACACACAGCTGTAACATTTAAAAGACAGGCAAAAATATAAAGTGAAAAGCAGATTTCTCTTCCATGTCTGCTCTTCTTCAAGTTACTGCTGTCGATGATGTCATAGGGCTCACTACCTCCAGAAACAGCTTCTTCTGCAGGAACCTGGGAGGCTTCCAAGACACAAAGGGATTTTACTTCCTGCTGAACGACGTTGGTGATGGCTTTCTTGACTCCTCTAGACCTTGCGACCGCCGGATCCCAGTTGGCGTAATCTGCCACAGTCTTTGGAAGGAGCAGGCATCATGGGCCCAGAGCTTGAGCCGATTTCTTCTCCTCGACACGGTGCTCTTGTCTAGGGGAGGCTGGCACAGAGGTCTGCAACCATGGGCCAGCTCCGCCCTGCTCTGCTGTTAGCCCACGCTGGAGGCCAATGCTTTCGTGAGGACGCAGGCCCTAGGATTTCTTTCTGTAAATATAGTCTATCCTCCATTCCCACAGGTTCTGCATCCACAAGCAAACATGAATTGAAAATACAATATTCTCAGGATGCTAAACTCATGGATGTGAGAACCGACTTTTTGTATTTGTGAGTTCTGCAAGGTCAACTTTGGGACTTCAGCATCTGCAGATTTTGGTATCTGAGGGGTGTCCTGGAACTAATTCCCTGGGGATACTGAGGGGTGACTGTAATAAATATTCATTACATACCTACTGTGCCAGATACTATGCCAGGCACTAAGAGTATAAGGATAAGTGAGCCAAAACCCTGACCCTCACTTTCCTTACTGTGTACTTTGAGAGGTAGACAATTAAAAAGATCCTGTTACTTCATGGGAAGTGCTTTTTGTTGGTGGTAGAGAGGAGCTGGAGGGGAGAGTCTTCCAAAGAGAGGGAGGAGCACGTTCAAAGGCTAAAGGTGGCAGAGAGCCTGGTGTGGTTCATACACTTGCACTTGCAGGTAGTTGTGTGAACTTGCAGGATTCTAGGTGGTTGAGCCTTAGGAGGTGGGGATGGTAAAGTCTGGAAAACAGGAACCCGATCTAGGAGTTTGGGCTCCACATTTTATTGCAGGGGGATTCTATATATTATTTTTGGCTAAGGGAGTAACATATTCAAATTTGTATTTTGGAATGATTACTCTGGTTCAACATGGATAATCAATTTCAATCGGTCAAGACTGGAGGCAAAGAGCCAGTTAGTAGTCATTCATATCATCCACCAAATATTTCTGGTTCCCTTTCCTGCCACATGATTGGTTTATTTCCCCTCACCTTGAAGTTATATGTAGCCATGAGATTTGCTTTGGCAAATGACCAATGAGTCAAAGTGTTATGCCACTTCCGATTGGAAACTAAGTGCTAGTTTGCCATTTGTCATGCTTATTATTTCCTCCTTTCCCAGCACCTAGGAGTGTTTGAGATGGTGGGTGTTCTGTCAGTCCACATCTTTGGGTGAAGATGACAAGGCAGAACCTCTGGTTGGATGACAATGGGCATGCAGCAGCAGCAAGAAATAAACCTATGCTGTTTCAAGTCACTGAGGATTGGTATTGTTATCACAGCATAACCTCTTTCCTGACAGGAAAGAGGAGAGAATGGTTCAGTTCTAAACAGATTTTTCCATCACACTCTCCATTCCATTCATGTGAGGCTTTGAGAATGTAATGAATGTAGATCAACTTGAAAAAGGAAATAAGATTTCATAGAAGTTGGGGCTTACACTGCTGCTCCCTTTTTTCTGAGGCCCTTGCTCCATCCAGGCTCCATTGCAGCACTTTATTACTTACAATTGGATTTCATGTTTGTGCCTGGCTAGTAGAGGTTGGTCAGAATTTCAGAACTGCACTAGAAAATGGATGCAGGACAGCTGTTAGCACTGTGTAGCCACTGAAGAGCAGACTCACAACTCCTCATGGTCACTGTCATGCAGAGGTTGAGAAGAGGTAAAGGAAAATCATCTCCAGGAATGGGAGCACATTTTCAGGATTTGGCAGGAGATTAGTGTTGTGATCCCTGGAAAGCTGGATGATCAGAAAACTTACTAGGACTGGAAAAATAGAGTTTTCTGCCTGATAACCCATTTGGGTATAAATCCTAATGATGTTGGTATATTTATAATGGTGTAAAACCAACAGCATGCACTTGGTAAGTTAACAGATATGCATCTCAATTTAGGTCTAACAAATTGCTGTGTGTTCTTGGGTGAAATTACTAAATTCTCTGAGTGTCAGCTTCCTGTCAGTCCACCTCAAGCAAGTGGAGATGAACCATCCTGATGACAAAGGAAAGAAGACATTGTCAGAATCAGAAGTGGCTGGGTGATGTGGCTCACTCCTATAATCCCAGCACTTTGGGAGGCCGAGGCGGGTGGATCACCTGAGGTCAGGAGTTCGAGACCAGCCTGGCCAACATGGTGAAACCCCGTCTCTACTAAAAATAAAAAATTAGCTGGGCATGGTGGCATGTGCCTGTAGTCCCAGCTACTCAGGAAGCTGGGGCAGAAGAATCACTTGAACCCAGGAGGCGGAGGTTGCAGGGAGCCAAGATCGCACCACTGCACTCCAGCCTGGGCGACAGAGTGAGACTCCATCTCAAAAAAAAAAAAAAAAAAAAAAAAAGAATCACAAGTGATGGTAAAATGATGATGATAATGTAACAATCGGAGAGGGGTTACATAACCAGAAATAGGCATGGTGCATTTGGAGAACCTGTAGGGGAGAAGAGAGTTAAAAACCAAATTGAAAAGAAAATAAAAATATAGAAATTAAATATTAAAAATGGGCAGGTATGATAATCTTTTTGAGCTTTAGATGTTAATTAAAGATACCTACCTCCTCTTACCTGACTCTTAGTCTTTCTCTGTCTCTTTCTCTCTCTCACACACACTCATATACTGTGACCCATTGTAAACACTGTGATGGGTGTATGAAAGGTAGTATACTTGGGAGCTCAAACTTGTTCACAAAAGGATAAATAATTTCTTCTTAATTTAGAAAGCACATTAAACAGCTCTCCCTCAACTTTGTATGAGCCCCATTTCCTTCGCCAGCAATCTCCTGAATGCCCTGGTTACCTCCTTGTTCCTCAGGGTGTATATGAGAGGGTTAAGTGAAGGAGTGCCCACTGCATAGAAGAGACCAAAGAACTTGCCCCTCTCTTGGGCATAGGGATTTTTGGGCTGGAGATAGACAGCAATGACTGAGCTGTAGAAGAGGGTGACCACAGTGAGATGGGAGGAGCAGGTCCCAAAAGCTTTCCTCTGCCCTTTTGCAGTTAGTCCTTAGCACTGCCCAGGCAATGGCTCCATAAGAGACAAGGATGAGGCTGAGGCACAGCCAAGATGAAGACACTGGCAACAGCCATCTGGATCTCATTGTAGGAGGTGTCTTCACAGGAGAGTCGAATTAGAGCTGGGACCTCACAGACAAAATCATCCACCTGCTGATGGGGGCAGAAAGGCAGGCGCAGGGTGGATGGTGTCTGGACCACTGACTCTACCAGCCCAATGACCCAGGCCACAGATGCCAGCTGCCAGCACAGGCAGAGGTGGACGATGGTGGCATGGCGCAGGGGCTTGAAGATAGCCATGTAGCGGTCAAAGGCCATCACCGTCAGGAGGATGCACTCAGTGGTCCCCAGGGACAGGAAGATGAAGAACTGGACAGAGCAGCCCAGTAAGATGATGGTCTTCTTTGGCTCCCAGAGGTTGACCAGCATCCCGGGGACACAACTTATGGTGAAACAGAGGTCCAAGAAGGAGAGGTTGGAGAGGAAAAAGTACATTGGAGAGTGGAGCCTGGGGTCCAGCACAGACAGCAGGATGATGAGTCCACCGGGGTTAGGAGGTAGGAAGTGAAGACAACTACAAAGAGAGTCCTTTCCAGTGCTGGGTGTTCAGAGAAGCCCAGAAGGAGAAAGCCTGGTGCGGAGCTTTGGTTAACCATGGCCTGTTCCTCTCTGTATCTGGAAGGATGAGGCTGTCACCCCAGTGTGATTCAACCTGTCTTATTAAAACTCAGCCTGGGTGTTTGTGAGGTCCCAGTAGGTGAGTGTTTCTCTTTTGTCTCTGCTCGCCCAGCGTTCCTTTCCCAGTCTCATCACCATCAAGCAGCTCCTTCTCATCCCCTGTTCCTTCTGATCAAACATTGTCTAGTGGGAGTGAGGAAACCATTAATGTGCTCAACAACGGATTGAGCCTCACACTGGTGCCTCTGACTTCCTGGTTGAATGCAAAACGTCTGATGTGAAGCATAGATCAGCTAACTAGTTAGTTTTTATTAATTTTGCAAAAATTTATTAAGTACCTATTATGTTCTGATCGCTATGCTACTACTGAATTTTCCCTTTGTTATGTGTGGAAGGAAATACAAAGAAATGTGTGTTCAGTGAGTTTCCTAATTGTAAACATTACTAGAGAATTCATCATGTTTTCTAGTGGTGGGCATAAATTTTCTCAAATCATTCACATTCTATCTACTTTACACTTTTGCAAGAGATTTGACCAGTGATAGAAATGTGGACTGTGGAGATTTCTTCTGTATGTGAAATGACTCAACTGCTAGAAAGATCAGTCAGGTGATTTAGGTCTTTCAAAAAAAATTATGACTTATTAAACTAAGAACAAACATTTCTCCTGCAAATGAAATGTCCTGCCTAAATTTTCCATTATGTGTAATATGTAAAAATAAGAAAAAATATAATGTCAGTCAGAAAGATTATTTTCTGGTTCTGTAACTGCAAAAAAATCCTGAAGAATTGATGTTTGGTGATAGAAAGCTGAAATAGATTTCAATATCCTCTCCTTTTCATGTAAGATAAAATATAGTAGTAAAAACATACCATGTTGAGTTTGGGACATGTAAGTAGAATTTTGCTTTTGAAAATACTCGGTTAATTTTATTCACATGCAATTAAAAACCTTTGATTTTGAAATAAGTTGAAACTTACAGAAAAGTTGCAAGTGTAGTTCCAAGAACTTCTATATAACCTTTATCAAATTCATCAATTTTTAGTATTTTTACTCATTTTCACTATCATTATACTCAATATGTTTATGTATTTTCATTTTTACTCTGAGTCACTTGGGAATAACTTGTGGACATCATGCCTCTTTCTCCTTATTGTCTTAGTATTCATATTCTACAACAAGATGATCTTAATTAACACTGTACAGCAATTAAATTCAATAAACTTAAAATTGATACAGTATTGTTATGTAACACACAGTCCATATTCTTATTTTCTCTATGTCCCAATAATGTTCTTTGTAGGATTTTTTTTTTTCCACGTAGGATCCAGTTGAGAGTCACATATTGTACTTAGATGTCAGGTCTGACTTTATCCTCTTTAGTAGCCTATCCTAAGTCACTGAAGTAAGGAGTCTACTTCAAATTATTGAACAATGTGGTCATTCAAGGCGGAGGAGCTTATGGGCTGGAAGAAAGAGTAGTCTCATGGCTTTGAAAAACCCTGGGTAGTACATTCAACATCAGCAGAAAACTTGAAACATTGCAGGCAAATAAGGCAAAAATATTGGGGTAGGGGGCTAGAGGTGAGAGATAGATCTGTAAAGAAAATGAGTAGGGTGGTTGAGTGAATCAGGGAATGCTTCCTGGAGGAGGGGACTGTGTTTTTGAGAAGGTGAAGAGAGTTTCAGCACACAGGGCCAACTCAGATATGGGTGGACGGTGGCAGCCACTCTGGCAGTTGAGAGGCAGGAACTGGGCAAGTTGATGGGGAGGTGGCTGGAGAGGCTATAGGTTGGCAGCATCTACCCATTGCAGTGTCTCTTTTTTGTGTGTTTAAAAGCCCCATCTCATCTTTTTATTTGTTCAACCTGTTTATATTTGTCTCTTTTTTCGTTTCCTTCCTCCTATATTCTTTTTACTCTGAGAAAAATTTTTCCTTTAAAATATTGTTGAATATTTTAACAAAAGATTGTTTAAATCTTAAAAGCCTTCTGCGTGCCCTTCCCTAATCATACCTACTACCTACTCCTGAAGACGCAATGACTATTTCAATTATTACTTTTACAAAATCATTCCTATATTGTCTTATAACATTACACCCTTTGTGTTGGTAAAAAATAGCCAACTCCTCCTTATTTATCTGTCAACCATCATTCTAATACACTTTCTGCATCCCTCTTTTACACTCTTATACTCTTGGTAATTCATTGCTTCACTCTATGTCATTTTTCAGTCTCTTCAATTTACATAGTTCTTTGACTCTCTTTCTGTTCTCTCTTGTTCTGTGTTTCACAACGTGTATTTGTTCTCACTCTCTTTCTTCTGGTCTTTTTAATTTTTCTTGGACACCCACAAAAGTCCAGTACAACTTTACTCTCTTCCTATTAATTTCATATTCACGGATGTATTTATTTCTTTATTAATCACCAAAGACCTAGTTGTGTACTAGGTGCTACAAGGGAATGAAATATCAATTCTTTTCTCCAATTCATTAGTGAAAACCACGTTAATACTTTGGCAGCTACCATCTGTTGTGTGCTTCCTATACACCAGGCACCATGCTAAACATTTCCTGAATACCTGGTTCTCATAACTCTTTGAGGTAGTTAATATCATCTTCCTTTTACAGAAGAAGAAATGGTCGCAGAGAGGTTAAGTAGCTTGCCCAAGGTTACATAGCCGATGAAGACCAGGCCTGGAGTCTGAGTCCTGTTTGATTCCAAATCTGGTGCTCCTGGGGTAGCTCTACCATTGACGATATGTGGACATTAATGGACAGTAGGAGAAGAATAAACTTATAACTTTTCCTCAATCATGTCACAATCTCCCCATTGCCTGCTGCCGGAGCTTCTCCCTGACAACGAGCTTCTAGACTGAGTGAGCCTCTAGTTAATCCTCACAATGAAATCTACAAGCAAAGTCAGGAGTGTTGGGCACCTTTGAAAGGGTGGTGGATTAGGGCTCAGGTAGTAATGTTGACTTCTAATGCTGCTGCCACACCTTTCAAAGCACTTCACAACCTCTGTATGACCTGGATAATATTTCTATATTCTATATTTATTTTCAGATGAAGAAACTAAAACATAGGTTAAATAATTAGCTCAGAATTATATAGCCAGAGCTGAGACTTGAACCCAGGTGGGTTGGCTCTAGAGTCAGGCACAAACTATACCCCACCACCATCCTTCTTCTGGACCTGTAAGGCTGAAGGTTGCTCTTTGCCCACAACCTCTCCTCTTCAACCTAGTAAGTTAACCTCTCTTTTAATGGTAGTGGAGATAGAGAAGAAAACGTGGTGAAGTGATGGAGGGAGGGATCCCGGGACTCCCATCCCATGGAGAGAAATGGCTTGTTAATTCTCCCAAGACTCCAGAGCGTCACAGTTCACAGACAATTAATTAGCCACTGGTGCTAATGATGATTAAGAAAGAAGGAGATGATTCAGAGGAAACGTGCCAGCATTGGTGCTCCCTGTGGTAAGTAAAAAGGTCACTTCTGCTCCTCTGTGTCATTGAGGAGCACAAGGTCATGTTTTCTCATTGCCACCTCTCCTGAGTGTGTCCCATTCTTTTCTCTCAAGTCTCATTTGAACCCATGTAAGACTTCGTTATTTCTTGTTTCTTCTCTACTGGTAGACATTTGGATATAATTTACATGCAATAAAATGCACAGATTTGAAATATACGTTTTGATGAATTTTGATGACTTCAATGAAGAAACAGAAGATTTCCATCATCCTACAAACCTTCCACTTGCCTCTTTCCTTGATACTTAGTTTTGCCTCTTCTAGGACTTCATACAAATGGAATAATATATACTCCTTTGAGTAAGAATTATTTCACTAGGAGTAATTATTTTGCAATTTATTCATGTTGTTTCAAGTATCAGTAGCTCATTTCTGCTTTTAAAATCAACTTCAGTCTGGGCATGGTGGCTCACATCTGTAATCCCAGCACTTTAAGAGGCCAAGAGGAATGGATCACCTGAGCCCAGGAGTTCGAGACCAGTCTGGGCAACATAGCAAGACCTTGTCTCTACGAAAAGTACAAAAACTTAGCCGGGTGTGGTGGCCTTCATCTGTAGTCCCAGCTCCTTGGGGGGCTGAGCTGGGAAGATAACCTGCGCCTAGGAGATTGAGGCTGCAGTGAGCTGTGATCATGCCACTGCACTCTAGCCTGGGTGACAGAGTCAGACCTTGTCTCAAAAAAACATAAAATAAAATAAACTTCTTTAAGATAGAATTTACATGTAATAAAATGCACACATTTTAAGTATATTGTTCAATATACTTAGGAGGTCAAGGCTGTAGGGAGCCGTGATTGCACCACTGCACTACTGCACTCCAGCCTGGGTGACAGAGTGAGACCCTGTCTCAAAAAAAAAAAAAAAAAAAAAAAGCAAGCAAGCAAGCATTCATACATTCATACCACCTGATTTCATTGACATAACTTTCCTACAACAGGAAAAGCAAATCTAGCAAGATAGAAATCAGATGATTGGTTGTCTGGGACAGGGCATAGGATAACTTTCTAGAATAATGAAAATGCATGCTCTATATCTTGAATGGGGTATTGGTTATCCAAGTGTATGCACTTGTCAAAACTTATTGAACAATATACTTAAAATGTGTGCATTTTATTACCCGTAATTTGTACTTCAATGAAATTTACTTTTTTTATGTTTTTTGAGACAAGGTGTTACTTTGTCACCCAGGCTAGAGTGCAGTGGTGTGATCACAGTTCACTGCAGCCTCAACCTCCTGGACTCAACCCCCCAAGTAGCTGGGATTACAGGTGCAGGCCACCACACGCGGCTAAGTTTTGTACTTTTTGTAGAGACAGGGTCTCGCTGTGTTGCCCAGACTGGTCTCGAATTCTTGGGCTCAAGTGATTCACCCACCTTGGACTCCCAAAATGCTAGAATTACAGGCATGAGCCACCATGCCTGGCTTCATGCCTTATTTCTGGCTTCTGTTATCCGGCTTGTTATGGAAATTCATTCATAGTGTTTCATATATTAGTAATTTGCTCCTTTTTATTGCTAATAGTATTTCACTGTATAAATATACCACAGTTTATCCATTCATGCATTGATGGGCATTTGGGTTGTTTCTAGTTTTGGGCTGCTATGAAAGAAGCCACAATTGTTGGGTATGGTGGCTCACAGCTGTAATCCCAGAACTTTGGGAGGCCAAGGTGGGAGGATACTTGAGCCCAGGAGTTTGAGACCAGCCTGGGAAACATGATATAACCCTGTCTCTACAAAATAATACAAAATATTGGCCGGGCATCGTGGTGCATCCTGTAGTCTCAGCTACTTGGGGGGCTGAGGTGGGAGGATCACTTGAGCCCAGGAAGTTGAGGCTGCAGTGAGCCATGATCATGCCACTGCACAACAGCCTGGGTCCGAAAAAAAGAAGAAGAAGAAGAAGAAGAAGAAGAAGAAGAAGAAGAGGAAGAGGAAGAGGAAGAGGAAGAGGAAGAGGAAGAGGAAGAAGAAGAAGAAGAAGAAGAAGGAGAGAACAGTTAGTTGTGTTGTATATGGTTCTTCGTTCTTTGTGTGAACACATGTGTTCTTTATTTTGGGTAAATACCTAGAATTGGAATTTCTGAGTCATTTGCTGTCTGTTTATCTTTATAAGAAACTGCTAAACTGCTTTCCAGAGTGATTGTGCCATTTACACTCCCTACAGCGATGAGAGTTCCAGATGTTCCACATCCTTGGTAATACTTGGAATTGTCAGTCTCTTGGTTTTAGGCATTCTATCGGCTGTGAAGTGCTCCCTCAAGTCGTTTCAATTTGCTCTGTGATGGTTAATGGTGTTAAACATCTTATCATGTGCTTTATTGGTCCTTACGTGTCTTTTATTCAAATTATTTTTCATTTTTTTAACTGTGTTGTCTTATTAAAACTGTAGTCATATCTTATAATAATATAAGTAACATAATAAGTATTTATGGTAATACTTTGAGATTATGCAAGTATCTTTTTCTCATTATAGTTTTGCCTACTAATTTTAGCATCCACAAATGAGTTTTGACTGTAACAATTACTATTGGGCTGTTTGCCTAATGATAACTTTCATCATTTCTCCTATGTTTGTTATTTTGAATTTTGTAAGAGCTGTCCCTCTCCTCCTATTCGTTTACTGTTTATTTTCTTTATTCATATCCAGTAATGACTCCTGGATGTTTATTTTATTCTTTCTTCATTATTCTCATTATTTACTTTGCTGTTTACATTTTCCCAGACTTGGCTATGGGGAAATCCTTTAACGTGATTACTGTGAGTTTTTTGATGTGTCCTCATTTTTTTTTTTAATGACTTCTTTAGTTTCTGGCATCATACAGTATTCCAGGGTTATCTTGTATGTTCTCTTTCCTCTGTCTGGGATCAACCATCTCTCCAAGGACTCCTGGTTCTTTTTACCAGAAAGTCGTATACAGCTGACCCTTGAACAATGCATGGGTTAGAGGTGCTGACCCCCTCATACATTTGGAAATCCATGAATAACTTTTGACTCCCCTAAACCTTAACTACTAATAAACTACTGTTAACCAGAAGCCTTACTGATCATATATACAGTTGACTGACACATATTTTGTATGTTGTATGTATTATATACTGTATTCTTACAATAACATGAGCCAGAGAAAAGAAAATGTTATTAAGAAAATTATAAGGAAGAGAAAATACACTGACAGTACAATACCGTATTTATCAATTATGTAAGTTTGTGTCATCTGTTAAGAGATGAAACATCAGTCAGAAATGGCAGGAAACTGCAGCAGCAGACCTCAATCTATAGCACATATCAAGCAATTCAACTTTTTCCTGTAATGTTATGGCTTTTCTCTGTCTCCAGGGAAAACTTCCAGCATCACTATATGGGTCTCGTGGTGTTATTCAGGCTTTATGGAATTGCACTAAACACAATTAAAAATACACAAGATCCTGGGCGCGGTGGCACACCTGTAATCCCAGCACTTTGGGAGGCCGAGGGGGGTGGATCACTTGAGGTCAGGAGTTCAAGACCAGCTTGGCCGTCTTGAACCAAAGAACGTTTCTACTAAAAATACAAAAATTAGCCAGGCGTGGTGGTGCATGCCTCTAATCCCAGCTACTTGGGAGGCTGAGGCAGGATAATCACTTGAACCCGGGAGGCAGAGGTTGCAGTGAGCTGAGATCGTGCCACTGCACTCCAGCCTGGACGACAGAGCAAAACTCTGTAATAAACAAACAAACAAAACAAAAACAGGACAACCGCAAGAACCGTGAGACATCACTTTTTCCTAAAGAGAAGACGAACTGCTTACGTGGGAATGATTAGTATTACATGACATTTTAATCCCATACTCCCAACACTTGAGCTCACCCAATAGTAACAGGAGGTGGCTACATAATTATTATAGTAGGACAGAATGTACTATGACTAATTTTACGCAGTTATGATTTAATACTGTATTTTATGATTGTTTATAAGTATTTGTGTGTGAGTTTTAATAAATTTTAACTTTTTATAATAGATTTGTGTATATTTTATAGTAAATGATAAAGTATGCTAGTATCTACGTATGTTTTATGCATTTATGATATGCCTAATTGTTTCTTAATTATTTTGATGTTTCTAAGCTATGAAGTTTGCGAGTTTTTTCAAATTGTCACAAAGGTACAAAATTTTCCAGTATATTTACTGAAAAAAATCTACATTCAATGGACCCATGCAGTTCAAACCCTTGTTGTTCAAGGGTCAACGATATTGTATTTTTCAGTTCCAGCATTTCCGTTTGGCTTTTTAAAATGGCAGTTTCTACATCTGTCTCCTAAAATTCATCATTTCTTTACCCATTGTATAAATCTTTCCCTGTGGATTCTTTAAAATACTATAGTGATTTTAAAGTCTCCATCTGATAATTCTAACATTTCGGTGGCGTTTGGGTTTGTTTTTATTGAGGATTTAAAACTGTTTGTCTAATATTTCTGTTTCTTCACATGATTGGTGATTTCCTGTTTTACACTTGATGATGTGAGTAATATGTTACAGAGATTCCGTATTCTATTACCTTTATCTATTTTGTATTCTATTATCTTTCTCTGAAGCGTATTGAATCTTGTTTAATAAGCAGATATATTACCCACTTATCACTTTGAACTTCTGAAAAACTGGCTTTACATTTTGCTGGAATGGATCATTGCAGTTTTTTCTTGGTTCTAGGGTGAACTCCTTAAGCCTTGGTTGTCATTTTGACTTCTAAGATCTGGTCCTTTTGGGGTTTTAGTTAAAGGCACATTATTTTCAGATGTCTGTTAATGGTAGCAGAGCCTAATCCTAAGTGAAATCCGAAATCCCCAGCTGACAGAAGAAAGTACCAAATAACTTGCATGAGAAGTAGGAGGCAGAGCCTGGATTCACTCCAAGATGGCCTGACTGCTACAAAGTGGAAATGCGCCATTGGTCAACACATCATCCTGCACTTATGACTGCATTAGTTATTCCAGTTGCTTTGTCAGGTTGGACAATTTTTGCACATTGACATCAGTCCCATGTACCAGGCTCAGCAATTGTCTCAGAATTACTTTTTTTTTTTCATTAGGTTTGGTCTCTGATTTTAGCTAATTATAAATTTCTTTGCTTTCAGATATATTATGGGCTATATTATCAATGTTTCTAAATTTTGCAGTATGTAAAAGATTAGTGGAAAATAAATTTTGGGGAGTAGGGAAGGCACAGAATCACAATAGTTAACCTACTATAGCCACCAACTTTTCATGGCCCTTTGCCTGTCAACTAGTGATGAGCACTGAAACTGGTTCCCATTGGTGCATAGCTTATAGCCAGCTCCATTCTGAGCTGATGACTACATAAAAAATATACTATCCCTTCCCATACTATCTGCCTATCTGAATGTGTAAAACATGCACAGTTGCAAAACTAAAAAATAGCAACAATAATAAGATAAGACATATAATGAATAGTCCACCTCTCATTCCTGCTCCTCAGGCAACTTGCAGAGTCAGTGTCTCCTCACAGAGATGTTGTATGCACATTTTAGCATATGTGTATATTTTCTTCCTTTCTAAATAACAAAATATTATACATATATTTTGCAACTTGGCTTTTAAATTTAATTCAACTGTATACACCAGCACTTATTTAGTTGTCTATTGATAAGTGTTGTTCCCATTTATTTCAGTTGCAAATAATTATTTCACATGAATATTCTTGTACATGGCTTATTTCACACATATATAAGTGTACTAATAGGGCCAGGCATGGTGGCTCATACCTGTAATGCCAGCACTTTGGGAGGCGGAGGCAGGTGGATCACCTGAGGTCAGGAGTTCGAGACCAGCCTGGCCAGCATGCTGAAACCCCATCTCTACTAAAAATAAAAATAATAAATAAATAAATAAATAAATAATAGCCAGGCATGGTGGCACATGACTGCAATCCCAGCTGCTCAGAAGGCTGAGGGAGGAGAATCGCTTGAACCCAGGAGGCGGAGGTTGCAGTGAGCCGAGATCGCGCCATTGCATTCCAGGCTGGGAGGCAAGAGTGATACTCCTTAAAAAAAAACCAAAAGAGTACTAATAGGATAAGTTCCTAGAAGCAGAATTGCTGAGCTAGAGGATATGAACATGAAAAATTTTAAATTATATTTTTATTATAATCTTTGATACTACAGATAAATAAATGTAACCCATATAGAATAATATAATGTAACACTATAAAACATAATAGTAGCATAATGAACACTCATGGTTTTTACATTTTTATAAGAGCCTTATTACTTACATATGTAGTTCTAGATACTATATTCAGTTTTGCTTATGTTTAGTTTTCTTTGGAACATTTGTTTTAGATATTATTACTTTACCTTTAATAAAGTGAATATACGGTATGTCTCTCAAGTAATAAATTGCTTTAACAAACATTAAGTTCTCTTGGTTAAACTTCAGATTCTGAATATGGCAAGATGAAATAATATCAGGGCTTCTAATGCCCTCTTACTTCCTGTTGAAAATCTCCTTCAAGTAGCTTATATCAAAATTTAGATTGGGCTTCATTTTTGTTAAAAAGCAGACATATCCTGAATTTCAAGTAGTTCCTCTTTTTCTCTGTCTCACTATGTAGTTTTGCTTGCTTTTGAGATTTATGGAGAGTATCATACTTTATGTAGTCTTACTCATCTTGCTTTTGTTAGATATAGTGAACTCCAAGATTCTCTTCAAAGAATCAGTATGTCAGCATATTCATCTCTCTTATTCTTTGATTCTCCATTTGAAAGTTGAGCTTCCGGGTTCTCTTCACCCTCTTGCCTCTAGTTTCAGTAAACAACTTTCCTGTCAGTTCTAATCAGTGGTTCATATCTGTTCCCCTGGTCACCTGCTCCATCCGGAGTCACCCTCGGCCACCTGCTTTGATTTGAATCATCCTGAGTCACCTGTTCTGTAACCACCCTTCCCACCAAACTACCCACCCTGCCGCTCTGGCTCATACCCCTGCTCTCTTTAAAATAGCCAATCGGAATTAGCTTAGATTGTGTGGTCCAAACCTAGCCAATAGGGGAACGACACAGCAGTAGGGGCTACCTGCCTCAGGAATAAGAACTCCTTCCCCTCCCTTGTCCAGGTATGCTCTTGCCATTACTCCATCCGCGAGTCACACCCTTCTATAGAAGTAAAAATTCCTTGCTGAGAAAATTGAATTTATGTCTGAGTGCTATTTCTTTGCGGCACCGTGGAATAAGCATTTGTTTCTAACACTTTTTTCACTCAATAAGTTCTAGCACATTCATCTGTATCGTTGTTTGCAGGTATGATCCTTCTATTTATGCTGCTTATGATATTCTACAATTTGGTTACCTATTTCCCTAATACTGATAGGCATTTGGTTGTCTTGGTTTGGTATGTCCATGTTAAATTTTGGTAGGTATTTTCAAACTGTTCTTCTTTGAGTGTAGACTTTTTTCCCAATCACCAATAAATGAGAATTCACACTAGCTTTCTGACTGAGTTTGGCTGGCATTTTTGAAGCAATATTCTAGATCTCAAAGCAGTTTAGAAACTCTTTCATGGACGTTATTAAAGAGACTAGAAAGAGACATCTGTTCCAAGTAGGCTTCAAGTAGGCTTCAATGGGGGCAGTGACAGGCCCAAGAGCATCCCGTCAGCCAGGGCCACATTGGGACACTCGTAGATAACCGCCACAATTGTTTTATAACTTGGCAAGATCTTCATACCATCATCTT
This sequence comes from Homo sapiens, assembly GCF_000001405.40. Lineage (NCBI taxonomy): Eukaryota > Metazoa > Chordata > Mammalia > Primates > Hominidae > Homo > Homo sapiens. Next base: position 828,025 of record NT_167247.2, on the reverse strand, counting down.
TTTACTTTTGTTACTGGAAAGGGATCCTGATCCAGCCCCCAAGAGAGCGTTATTGGATCTTGCACAAGAAAGAATTCAGGGTGAATCCATAGAGTAAACTGAAAGCAAGCGTATTAAGAAAGTAAAGGAAAAAAAGAATGGCTACTTTATAGGCAGAGCAGCCCTGAGGGCTGCTGGTTGACTATTTTTATGGTTATTTCTTGATTATATACTAAACAAGGGGTGGCTTATTCACAAGTTTTCCAGGAAAGAAGTGGGAAATTCCTGGAACTGAGGGTTCCTCCTCTTTTTAGACCATATAGAGTAACTTCTGGACATTGCCATGGCATCTGTAAACTGCCATGGCCCTGGTGGGAATATTTTTTAGCATGTTAATGTTTTATTTAGCATATAATGAGCAGTGAGAATGACCAGAAGTCACTTTCGTTGCCATCTTGGTTTTGGTGGGTTTTGGCTGGCTTCTTTACTGCTTCCTTTTATTTGCAAGGTCTTTATAACCTGTACTTTGTGCTGATCTCCTCTCTCATCCTGTGACTTAGAATGCCTAACTTCCTGGGAATGCAGCCTAGTAGATGTCAGCCTTATTTTATCCAGCCCCTATTCAAGATGGAGTTGCTCTGGTTCAAACACCTCTGACACTTTAGCTGGTTTTCTGAATTTGTCAGAGGGGTAAATGATGTAGTTTGGATGTTTGTACTCTCCAGATCTCATGTTGAAATGTGACCCCCAGTGTTGGAAATGGGCCCACTGGGAGATGTTTGGGTTGTGGTGGCAGATCCCTCATGAATGGCCTGGGGCTGTCATCATTGTAATAAATGAGTTCTCACTCCATTAGCTCACAAGAGAGCTGGTTGTTTAAAAGAGCCTGGCATTTTTCCCACTGTCTCTTACCTCCCTCTCTTGCCATGTGACACGCCTGCTCTCCTTCACCTTCCACCATGAGTAAAAGCTTCTTGAGGCCTCACCAGAAGCAGATGCTGGTGCCATACTTCTTGTATAGTTGGAGGAACTATGAATCAATTAAACTTTTTTTCCTTATAAATTACCCAGCCTCAAGTATTCCTTTATAGTATGCAAAAGAGACTAAAACAGCAAATGAAAAGAGATCTGTCTCTGAAAGAACTTATTGTGACATAGAGAGAGACAGAAAAAAGTCAGATTGACACTGGGTAAGAAGCAAGGAGGTCAGGTCCCAAGATGAAGTCCTGCCTGTGGTCAGCAAAGGGGCACCAAGGTGTCTGGGACAGTCCTGGCCCTGGCTATGGGCAGGGAGGGAATTTCCCATAGGAAGGGAAGAGTAAAGAGAGAGAGAGAGGTCAGAGTCCAGGTTTGTTGTTCATATGTTTTCTTGAAAGGGCACTATTTCCCAGAATCCAGGTCATCTCTGGGTAGGGAATCCCCTGAATTAGTTTTTTCTGAGAGTATATTAGATTTGCCCTCACAGTAACCCCATGCTGGAAATACCCAACTCCAGTAGCACTTTTCTCCCTGCCTTTTCCCACTGAAATAACATAATAATATAGGAAGAATACAAGGACTATAGAAATACAGATTAGTGTTTGAACCCTTGCTTACCAGCTACTACTAATATGATTGTGGATGAGGTAGCTTCTTACTTATTAACGGGGATACTAATAGAGGTGGTTCCTTACAATGATTCCATTTATGATTTTTTATTTAATAGTGATACCAAAGCAATACATACTCAGTAGAAACCTACTTCAAGTTCCCATAAAATCATCTGCTTTTCACTTTCAGTACAGTATTTAATAACTTAAATGAGATATTTCACACTTCAGTAGTAAATACACTTTTTGTTAGATAATTTTGTCCAACTGTATGCTAATGTAAGTGTTCTGAGCATGTTTAAGGCAGGTTAGGTTAAGCTATGATGTTTGGTGGGTTAGGTGTATTAAATGCATTTCTGATTTTGGATATTTTCAGTGTACAATGGGTTTACAGGGATGTAACCCCATCATAAGTGAAGGAGCACCTGTACTTACTTCATTAAAATGCTGAAACAGTAAATAAGGTAACATTTAATAATATGTTGTGCAGTTCTTGAAATTTAAGTACTCACTAAATATTACTTTTCCTTTTTTTGTTATTTACTTACTTTTCATTCATTTATTAATTCATTTGTGCATTTAGTAAACATTTATAAATTATTTCCTGTGCCTGACAGCATGCTGGAACAGTGCTAAAGATACAAGTTAATTAAGACACAATCACGACCCCCAAGATTCCTACTCTTTTCTAAAGATTACAGACAAGCAGACGATGCTATTGTTGAAGAAACATGCTCTGAGAGGCATTTGAAGGAAGTGTAGAGGATAGAAGATGGACACATAACCCAGGATGGGGAGGAAAAGAGTTAGGGAAGGCTTTTTGACGAAGATACTGTTTACACCGTGTGTTCTTATAAATTCATGGTGGTGGGGATAGAGTTGGAGGAAAAGGCATGCTCAGTGGCGTGGAGATGGCAGAGAGATTGGGGTGTTCAAGGATATGCCGGGAATTCAAGGAACGAGAATTCCCATAGACACAGACACAGCTAGACATAGAGATCTGCAGCTTAGGTTTGGGCTGTGGGTATAGATCCAGGTGGCTTCAACAGACAAAGATCTTTCCTGAGAAAAGGGAAAAGTTTTCAACACAGAAAGACCATCCCATGTTTGGAATGAGGTTTGCAAATAGATTGCTTGAGGAGAGAAGTATGTGATCAGAAAGCATTCTTTGTCTATTAACTCCTGCCCAGCAAAAGTGAAAGAAAATTCATGGGAGCATGCAAGAACAAAGAGCACAGCAAAGCTGGACAAACACAGCAATCCAGGCAGGGGATTTCCAACTCAACTCTGGTATATAAGCTGCATGCAAAGTCCTTTTTCTGTCTCTGGTTTCTGGCCCCTTGTCTGCAGAGATGGCTCCCAATGCTTCCTGCCTCTGTGTAAGTTGGGATTTGATAAAGGGGATGGGGAAAGGAAAAGCACTTTCAAGAGTTGGGGAGAGATCTTAGAAACGGGGGCTGGGCAGTACTCAGGGCTCTGGGGGGCTGGGCAGGCATCCTTCAGGAGAAGAGGCTGGCATTGACATTTGCAGAATGGGAAGAGGGATTGTCTGAAGAGAAGCTGGTTATCTGGCTTCTGTGTTCTTTTTTAAATAAAACATTGGACTAGCTACTCTTAGGGATAAATGGTAGAAGAAAAAGTGGGGGTGAGCTTTGTGTTCCACAGGGCTGGTGAGATTTGAAATTATGGTAACATTTTTTAAGGTTCTTAAACTTAATCTTCCCTCTCCTCTCAAAGGAGAGCTTCACAAAACTCATTCATCTGAAGTTGTTAATGATCTAACACATTACATTATATAAGAAAATATGCACTATGGAGAGAACCTGGAAGTAAGGCAATGCTTAACACAGATCTTCCAGTGAAGAAATGTCTGCAATATCTAGATTGGGAGAATATTTCTGAATGGAGTATGAGGGAGGTCTTCTCAGGCTTTCAAGTGGCCATTAGGGGTGAGTTTTCCCATCTTTTAGGATTTTCCAGCTATTGAAGTAAGACTTAGATATAGTCCCTACCTTCTGTGAGTGAGGCCCTAGTCTTATCAAAGGAGATCACATTCTATATTAGTGTTACCAGGGGGTCTTTGCTCCCAGAGCTCTCAAGATGGTGGTGGGCTGCTTCCAAAATGGCCGCAGGCCGCTTCCAAGATGGTGGCAAGCCTCGTGTTCTCTGACCTGGGGTTCTTGGCCTCATGGATTCCAAGGAATGGAATCTTGGGTCATGTGGTGGTTGTTACAGCTCTATTAGAAGCCATGGGTCACGGAAGAGAACCGTGGACCCAGTGACTAGTGTTCAGCTCGATTAGGAAGAACCTGGGCACTTAGCCGTGCAGAACAATGGTACGCCTTTAGCCCAATCAGGAGCGGCAATGGGCGCCTCACTGGTTCAGAAGCACAGCGGACACCCTGCCAGATCCGAGGGATGGAAGTCAGCCGCGGGTCTGCGACGGTGGCAAACGGCAGTGGTGGATGGCAAGCGAAAGCTCACCTCGAGCCGTAAGAAACATAGACCAGAAGAGTGCAGTTGCAAGATTTAGTAGAGTGAAGACAGAGCTCCCATACAAAGGGAGGGGACCCAAAGAGGGTAGCGTTGCTGGCTCGAATGCCTGTGTTTATATCCCGATCATTGTCCCTCCCGCTGTGATCTCAGGCAATAGATGATTGGCTATATCTTTACCTCCTGTTTTTGCCTAATTAGCATTTTAGTGAGCTCTCTTTACTACCTGATTGGTCAGGTGTGAGCTAAGTTGCAAGCCCCGTGTTTAAAGGTGGATGCAGTCACCTCCCCAGCTAGGCTTAGGGATTCTTAGTCGGCCTAGGAAATCCAGCTAGTCCTGTCTCTCATTAGATAGAAATAAAAACACAAGAAATATAAATTAACAAGAAACACTGAACATAGTGTCACGGTAGTATGTGAGTTATTATTATAAAGCAGTGGGATATTTGAAAAGAAACTAACAGTTCAGTGATTATGTGTCCTACCCAGGATTTCCTTCTGAAGTATTGACAGAGGGTATCCTATGGCTATGAGTATCTTCATGAGGCTGTCATATTTTGGAAATTCTCTTTGAGAGTTGTTTTTAGAGTCTGATGTACATCTTTTGAAGCCTCGTATTTACTTGTTGACATTTGACAAACTTTATCTGGATAGGAGAGGCAGGTAAATAAGGTGGAAAATCACTAATTACATTTTGAGATGGATAAAGGTATGTTTTTTACATCCATTGAAATGCACAGAAAAACGAAATGTAAAGATTGTCAACTAAAAAAAATCACACAATTCATAAATTTAGAAGGGGAGTTTATTTCTTATGAAAGGTTATAGTCTGCAAGGTAGCCATTCTGACAGGCTGGGAAGTTTTGCTTCTGATTGAAAACCAAAAGCAAGCACTTTGCAGGAGGAAAGGTGACACAGGAATTTATGCTGAAGGGGTTTGCTAAGTATACATATCCAATAGGTTATAGCAGAGGCAATGAATATTCATGGAGGGGGTCCTAATGCATGCATATTGAATAAGCTTGCATGTTACATACCACCCATGGTCACTCTGAAGTGGAGACTTAACATTTAATTGCATTACAGTTAGGCCTTATACATGAAAAGGTGAAGCAGGGACACAAAGGCATTCAAATGCACAGCTTCTGTAAACTAGCCAGAACCAGTCCATGGTCAGTGGTCTCTTATCAGGAGAAAATTACTGAAATCAGTCTTTTGTCCAATTAAAACTGTAGTTATGGCTTGTGGAACACGGGGTCAGTTAGCCTGTGTTCCCCAACACAGGGTGAGCTGTAATTGTTTTAATATTGTTCCTGTCAAGGCCAGTGCTTGTTTAGCTGCTAGAGAAAAAAGAAAAAACTTTGTGGCAGAACATAGTTTATTCTTTAAGTGTAAGGGATGCATGACTTAACTTTTGCCTGTTATAGCCCTCGGTCTTGTTTATAATTTGCTATCTTATTGCCACAAAGAATCCATTCTCTCAGTCTTATAATCTCTAACTTTGCTGGTCAGTTGTGTCTAAACTGCAAAAGGGAGAAGATACAATGAGGCATATCCAACCTCCTGTTCCATCATGACTGAATGTTTTATTTATTTATATTTTTGAGACAGAGTCTCACTCTGTTGCCCTGGCTGGAGTGCAGTAGTGCCATCTCCACTCACTGCAACCTCTGCCTCCTGGATTCAAATGATTCTCCTGCCTCAGCCTCCTGAGTAGCTGGGATTACAGGGACTTGCCACCACGCCTGGCTAATTTTTGTATTTTTAGTAGAGACAGAGTTTCACCAAGTTCACCAGGCTGGTCTCGAACTCCCAGCATCAATTGATCAGCCTGCCTCAGCTTCCCAAAGTTCTGGGATTACAGGTGTAAGCCACCACCCTTGGCCCAATGACTAAGTTTTTAAAGTTTCTCTAGGGTCCCCCTGAGCAAAAGAGCGTCCGTTCAGTTGGTTGGGGGCTCAGGATTTTATTTTCCATTCTCAAGATCGAAAAAAAGGTGTGATTATAAAGGAATGGGACAAATTATCTTATTTGTGTTGTAACTTGGTAATTCCAAAAAAGAAGTTCCAAGAAAGAGAGGGACACTGGCTACTGAATAGGAGCTAGAGGACCAGATAGATAGTGGAAGAGGGGGAGCCATTGTGGTGGGGAGTAGAAGTGTAAAGGAGGCAGGCATCCTAGGTAACTGTCTTGTGGCTTTCACTTCCCAGGTGCATGTCCGTTCCGAGGAATGGGATTTAATGACCTTTGATGCCAACCCATATGACAGCGTGAAAAAAATCAAAGAACATGTCCGGTCTAAGACCAAGGTTCCTGTGCAGGACCAGGTTCTTTTGCTGGGCTCCAAGATCTTAAAGCCACGGAGAAGCCTCTCATCTTATGGCATTGACAAAGAGAAGACCATCCACCTTACCCTGAAAGTGGTGAAGCCCAGTGATGAGGAGCTGCCCTTGTTTCTTGTGGAGTCAGGTGATGAGGCAAAGAGGCACCTCCTCCAGGTGCGAAGGTCCAGCTCAGTGGCACAAGTGAAAGCAATGATCGAGACTAAGACGGGTATAATCCCTGAGACCCAGATTGTGACTTGCAATGGAAAGAGACTGGAAGATGGGAAGATGATGGCAGATTACGGCATCAGAAAGGGCAACTTACTCTTCCTGGCATCTTATTGTATTGGAGGGTGACCACCCTGGGGATGGGGTGTTGGCAGGGGTCAAAAAGCTTATTTCTTTTAATCTCTTACTCAACGAACACATCTTCTGATGATTTCCCAAAATTAATGAGAATGAGATGAGTAGAGTAAGATTTGGGTGGGATGGGTAGGATGAAGTATATTGCCCAACTCTATGTTTCTTTGATTCTAACACAATTAATTAAGTGACATGATTTTTACTAATGTATTACTGAGACTAGTAAATAAATTTTTAAGGCAAAATAGAGCATTCAAAGCCAGCTTGGAATTTAATTCTGTCTTGATACCTTGTTATTTATGCAAAAACTCCTATCTCCTTTCCTTTATGACAAGAGAGTAAGTTTTAGGTTGGGATCCATGTTCTACTGATTTCTGTATTTCTGTCTTTGTTAAGTCCAGTGCTTTATTTATATCACTCAATAATGGTTGAACCAAATTGAATTTCTACTTATAGAGCATAGTGAAATGATATTTTATAAAATGAATTAGTTGCTCTGACATGATCACAATCAAATTACTAAACATTTTAGAAACTAAATTAAACTCCTTCCCCCCTCTTCTCCTTTAAAGCTATTTGTATGAAATGAAGTCTGGCACCATGCCCCCTTTTATTCTCTATGTCTCACACCCAACTAAAATAGTTATTATTTCTGGGGATGATGGTGGGCAAGGAAAGGTATTTTCCACAGGGATCTAGCAATTCTGTTTAACTAGTGGGGATTCCTAGGGGTAGATGGACATTGGGAGCGAACAAACTTTCTAAAGCTGGGGGACTGTGGACCACCCTCTCTCCTACCTGCCTTAGGGTCTAGCAGGTCTTCTCCAGGATGAGGGCGCCAGTCTGGGTGAGGGTGGGTGAGGAGCTGGCTTCTGGGTTGACCTCAATATTCTGCTCAGGTTCTGCTGATTGAGCATTTTCCTCTCTTCTTTTTTTCATGAGGAGATCCCTGTTCCTGTCTTGAGAACTTGAGTCCCTTCCTCCATCTTCCTCCCTCCATTTACTCCTCTCTCTGACTCTCTCTCTTGCTCTCTCTCTCATGACTCACTACTGATCACCTGTGAGTTTTTTTCACGGGCTGAGACGTGCCCGCCTTCTTCCACACTCATCCTAGTTCCTTGTTTCTTTAAAACTTGCTCAAGAACCAACTCCTGCAGGGGGGTTTCCAGTCTTAACCCCACTCAGCAAAATTCACCACCATTTATGGGCTTTCCTCATCACATTTATGGGTGAAATGCCCCGGGGAGGGCACTGGTCATCTGGCCAGGTCTGCACTAAGTTGGACTGATTTCTGAGAATAGAGTCCATGGTCGCTTTTTCTGGATGTACCCTCTCCTGCAGGGTAGGGACTATGATTTTCTTGTCAACTTGAGACTTCTGATTGCAGAGACCAAGAGGTCTTCCATGGTCTTCCATCAGATAGGGAGGAAGCTAAAGGCGAGCGTCACGTCCATCATTTTCCCTGCGCGTGGAGTTGTGAGGGGTAGGTTTTCCTTCCCTAAACCTGAGTATATAGAGGATTTAGGGATTTTCCCTCAAGAACTAAACATTTCCTCACGGGAGGAAAACATATCCCCCATTGGACTCCTTAGGACAAATCTTGCAGATTATCATACAAAAATGAACAGCCTGAAGTCTAAACTGACTCACTAAGGGGTATTTCCATCCTTGGGTTCTGGCTTAATACTTTCTCCCCTCCCCAACTACTCACTGCCCAGCCTGGCCTCTCCCCAGACTCCGCAGCAGCCTCCTCGCTGCCCCCTTCACTTTCTTATTCCTGAGGGTGTAGATGAGCGGGTTGAGAGCAGGTGTGACCACGGTGTAGAAGAGCGATACGAACTTGCCCCGTGCCTGGTTGTAGCGCTGCGCGGGCTGCAGGTAGGTGTAGATGGCCGAGCCGTAGAACAGGCAGACGGCTGTCAGGTGGGACCCACACGTGCCCACCGCCCTCCTCCGGCCTCCGCTGAACCGCATGCAACAGACAGCTCGGGCCACGGCACCGTAGGAGGCCAGGATGACGGCAAACGGCAGCAGCAGGATGACCACGCGGGCGGCGAACATCTGGTTCTCGGTAGTGTCTCCGTCGCCTCCGCAGGCCAGCTTGAGCAACGCCGGCAGCTCACAGATGAAGTGGTCCAGCAGGCGGGGCGCGCACAGCGGCCGCTCAGCCAGGAGCGCGGTTTGCGCAACCGAGTTGGTGAGGCCGCTTAGCCAGGAGGCGCTGGCCAGCGTGCGACATAGGCGCGGGGAGACGAGCCCCGCATAGCGCAGCGGGCGGCACACTGCGGCCGCGCGGTCCAGAGCCATCACCGCCAGGAGGACGCATTCGGCCGAACCCAGAGCCAGCGATGCGCACAGCTGGGCCGTGCAGTGGCTGCGCGGCAGCCAGAGCGCTGGTCCGCGCAGGTTGGCCAGCAGCGGCGGCACCACGCTAGTAGTGAAGCCCGCGTCTACCAAGGCCAGGTGGCAGAGGAAGTAGTACATGGGCGTGTGCAGGCGCGGGTCGCGCACCGCCAGCAGCACCAGCGCCGAGTTGCCCGTCAAGGTCAGGAGGTAGCACAGGAGGACAAGGGCGAAGAGGACCGGCTGCAGGGAAGGCCAGTCGGAGAAACCCAGCAGGAGAAAGCGCTCCTCTGCGCTGTAGTTGGCCTAAAGGAGGAAAACTCCCAGAATGTTTGGAAGGTCGAAATAAAAAAGGGTGACTACCCCTTATAAGCAAAGGGAAAACCTTGGAGTGTGGGGCTGGGCTGGGAGAAGGAATGGAATCATATACAAGGTCAGTTTGTGGATTGTAATCCCATTTACAGATGAGATTACTTAAAAATAAACTCCCTAAGAATAAGAGCAACACTCCAAGCTTGGCGTGGCCAACACTCGGTAGGCAGAATGATCACCTCCGTTGTTTCAGGTACTCTGTGTTTATTTATGCAACAGTTCATGTAAAATGGAGACGAGGCCAGAAGAATCCTTGAGCAGACAGAGCCAGTTGGGCCTCCTAAGTGACCTTAACCTTGCTTGATTTGCAAGCATGTCTGAAACTTTATTTGTGGTATTTCTTGTAAATGCCTATGTTAAAGAAACACAGAACTTAAGCTCAACCAATCAGAAGCAGCCAACAAAAACGTAATTAGTAACTAGGACTTCCTCATGGGATAGACCAAATAAGGCAACTGTATAACTGTGTAACTGTATAACTGTAACCAATGAAATATTATCTTTGCTTTTATCTATTTGTCCTAAAAAGCCTCCTCCTCATGTTCTCTCTGGGGAGCTCCCTAGCCACTTCTGGCTTGGAGCTGCCCAATTCATGGATCACTGCTCAAATAAACTCTTAAATATTTTATTGGGCCTTAGTTTACTTTCTAACACAACCCATTATACGGCTGATTACTGATTTTTAATTTGTTGTGAATAGAGACTACTCCCAACGTCCATGCCCCTCCCACTGAGGGGAGATCAGCACACGTATACTAGCCTTTAAATCAGGAATAAGTTGGGTAGAAAAAAAGAACACTTTCTGGTAGACTAGAATATCAGGACATCTTGGTTTTACCTACATAGCTCCCTTTAGCCAGTTATATGATATGGGGAAATCTTCATTTCCCTCTGTCTCAATTTTTTCATATGTAAATCAAGGAGTTTGAACTAGATGTCATCTAAGTTTCCTGTCCCAAATCCTTGGCTTTACTATCAAATATTAATCCAAAAATAAAATAAAAAGAGAACCCCAGGGAACAAAAGGAACCTCATTCTCCAAGGGTCTTGTTGAACCAAGTGTCTTAATGGTACAGAAACATATGGGTTATGTAATGGATGAAAGTTTATGTGATGGACAGAAATCTTTCTGCTGCATGACTCCTGACATAAATTATTATATGGATAACTTATTTTTCACATCATATTCACTGCTGTAAATTACAAAATCACAATAACCTAATTTTTCATTTTTCAGAGGGAAAAAACACTGCTCCCTACCAAAACATCCTGTTTGATTTTATGTTTCACTCATTTTATCCTCACTGGGCAGAATAAGCATTAATGTCATAATTAAGAACCAGGGCTCAGCAGCCAGACTGCCTGGGTTTGAGTCCTGGCTCTGCCATTTTCTAGCTGGAAAACCTTGGGTATGTTACTTAGCCTCTCTCTGCCTCAGTTTCCTCATATGAAAATAGAAATATGTTAAGTGGGCTAAATATGAAAAGCTGTTAGAACAAGGCCTGGCACATAGCAGTTGTTAACTGTCATCCTTTAATAAATGCTAACTATCGTCATATCTGTTTCCCAAATTAAGAAACAGGTTTTTAAGGGGTTCTTATGCTAGGCAGTGATACAACTGCTATGAACATTTACATCTCTTTTCATTTATTAACTCTAATCTTAACTCACTTGAATATTAGGCAATAGCCTTATTTTATAGAGTATGTTAGGAGAGTAACTGAAGTTAAATTACTTGCCCAAGGCCACATTATTTGTAAATGCTTAATAGGTTTTCCACTTATATTTGACTAACTTCGAGGTCCTTCCTGTTTGATCAACCAGGATCCACTGTGCTAGAGACTGTGGAGTATGAAAGGACATGCAAAGTCTTACCTATATTTATAGATCATTTTATAATTTGGGGTCATATCAGAGATGAATAAAGTAGGAGAGGTGACATTCAGGCTTACAGACCAATGGTGGCTAGAGATGTTGAGTTACAAAAGGTCAAATTCTTTAATGCGGTGATTACACGGACACATAACTGTTCAGCCTGGCAAGCTCTAAACCATTCCTCTTCAAATATGCCACACCATGAAAACAGGCACACAATAATAAAACTGCACAGATAACATTCTTGTTACATGTATGCACAAATTCCCCAAAACATAGGCATGTGTGCACCTGTACACATAAACCCATCATCTCCCTCACACATCTAGAAGACAAATCTGTTGTGAAATATATAATATAATGTGTCATCAAACTTCACTTGGTATTTCAGAATGTGGCTCTCGGCACAAGACCATTGTGTTGTAGGGCACTGTAATACCCAACTTACCTTCATGACTAATCTTTGGCACTAATGTTTACACCTTGAGTTTCCAGATGATAGGTTGGTCTCTTGCTCCTGCTCTGGATTCTCTGGATTTGAAATGGAGTTGGGAGTATTTAATAAAAGATGCAATTGCATAGCTGTGTTGATTTCTGGAATGGATGCCTGGGATCAGAGCCAGGTATTTCAGGAAGAAGACGAGGGGTGGGTGTCATTGTGCTTGTAAATAGAGGAATAAAAAGAACGGGTAAGAAAGAACCTACATTTGTGAAATTTCAGGATCTAGGCAGAGGTGGTGATGTCTGTTCCTGGAGAACCTTGTAATGGGGTACAGACCAGACAAGGACCTGGGCCTTGTGCTGGTAGCAAATCAGCATTAGCTGGTGGTGGTAGCAAATATCCCTCCTGGATCTAAAGGACACAGTTAGAGAGGAGGAAGCATGCTGATGAGTGCTCTCACTAGAGAAAAAACAGGGGACTCAACGTTCCCTGTTATTTAGAAGAGAGGATGGAGCTCTGGGGAATAGATGTCCCACTCCTATCATTAGTACTTTGCATGAAGGTGTCCGGAGAGGAGTCCCCAAGAGTGGGGAAGAGGAAATTCTGGAGGGAAAGTCCCTTTAGGGTAGTGTGCCTCTGGCAGTGTATGAAGGCCAAAGGCAGCGTAATTCCCTCTCATTAATATTTCTACTATTCAATTGGAACTGGTTTAGAATTTCATTCTCTGATGGAGTGACCTTAAGCTAATTGTTTAACTTCAGTGACTCTCAATGTCATCATCTGTAAAACAAGGAAAATAACCCTTTCTGTCAGGAATTTTGTAGATTTGTTGAAGTCATTATTAGTTTTGAATGTAGCTTTGACTGTTATGTCATCAGCTTTGCTCCAAAGTCCACCTCCCCACTTGTGGCTCTCATCATTCTCTTTCCCTTTGCTCCTCCTTCGTCCTTGAAGATTTTTGTCCCTGATCCCCTCTCACTCTCTCCAGTACTGTGATGATTCTTGGTGAATTCAGTATCCTCATAGATTATCTTTCTATACTTTCCTCTCAGTTTCTTCCTCAGTGAGAGGTCCGCAAATTCATCGTGGCCCCTCACGCCCCTTGTATCTTCAGTTCTCTATCAAGCTTAGACTGTCTCGTCAATCACTATTACTCCTTTGCATACATCAATGTTCCTGCCCTTTTCACTTGTTACACTCTTTCAGCTAAATTGCTTTCCTATTTAAATCCAACTATAGTCCTACTCTCTCCCTATATTTGTTCAGCTGACTGTGGCCGAAGGAAAGCCAATAGCCACACTGAGAGGTTTCACTTTACATTCATGACCACTACTTTAAGAGGAAGGGGCTAATGTCATTGATAATCATATTTTCCTAGTCCACTCACTTTCCCCTCTCCTACGTAACTCATGCATACTTTCTGGTCTCCCCTCAAATCCCCAGTACTCCTCTCTCTCAAATAATATCATCTTTCTCAGATAAAAATTTTACTTCATTTTTTACTGAAAAAATGTAAAGCAATAAAAAGAGAAGTTCTTACTAACCCATCTGTTCACCTACTTGCATCTGTGCTCACATATGGGACTCCACCTTTTCTTCTGATACTGCTAGGAATATACTATTTTGCATCTGTCTGATGCCAGTACCCCCACTTGCCCACTATATTCCATCCCTTTCCACTTATTCAGGGACATTACTCTAATCTTTCCCCTCTTTCCTGTAATATAATTTGTCCTTCCAGTGGACCATCCCCATCAATACATAAACATACTTTGATTTCACTCATCAGAAAATAATCTTCTCTTGACTTCACTTCCCCCTAGCTACCATCCAAGTCCTTGAATTCTCTTTCGGGTTGGCTCCAACAAGGTTTCTGCACTGGAAACCTTTCATCGAAGGTCACAAACTGACCTCCACATTGATATAGTAGTTTTCAGTCCTCATGTTACTTGACCTGTTAGAAGCTTTTCAATAGAGTGGACTTAGCTTTCCTTTTTGGAACATGCCTTTCACTTCTGCTATGGACTGAATTGTGTCCCCCCCCAAAATTCATATGTTGAAAATCTAATCCTCAATGTGATGGTATTTGAAATGGGCATTTTAGGAGGTAATTATAGTTAAATGAGGTCACAAAGGTGAGGGCCAAATAGGATTAGTTTCCTTATAAAAGAGGAAAGGCCACGTGAGGAGGCAGCAAGTAGGGAGTTGTCTGCAAGCCAGGAGGAGAGCCATCACCAGGAACAAAATCAGCCAGCATCTTGATCTTGAACTTCCCAGCCTCCAGAACTGTGAGAAATCAACTTCTGTTGTTGAAGCCACCCAGTTTATGGTATTTTGTTATGGCAGTCTGAGCTGACTGACAGCTTCAAATCACCAAAGTCTCCCAGCTGCTCCTTCTGAATCTCCTTTATTGGTTTCTCCTCCTCCCTGCTGTGCCTAGGGTTCAGTCCTCTTTCCTTTTTTACATGCACTTCCGTCATCCAGTCTTATGACATTGTACACCATCTATATGCTGATGACTCCTAAATTTATATTTCCAGGCTGGATTTTTCTCCTAACCTCCAGATTCCTATGTCCAATTGTCTACCCACCAGCAGCTTTTGGTATCTAATACACATCTCAGATTTAACATGCCATAAACTGAGCTCCTTACTACCCACCCTCTCCCCCACAATGTGCTTCTTCTGTAGCCTTTCTCATCTCCCGTAATGAAAATCCATTCTTCTAGTTTCTCAGACAAAAATCTTGTGATACTGACTCTTCTTCATCTCACTCACATATAATCTACCCACAAATTCTATTGGCTCTACCTGCAAAAATATGTTGTGAAACTGACAAATCGTTATCACTGTTAGGACCACCACTCTGGTCTGTCCTTGTCAACATCTCTTGCTTGGATGATTGAAATAATCCTCTGGTTCTTCCCTTAACCTTTAGTATATTCTCAACATGGAAGCCAGAGTAACCCATTTATAACAACTCAGATCATACCACTTCTTATCTCAAAATCTTTCAGCAGTTTCCATGTTACTCAGAAAGAAAAAGCCTAGTCACAAGATCTAAAGATCAGTGCCCTCCACCTCAGTACTACTGACGATTTTGACTGGATCATCCTTTGTTGGGGGTGCTGTCCTGTGCATTGTAGGATGTTTAGCACCATCTCGGGGCTCTACCCACTAGGTGATAGTAGTGCATCCTCTCTAATTGTGACAATCAAAACCAGCTCCAGACATTGCCAAATGTCCCAGTGGGAGGCCTAATTAGCCACGGTGAGAACTGCTGCTTGACTTAATCAGAAAAAATAAACCTCCTGCAGCTAGCTTGGTGTCTGCCTAAACAGCCTCCTAGTTTTGTGCTTGAAACCCAGGGCCCTGGTGGCATAGGCACCAGAGGGAATCTCCTGGTCTATAGGTTTCGAAGACGTGAGGAAAGCGCAGTATCTGTGCCAGAGTGCACCGTTCCTCCCCACACAGTCCCTCAAGGCTTCGGCTTCCCTTGGCTAGGAGAGGGAGTTCCTTGACCTCTTGTGCTCCCCGGGTGAGGCGATGCCCCACCCTGCTTTGGCACACCCTCCATGGGCTGCACCCGCTGTCCAACCAGTCCCAATAAGATGAACTGGGTACCTCAGTTGGAAATGCAGAAATCATCCACCTTCTGGGTCAATCTTGCTGGGAGGTGCAGACCAGAGCTATTCCTATTCCACCATCTTGCCAGCCTTCTCCCCTGGTATCTAGCTGTAATTTTGTATCCATGAACCAATCTCTTCCTATCCTTCCCTCTCTCCTCCCTTCGATCCTTCCTGTGCTCTAATAATCAAAATTCCACTCTCTATTTCTAATGAGCTCAACATTTTTTAGCTTCCATATGTGAGTGAGAACACACAGTCTTTATCTTTCTGTGCCTGCTTATTTCAGTTAACATGGTGTCTTCCAGGTTCATCCATGTTGCCATGAATGACAGGATTTCTTTTTTTTTTTCATGTCTCTGCCATTTAAAGGGGGTGTTTAATATATTTACATTTAATGTAATTACTGATAGTATAGGATTTTGACCTGTCATTTTGCTACTTATTTTCTTTATATCGTGTTTTTTATTGCTCTATTCCATTATTACTGCCTTTGTATGTTAAATAAATTTTGTTAGTGTTTTACTTAATTCTCCTTGTTGTTTCTTTTACTATACTTTTTGAGGTATTTTTTAAATATTGCCCTGGATCTTGCAATTAATAATTTATAACAATTTAGTCAGATTAATAGCAATTTAATTTCAATAGCACACAAAACCTTTGCTTCCATACAGCTCCATTCTCTTCTGCTTCTTTGTGTTTTTATTGCCGTACAAATTACATCTTTATACATTGTAGGCTTATCAATACAGATTTATAATTATTTCATTATGTATTTGTCTTTTGAATCATATGAGAGAGGAAATCGCAAACAAATTGCATTTATACTGTCTTTTATATTTACCCATGTAGTTATCTTTACTGGAGTTCTTCATTTCTTCATGTGGATTCGAGTTGCTATGTAGTGTCCTTTCATGTCAACCTGCAAGACTGCTTTTATAATTTCCCATAAGACAGGTCTGGTAATTACAGCTTCTCTCAGTTTTCAAAATCTGAGAATGTTTAATTTCTAGTTCATTTATGAAGAATAGTTTTGCTGGCTTTAGAATTGTTCATTGACAGTATTTTACTTTTGCTACTTTGAATATGTCATCCCATTGCCTCCTGACTCTGTAATTTTTCATGAGAAATTAGTTCTTATTCTTACTGAGAATCTCTTGTACATGATAAGTTGCTTCCCTCTTTTTGCCCTCAAGATTCTTTCTTTGTTTCTTGGCAGTTTGATTATAATGTTTCTATGTGTGAATCTCTTTGAATTTATTTTATCTAAGTTTGTTGAGCTTTGTGAAAGTGTAGATTAACATTTTTTCATTGAATTTGGAGTTTTTCAGCTAGTATTTCTTTAAATATTCCTTCTGTTCCTTTTATTCTATCCTCTCCTGAAAATTCTCGTTTATGTGTTTTGGTACACTGGATTGTGTCCCACAGGTCTCTGAAACTCTGTTCATTCTTCTTCTTTTTAATTCATGTTCCTCATACTGGATAATTTCCCCACCTATCTTTAAATTTACTGATTCTTTCTTCTGCCTTCTCAAATCTGTTATTGAGGCTATCTAGTGAAGTTTTTATTTCTACGATTTTATTTATCAATTACTGAATTTTATTTGTTTCTTTTCTTTTTTTTTTTTTTTTTTTTTGAGACAGAGTCTCGCTCTGTCGCCCAGGCTGGAGTGCAGTGGCGGGATCTCGGCTCACTGCAAGCTCCGCCTCCCGGGTTCACGCCATTCTCCTGCCTCAGCCTCCCAAGTAGCTGGGACTACAGGCGCCCGCCACTACGCCCGGCTAATTTTTTGTATTTTTAGTAGACACGGGGTTTCACCGTTTTAGCTGGGATGGTCTCGATCTCCTGAGCTCGTGATCCGCCCGCCTCGGCCTCCCAAAGTGCTGGGATTACCGGCGTGAGCCACCGCGCCCGGCCTTGTTTCTTTTTTAACATTCCATCTCATTATTGATGTTTTGTATTTGGTGAGATATCATTCTCATGCATTCCTTTAGTTCTTTTGACATGGTTTCCTTTAGTTCTTTGAACGTGTTTAAAATTGTTCGTCTAATATGTTCACCTAGTATGTCCAATGTCTGGTATATGCAGTCTACCAGAGGCAGTTTTGATTTTAAAATGAATAGGTTAAAAAAAGAGGGTGGAAAAAAGTATACCATGTAGAAAACTATGATGAAAGAGCTGAGACAGCTCTACTAATATTGGACAAAGTAGACCTTGAGAAAAATAGCGTTACTAGAAATAAAGAGGCATATTCTATAATGATAAAATTTCAATTTATCAGGAGGATATGAGGATTATAAACATACACACAATTAGCAACACATCCCCCAAATACATAAAACATGAAAATGACAGAATTGAGGGGATAAATAAACAAATCATTAAAAATAGTTGAAGATTTCAACACTCCATTATCAATCATTGATGGAACAACTAGATAGAAAATCAGCAAGGATACAGAGCCTGAAACATTATCAACCAACTTGACCTACTTGACAACAACAAATGAATTATACACGCTTTTGAAACACACATGGAACATTCTCCAGGATAGACTAGATGGGAGGGCACAAATTATCTATAAATTAAAAAAAAATTGAACTAATACAATATATGTATTCCAACCACAATGGAATTGAATGAGTAATCACCAACAGTTGGAAACTTCAGGAATCCACAAATAACAAGTGAAAGAAAAAAAAACACAGGGGAAATTAAAAAGAATATGCATGAAATGAAATGAAACCATAACATGTCAACATTTATGAGATGGAGATAAACCAGTGCTTAGAGGAAAATCTGTAGCTGTAAATGCCTACATTGGAAAAGAAAAATACCTCTAATCAGTAATTCAACTTTCTATGGTAAGAAGCAAGGAAAAGAAGAGAAAACTAACCCCAAAGCAAGCAGAAGAAAGGAAATAATAAAGAAGAGAGCAAGAGTAGATGGAATAGAAAATAAAACACTATAGAGAAAAGTAATGAAACCAAAAGTTGAATCATGGAAAATAACAACACAATTGACAAACCTTTAGCTAGACTTACCAAGAAAAAAAAATGGCCTCAAATTCCTAAAATCAGAAATGAAATTGGGCACATCATTACCAACTT
Source organism: Homo sapiens (assembly GCF_000001405.40). Classification (NCBI taxonomy): domain Eukaryota; kingdom Metazoa; phylum Chordata; class Mammalia; order Primates; family Hominidae; genus Homo; species Homo sapiens. Next base: position 809,509 of record NT_167247.2, on the reverse strand, counting down.
TATAGAAATTTAAAGGATTATAAAGAAATCCTATGAACAACTTTATCCTAACATGCTAGACACCTTCGATGAAATGGATAAATTTCTAGAAAAACTAATTACCAAAATTGACTCAAGAGGAAATAGAAAATCTGTATAAGCCTACAAGAAGTAAAGACATTAAAACTGTCATTGCATATCTTCCCACAAAAAAGGCCCAGGCCCAGATGTCTCTACTGGTGAATTCTACCAAACATTTAAAGAAAAAAATAATACAATTCTATACAAACTCTTCCAAAATATAGATCAGAAAGGATCACTTCCCAACACATTGTATAGGAATGATGGAAATGTTGTAAAATCATATTCTAGTGAGTATGTACTTTTGTACATAAGGAAGTTAAGAGACACAGGGCCCCATTTGTGATCCTTTGGGAGTGTGAGAAGCACATATTTCCTACACCCATGTTCCCATTTGGAAGGGCTTCTCTGACCAGCATCAGCCACAAGTGACTTTGCTGAGTGGGGCATCCAGAAGAAGGGGCTGAATGTGGCATTTGAAGGACTTTTCCTCCTTTCTCCTTGGAATCTGACTGTCTGCATGGAGGAATCATACTCCTGGGTTCCCTCCATTAAGTGATAAGCTTCAGGAGACAGGTGTTGACCATGGGTGCCTGTGCCTATTACTTTGAGGAGTAAATTCAATTCCTGGAGAGAATAACATATAAGCAAGTGCTTTGGGGTCACAAACTGCTTCCCAGGTCATTAGGGGAGGGAGGAATAAAGATGCTATGTTGTTGGGCATTGTTTTGACTTCTCAATTTATCTCTCAATTGATTCAGAGAGATGTAATGAAAATGAACTAATTGACTTATTGATTGATCGAAATTAGTGCAACAAGGAGACATGTCTTTTCTTGCCTCATAAAAGCAAGTCAAGGCCGGGTACAGTGGCTCACCCCTGTAATCCCAGCACTTTGGGAGGCCAAGGTGGGCGGATCACCTGAGGTTGGGAGTTTGAGACCGGTCTGACCAACATGGAGAAACCCTGTCTCTATTAAAAACACAAAATTAGCCAGGTGTTGTGGTGCATGCCTGTAATCCCAGCTACTCAGGAGGCTGAGGCAGGAGAATCGTTTGAACCCAGGAGGCTGAGGTTGCAGCGAGCCGAGATTGCACCATTGCACTGCAGCCTAGGCAACAAGAGTGAAACTCCGTCTCAAAAAAAAAAAAAAGAAAGCAAGTCAGTGGTGGGGTAAACCAGGGTGAAAAATATTGGCTCCAACAAAGCACAGCCAAATCTCCCTAGGCTTGGTGAATCCAATGTAAGTTTCTGACACAGATTTACAAGAACTTCCACATCTTTTGCAAAAAAAAAAAAATGCAATTCAATTGACAGCAAAATGAAAGGAGCACATTTGAGTTCCTGGCATGCTCAAGTTTATTGACAAAATGCCCACCAGAGTTCCCTCTCCTGCCTGTCTCAGATGGGCTGGGCTGGGCTGGATGTCATTCTAGGAGATTCACACAGGGAGGCAGGTGACAACTTGTCTTAAAGATCCTTCTTTTTTGAGGGAAGTTATTGTTCAGGATGGAGTAATCAAAAGTGTCAGTGGGATGGGGGATATCAGGAGATGCTGAGATACAATGTTTCAGATAAAGGCCTGGGCCCTGATATGCAATTTGCCCCAGTACAGGAAGACCCAACAGACACAGAGAAATTGACAACCTCTTGTCAGGACCCAGTTCAAATCAGACATCGTTAGATTGCTTCCTGACCTGTGGGCAGAACTTTCATCTCTCAGGACATTGGCCTCTGTGGTACCAATTCTATCCAAGACTTCCCAGGTATGAGAAAAGATCTCTCTTCCTTCTTTCATTTTCAAACCATTTTAACTCAGAGACATATTTTCCTGGAATTTGAAACCTCATGATTTTTTACTGGGGAAGGTGCATTTCTCAGGAAAATGGGGACAGGACAGAAACCAGGTTCCTGGAGAAAGCAGGATTCGGGGTTCCAGGGTAGTCCCAGCAGGTGAGCCACAACTGTGCCCTGGCCCCTGGTTCACAAATGCCCCAGCTGTGTAGATGGGCAGAGGGTGTGTTATTCTGTTAAAGGTAGGATTTGAGCCACTGTATTACTGAGGTGTAGTCTATGACTTCTAGGAAAATCCTTTTGGGTCTTCTGATTTCACAGCTTCTATATTCATATTTAGTTTGTATCTAACGCAAGGAATGAAGTTCTTATGCATGCTACCCTGTGAAGAAGCCATGAAAACAAGAGGCTGAGTGAAAGAAACAGACAAAAAATCACAGAGGGTCTGATTCCACTAATAGGACATGTCCAGAATAGGTGAATGTGCAGAAATGGAAGGTAGATGGGGTTGCCAAGAGCTGGGAGGAGGAAGACAAGGGGAGTAACTGCTAACAGGTAAAAGGCTTTCTTATGGGGGTATGTAAATATTTTGGAACCAGATAGAGGTGGTGGTTGCACAACATTGTGAAGGTGCTAAGTGAGGCAGAACTGTGCCCTTTAAATTAGTTAATTTGTGTTATGTAAATTTCACCTCAAATAAAGATTAAGTGGGGAGGGTGGGCTCTCAACTCAGAACCAGAGCAAGTACTTCAATCCCAATGCAAAGGTTACTTGGCTATTTTGGCTGCATCAACCTGAGCACTTCCATCAGAGCTGGCTCCCTGAATCCCAGGATCCAACCTGTTTGTTGTTTATGCTCCTTGGGGAGCTTGGCTCATGACCCGACTTGGAAATGACATTTCCAGGTGCTAGGATCTCTCTGTGCCCAGTGCTGGGGCTGCACCAGGCACTGAAGCCTTCCCACCCCAGGAGGGCTGTGTCCTCCTCTTGTGTGATGAGGAAGAATGTGCTGCTTAGTCACTGGCCTCAGTAGTGGTCTCTGGGCATGAGCTAGGTCTCAGTGAGCCCAGGGATGGGAAGCCTGGCTCTGTCCCTGAAGCCACATGCTGCCTCCAAAATGGGCATTTTCTCTTTGTTGAAGGGTAAGTCACCTCTCCCCTTGAAACTCTTTTATCTATAAATCTCCTTTCTTTGTTGGGGACCAGAGCCCAACTGCTCCTGCTTGGTGCCTTGGTGGCCTGGGGTGGGCCACGGAGGTCTGTTTGCAGCTTCTCTTCTGTCATCATCACGAGTTCTGACACCCTGGCCCAGGCACAGAACTGCAGGTCACCCTGATGTTTCCATGGGCACCAATGTTACCAAGCCCCAAGACTCATCCTATGACCAGATTAGATCTGAGCCAGATCTGCGGTCCTCCCTGGCCTCAGGTAAGAGTGTCTAGGTAACAAGTGCAGGGAGGGGAGGGGCTGGGGCTGGACCCTTCCATTTCAAGAGAGCTGCCAACTGAAGGGGACTCCATCATCCCAGCAAGGAGGGAAGATTCAAACACTGGGCTCACTTGGAGCTGGTCCCTAGCATTCTCCTAAACCCTGCTGATGCACCAATATGTGACTGCAGGCCACAAGGTCACCTGTGGAATATTTCCAGGCATATCGCAGGCATTTATCAGTTAGTTTGTGGAACAAGCTCTGTTCTAGAAGCTTCTGTGATTCAGAAGCAAAGCTTCAGCAGCTCAGGGTTGTAGAACCAGGTAGATCTCACTGTTCTGAGACTTTCCATAATTCCGTCTGTAAACTTTTCATCATAAATGTGATCATCAGTTCAGGCTCCCATGACAGAGATCACAGACTGAGTGGCTTAAACAGCAGAAGTTCATTCTCTCAGTTTTAGGAGGCTGAAAGTCTGAGATCCAAAGATTGCCGGGATCATTTCTTTCCAAAGCCTCTCTCCTTAGCTTGTAGATGGCTGCCTTCTCCCTGTGTCTTCTCATGGTCATCCCCCTGTGGGTGTCTGTGTCCTAATCTCCTTTACTTATGAAGACACTACCCCTATTGGATTAGGGCCTACCCTAATGACCCATCTAAACATAATTACCCCTTTAATGTCCCTGTCTCCAAATTCAGTCACATTCTGAGGTACTGGGATAGTTCAACATATGAATTTAGAAGAATACAATTCATCCCATAGCAGCAGCCCTTACTTAGATGGGGATGCTGAGGCAAAGAAAGAGTCAGCTACTATGAAAAAGAGCTGGGATTTGCCCCCAAGAGGTCAGCTCTCACAGTCTCAGCATGAACTCCTCAGATCACTGGGTTTAACCAAGCTGTGGGATTCCAGAAGGGGTACTGACCTTCTCCTGTTTAACTTTCAAGTTGGGCAACAAACCACCTTGGTTTTCCTAGGGCTATGAGGATTTTCAGGACAAGAGATGTTCAGAGCTTAAACTGGGAAAGTCCTAGGCAAAGCAGGATAAGTTGGTCACCCTCCCCTCATGATTCTACAAAGAAAGACCTGTGATTGGCAATGTGGAGGAGAGTGCCTGCTCCTGTTGTGGACGTAGCCCAGGGTTCAGGTGTGAGTCTCCCTCAGGAGTCCAAGAAGCCTTTTTTTTTAAATCAGTTTGCGGAACAAGCTTTGTTCCAGAAGCTTCTGTGATTCAGAAGCAAAGTTTGCTTTTATGAAGAGGTCACCAGCACTTCCCCAAGTGTAACTGAGCTGCATAAAGCTCTCCATAGGTGCCGTACCCAAGTGAGTCCTCTATGTCAAACCCTGTTCCAGGAGCTGGAGAAGTTATTGAACAACATTGTGAAGAGAATAAAAAACCTGATAAATCTTCCATTCCCACAGAGGGATTTCTGCAGAAGTAAGTAAGTTGCATAGACACTCAGCATGTGATGAATGCAATGTTAATAGGAAGCAGAAGCTTCTCTGGAAGTTGATACTGGGGCAAAGATTGGAAAGAGGATACAAAGCTTACAGATGTGCAGAGGCCCTTCCAGGCAGCAGAACAACATAAAGGTCCTACCAGGAGGCCCTCGTGCTGAAAGTGAGGAGTTGAGGGGAGGTGAGCAGGAGAGAGGTTGGGTAGACCTTCCCTAGAGCACTGAAAAGCAACTGCCCCATGTGGGACTCAGAATATCTCAGAACCTTAGGGCAGAGGAATTGCCTGGTGCCTCCACCAAAACCATGCCATGAAAACTGTCTGTGTCAATGAGAGAGTTGGAGAACAAAGGTAAAGAAATGCACCTCTTTCCTTTATGGGCACCTAGGTGCATGGATACACACCTGGTGTTGGGCACAGCATCAAGAATACCTGAACGAGGTGGAGAGAGGGATGGGGGCAAGCAGGAGAGGGTACCCTGCAGTGGAGGATATGGGATGGATGGATCACTTGCAGGAGACTCATTCCTCTCCTTGACTTTGCTCTGTGAGATTCCCACCAATCTTGGGAGGCCCAGCAGGACCCTCTTGGGAAGCCCAGCAGGTCAGAAGGCAACCCTGACTCTCCTTCCTAGGCCTGGTAAGTTACCAACCTTTGTCTTTGCAGGGTGTGCCCAGGCAGCCAAGGCAGCCCACCATGGCCCAGTTTCTCTCAGTGTTCTCTGGGAAGCTGGATTGGGACAACAGGACAGAGACCCCAGGACAAGTGAACATGAGTCATACGGGAGGCGAGTGGTTGGTGGGCAAACAGGTGGTTTTCATCCTGACAGTGCTGGTGGCCTTCTGTGGGCTGGTGGGCAATGGTGTGGTGTGCTGGCTTTTCTGCTTCCAGGTCAGGAGCAGCCCCTACATGACCTATGTCCTTAACCTGGCCGCTGCTGATATGGTCAACCTCTCCTGTGTAACTGTGATCCTGTTGGAGAAAATCCTCATGCTGTATCACCAGGTGACATTGCAGGTGGCCATGTTTCTGGAGCCTGTGTCCTATTTCTCTGACACAGTGAGTCTCTGTCTCCTGGTGGCCATGAATATTGAGAGCTTTCTGTGTGTCCTCTGTCCCACCTGGTGCTGCCACCGCCCAAAGCACACCTCTGCTGTGATGAGCATCCTGAGCTGGGCCCTGGCCCTTTCTTTGCATGTGGTTAGCCAGGTTTGTGAGTAATGGGAGAAGGGCCTGGCATGTGACCAATTTCAGGCAGGCTTTATAATATTTCACATGCTTATTTGTCTTGTGGTGGGCATTTCCAGCCTGACTTTGATCATCAGGAGCCTGTACTGCCTGAAGAACTGTTCACCCATCCGGATCTACCACATTGTCCGCTTTGTGGCCATCAGCTTCCTCGTTTGGGGCCTGCCCTTAGTTGTCCTTGTGTACCTGCCAGGAAAAGAATACCTGACCTTTGCCTTTGACCTTCTGTTGCTGCTGTCCATGGTAGTCAGTATGGCTCAACCAGCCATCTACTTCTTGGCTGGCTACCTTTGAAGGAAGAGGCATAGGGAGTCCTTAAAGTTGTTCTCCCAAGAGCTTTGTTGAATGAGATGGAAGGTGGAGGAAACAAGGGGTTTCAGGCAAGGGAACAGCAGGTTACCAGGACTGAGCTCCTCCCACTCCAGGAAGCTGTTCCCCAGGACTGACCATGATGCCCTGTATTGGTCCATTCTCACACTGCTATAAAGAAATATCTGAGACTGGGTAATTTATAAAGAAAAGAGGATTAATTGGCTGACAGTTTGACAGGCTGTACAGGAAGCATGGCTGGGGAGGCCTCAGGAAACTTACAATCATGGCAGAAGGTGAAGGGGAAGCAGGTACGTCTTCACATGGCAGGAACAGCAGGAATAGAGCAATGGGAGAGGTGCTATACACTTTGAAACAATCAGATCTGGTGAGCACTCACTCACTATAATGAGAGCAGCACAGAGGGGAAAATCTGCCTCCATGATTCAATCACCTCCCACCAGGCCCAACCTCCAATACTGGAAATTACAAATGGACATGAGATTTGGGTGGGGAACATAGATCCAAACCATATCATGCCCTGTGGAGTCTGCCCCATAAGGAGGTGCTTGAGTCCTGGCAAACATAAGACTCTGAATAGGGCAGGAAGTCAAGTGGTGGAAAAAACTATGACTAGAGGAAATGTTCACTGAAGATTCCCTTTGTCTCAATACTGCTCTAATTACTTTGCAAATATAAAACCAGGTAATTTTAACAATTCTATGAATAGATAACGTTATTATTATCCTGCTTCAGCCTAAGCCAAAAGGCCACTTGGCCCACTTAGTCAGTGGTTATCCAAAGGCCCCAGCACATTATAACAAGCACAGTCCTTCACCATCACGCTCCTCCTTGGTGATCAATCACAGTTGGACTCTTGTGGGTCTGTCTGTGGGCCCTCTGCTCTATTCCATCAGTCTATTTATCCATCCATGGACAATACCACACTTGATGTAGTTACTGCATCTTTATCATACATGTCTATCTGCGAGAAGCTGAGTCCTCCTACAAGCAGCTAGATAGAGAAGAAAAAGACATATATGTACAGAGAATCAAAGATACAAAGCAGATTTCTTGTTGGAAAATTGCAAGTTGTATGGAAGTATTTTTTTTAAAGAAAAAAATGCCAACCTAGAATTCTTTACACAGTCAAAATTTTGTTTTCCAATAAAAAGGCAGAATAAAGAGGTTTTCAGATTGACAAAAGATGAAAGAAATCATCACCAGGAGATGTACAGATTGAGAAATGGTAAAGGACATCCATCTAGCAGGAGAATAATGACTCCAGATGGAAATCTGAGTCTACTAAAGGAAGGAGCCCTTTGCACTGCTAGACTCTCCATAGGATGCTGAATACAAGTAGTGAGAGCTGACATCCTCACCTAGTTCTTCCTCTGGGGTGAAACCATCCAGTCTTTCATCATTAAGAATAACGTCCAGTAAACATCAACTACAGGGTTTTTGTAGGTGCCTTTTATCAGTTTAAGAAAATTCACTTCTATTCCTAGTTTTTAGGAATAGAAATAGACTGGAAGTTTTTATAAGGTTGATGGATTTTGTCTAATGCTTTTTCCAAATATACTGAAATAATGATGTGCTGTTGTCTTTTCATCTGTTAATATGGTGAGTTATACTGGCCCATTTTTAACGTTGAAGCAGCCTTGCATTCTTGGGATAAATTTCACTTTGTCGTTCTGTGCATATATTTATACTTGTGTTGCATATGTATGTATGCTCAAGGGCACGGGTTTCTGTGTGTGGCAATGCAGTGGACCTAGATTAGAAATAAAAAACCCTCTAAAAAAGAAGAATTAAGTAAGATGGCTAACAATACCTAACTTCAAGACCTATCGTAAAGGTTCAGAAATTCAGACGGTATGGTATTGGTAAGAGGCTAGACAAATGGATCAATAGAACAGAATACAGAGTCCAGAATAGACCATCACATATGTGTTCAATTGTTTTTCAAAAGTTGTACAGCAAATTCAGTGGAGAAAAGACAATCTTAGCAACAAATACTATTAGAACAATTAGATATGCATATTAAAAACTTCAGTCCATACATGGCACCATTATTCAAAATGTATCATAAACCAAAATGTAAGGCCTAAAACTTTAAAATTTGCATAAGGAAAAAGGTAGATATTAGTGTGACTTTGGATTAGAGAAATATTTGTTAGATAAGCACCAAAAGCATGATGCATAAAAGGAAAAAAAAATGATCAATTGGACTTCATCAAAATGATGTGTGCACTCTGAAAGACCCTGTGAGGAGAATGAAAAGACAAGTCCCAGGCTGGAGGAAGTATTTGCAAATCTCACCTCTGATGGACTCATATGCAGGTTCTACAAAAAGCTCTGGGGAGTGGACTCCTCGTGGCCCTCAGGAGTCAAAGGGGTGCTGTGCTCAGGGCAGAAATGGGAGATGCCTCCCACCCTGTCATTCATGTCCCCTGAGCAGTGGTGCTCAAAGTCCCCTACCAATGTCCCTTCCTGGGTCCACAGACCCTTCTCTCCCCACATCTACACTGACAGGCCAGGCCCCTCCTCCAGGGCACAGGGAGGGACAGTTGGTCTCAGGCTCTGGGTGCCCAGCTTCATGCTCACCCCTTCCTTCAAGGCCCACTGGGCCTGTCTCACAGGATATAGTGAGGTTGTCTGGCATCTCCTGGACATGCTGTCTGGGCCTATTCCAAGCTGCAGCCAGAAAAATGGAGGAATGTTTGTCAGACCAGGTACCCTTCCCACAGAGCCTGGGTCCAGATACACAGTACAGAGGCCACAGGGTGGCCAGCCTAGAACCTGTGAGGTGGGCTGGGGACCACACAAGGGCTGTCTCCAGACAGCCAGGTGAAGCTTTGCTAGTTTCTCGGTATCTCATTTCTTTCCTTTTCTTTTTTTCTTTTTTTGAGACAGGTTCTTGCTCTGCTGCCCAGGCTGCAGTGCAATGGCGTGATCTCAGCTCACTGCAATCTCCACTCTCTGACTTCCAGGCTTAAGCCATTCTCCCACCTCAGCCCCACCAGTAGCTGGAACTACAGGCGCGTGCCACCACACCTGGCTAATTTTTTTGTTTTGGTAGAAATGGGCTTTCACCATGTTGTCTAGGCTGGTCTTGAACTTCTGGACTCAGGCAACCCACCCTCCTTGGCCTCCGAAAATCTTGGGATTACAGGCGTGAGCCACTGCATCTGGCTGTTATTTCATTTCTTGCCAGTTACCTTACCCTCATGAAAAACCCCCTTCATTCAAAATCAGTAAGAGGAGAAAGGTGGTAAAAGAATCAATGGAAAGAAAACAGGATATAACTTCTGTCCATATAACTTCTTTATGTCCCATTGGAAAGAAAAGCCTAAAGGGGTCCACTGGTTTCTATTGCTCTGAGGTCCCGACGATGGCATTACACAGTGCAATAACTACCAGCAGGGGCCATGCTTGATTTCAGCAGACGTCAGTGAGGACATACCTGGGATCTTCTGGGGTCGTGGACATGGACTTAGAGCAGAACTGAGTAAACAGGTGTGCACAGGCACGCACACACATACACATACACGTGCACATGTGCACACACAGGGACACACACTTCTGCACTGTTCTAGACTGTTCCCGGGGCAGCAGTCCTGGGCTGCACAGATGAGCCCCTCCCCATCCACTCTGATTCCACAAGGCTCCCCGACCCCGCTAGTCACCTGGCTTGTTGTCAGTGGTGTCCTTTGTGTCCCGCCTTGGCACAGGCTCAGGACCTGGGATTGCCAGATGCTGAGAGGAGATGAGATGGAAAGGATGAGGGAAGCAAGAGAAGAAGGAAGAGAGGGAGGGAGGGATGTGGGGAGGGAAGGAGGGAAGAAAGGAAGGGAGGGCTGCCGGAGACCAGCCACCCAGGGACAGTAGACACAGGTGACAGCAGACCCTCTCAGGGATGCTTTGTACAGACTGTCATGAATGAGCAATGTCACTGGAACTCCAACTTTTGCTCCCTTCCCAGCCCTCTGGGGGTCCCTATCAGGTGCAGTTTGAATTACAGGAAATTACTGGAGGGTCTTAACCCTGGCATCTGCCTGAGAGTGGGAGGCTGCAGTGCAGTGTGGCTCACAGTTGGGTGGGAACCTTGGCCTTTCTGGTGCTTGGCCCTGCTGCGGCCTTTGGGATGGGGAGGCTGTGAGAGGCTGGTCAGGGTCTGGGCTGTGCCATCTTCATTTCCCATCCACCCCAGTATGTCCAGGGCTTCCTGCAGAGAGCTCTGGGCAACTCAAAAACAGGCAGGACATAACAACAAAGACTTTATTGTGCTTTAATCAAAATAAGTGGGGGCTTTGAGGCCAAGGAAGGGGTCCTTTTCCCCAAGAAGAGGCATTCTTAGGCATTGTTGAATCTATGCTGGAAGCTCTGGTCCCACCTTGGAGCCTCCTGCAGTGAGTAGAGCCAAGTTTCCTGACTTTTTCTGACCACAAAATGCAACTGCCAAGAATGGCAGATGAGGGATCCAGCCTCCTGGACTCTCATTTGCTTAGTTTTCTTCAGTCTTGTGTCCTGGAGCAGATTGTGGACCCTGGAAGCAGGGCCCCAGTGCCATCTGCTTGGGCCTCAGAACTCTGCCCCATTGGTGGTCTGGTGGTGGCCACTTATCCTGCAGGAGCCTGACCATTTCTGCTTCCTTGAATGGATGAGGTTGGTGGCTGGTCCACGTGTTTCTGCCCCACCCTCACCAAGGTGGCCAGTGGTAGTTTGAGCTTGGTAACATCATCAGCTTGGCCTTGCCAGGCACACATAGGCCCCGGGTATGTACGCAGTGCTCCAAGGGGGCTTGCTCCGCCTTAAGCCAAATACTAGTTCTGGCCAGGGCCACAGGGGGCTCCATCTCCTGTGTATCTTGGCTGCTGCTGGAGGCCCCAAGGCACCCCTGGTGCCCCTTCCCTTTCAGGGCTCAGGTTGAGTCTGGGCTAGGGCCCTCTGGGTCTAGGAATTGTGCGTTGAGAGGGGGGTTCTGCCCTACAGGTTGGGACCATGGATGCAGGGCATGCTGCTGGGTGGCCTGGGCTGTGGGGACACCATGCTCACCCCTCCCTCCAGTGGCCTCCAAGTGTCCAGCTTCCCCATCAGTATTGACTTTCCATGTCTAAGGAGCTCTCTGGGGCTTTGGGGCAGCTTGCCAAGTGCTGCCCTGGCTCCTTCTGGGCCGTGATGTTCACTGTCTGCCAAGAGTGATCAGCTGTAGGCATCACATGCAGGAGAGTTGTCTCTGGCCCTACCTCTGGGCTATCAGGGGGCTGGGCAGTGTCTGGTATTGGGGGCTAGGCCAGTCCTATGATCTTAGAGGTGTCCAGGACACATATGGAAGTGATAGGGGCCTAGCATCTCTGCTCCAAGCTCTACTGTGAAAACCACAGGCCTCTGAGGTCCAGGTCCATGGGGAGCTTAGAGAGGGAGTTCCAATGCAGGAATCACCAAGCACTCTGTGGTCTATCCTGAGCTGGGGATGGGCTGGCCACACTCTGAGTCCCCAGGGCCCCCAGAGAGCAGCCTGCTGTCCTGGGCTCTGCAGAAGCTCCCTTATGCCTCTGGGCTTTGGCCTTGGGTACAGCATAGCCAGGTGAGGGTGAGGGAGGATGAGGCTCCTGTTTCAGGAGGGCTATACCCATGGGCTGCTGGAGCTGGGCTGTGGGCCAGGGAGAAGCAGCCCATCCCCTTGGGGAGGGTCTCAATGCTGGGGGATATCTGCAGAGGCCTGGGTGGTGGGGGTGCTTGCTCAGGTTTGGCTGAAAGGAAAGCAGATTTGGTCAGCTTTTCCATTGAGAACATCTTGCTTTTGCCAGGCTGGACCCCACAGACCTGGGTCCCTGCAGTCCTCAGGGTCCCCGTGTGGTCCCCCTGGTCTAATGCTGAGGACACTCCTGCAGGCTGCTACTCCCAGAGCGAGGTGTGTGTGCAGCCTAGAGTGGGGAAGCTGTCAGGGAAGCTCAAGTCACTCCAGGGACAGCCCCCAGGGTTCAGGCTGACTCAGTCTTCCTGCCTCACACTCTTGCCCCAGGGCTGCTTAGCCTGGGCTTTAGCCTTGATTCAGAGCTCAGATGGATGAGGCCTTAACTGTTACCTAGCCCCTTTGCCACGCAATATGGGGGCTTATCTCCACAGTGGATGAGACACCCTCCACTCCTCTGGGGGATCTCCATGCCAGGGCTGGACTGTTCCCACACTCAGCTGAGCAATCAATTCTGGCTCTGGGCCAGGGTTTCACCTATGCCCTCTCCCTAGATTCTCTTAGGGTCTCTGACACTGATTTTAGGCCCTTGGAGGGGTGCTCAGGAGTGAAGGCCCCCTGCTGCTCTCCAGGGCTGCTGGTACTCACAGGTGTGGTTGTGGGCTTGCACAGATGGATCTGACCCCTCCAGTGTCCTTCTGGGGCTTTCAGGAGTGAGAGCAGGAGGGTACAGGGGAGGGGCTTGGAAGAGTCTTGCTCACGTCTCATTGTCTCTGAGGCATGTCCAGTAAACCCAAGGTCAGCTTTTGCCCTAGGCTCAGGCAGCCTGGTTTCAGAAGCTTCTTAGAGGAGGAGGGAGAGGAGGGGCTGGAGGAAGGCCCAGGGAGCAGGGCTGGTGAGGTCTGGGCACTTCCCACTATTTACTGCCCCGCAGGGTGACACAGGAGGAGACTTGGTGCTGAAGCCCACCTGGGTGTGCAGGTCACAGTGCATGCTTCTCAGTTCCCCCATGGAGGCCTCAGGGTGCCTCATCACCATGTCCTCCTCCAGGGCCCAGGCCTAGGACAGTGTGTCCTGAAGGAACTCCTGCAAGCCAAACAGGAACAGCTTCAGGGGGTGTTCTAGGGACAGGGTGACTATGAGGCTGGGAGGGGTCTGTGGGAGAGTCAGTGTCTGCACCTTGTTCCTGCCCCAGGCACCCACCACTGGGCGGTGCTGGATCCTACTGTGGCTGCCCCAGGGGTCCAGATGTTCACAGAAAACCACAGCTGGAGGAAGGCCTGGGCAGGGAAGTGCTCAACACACTCTTGCCTTTCATCTGGGTTGTGTCAGGAGTGGGTTTGGTACCTGGGTCCACTCCCTGCCCAGCCCACCAGGCCTGGTCTGGCCCTACCTCCAGGCTGGAGCAGAGAGCCATCTGGACAGTGTGGATGCTGCTCTCAGGTCATCACACACCAGAAGCCAGGAATCTGTCCTGGCTATAGGTCCCAGGGTCTGTCCTGCATGCTCCTTCTGGGCACCATTGGCCACCCAGGGACTTAATTCTGTGGCTGTGAAGGCCATGTATACCATAGTTGTCACCACACACTCACCTCCCAGTAGGTAGACATCCCAGAGCCACAGGATGAGCATGAAGGAAGTCTGTGGGAACAGCAGGTGTGGGAGGACCTGGCCTTTCCAACCTCGGGGCTGGTGGCTTGAGCAGGGCCCACTGTAGCCTCAGTCTGGACTTCCTGAGGCTCCCTCTGCTTGGGAAGAGACCCACCCAATCTTCCATAAGGCTGGGTCAGACAAGGTCCGGCAGCTCTTCATGGGGATGGACTCATCTCAGCAGAAATGTGGTTCCCAGAATAAGGGGCTTCCTGAGGGCTTGTGGCTTCCCTGGCTCCTTTGGCTCTTCCAAGATGGGTCTTGGCCCAGTCTGCCCAGAATTCCCTGGTGTCTGGTGTGTAAAGCTCCCATCATACAGGTCCTGGCTTGTGTGCCCTGCAGAGACCTGCCTGTGCCTCCTGTGGGGTGGGGGTGAGCTGGGTCCTCCTGGGGAAGCCAGACCCCTGGGCTGGGGGAGCTGAGCACTGTGGGGAAAGGAGGTACCTGGCCTGGGGTCTCCTATGCATCCTTATCTCATCGATGAAGCACCATAGAAACCAGTTTAAGGTGGAAAGCCGGATGCACAACCCTTCCTTGTCCTGATAGAAGGAATAGAAGTGTTCAGGGTCCCCTGGGCTTCCGTGAAAACCTCTGTATTCCAGACCCCACTGCAGACCCTTCCCCAAGAGGTAGAACAGTGGTGGCTGTGCCCCAACACCTCCCCATGGCATGGGCCCCCAGTGGATGTACTTCCCCTAGCCCTGGCTCAGCCAGAGCTTGGCCTGGTCCCAGTGCCTCTGTCCCCTCCAGGTAAGGAAAAGGAGGCCAAACTTTGAATCCATTGAAAACCAGATCAAGCCCTGGCTGGAAGTTGGCCTCTCACCAGCCCCAGGCTTCCCCTGTCCCTGCTAACCCCATGGGACCCAGGGCCTCTGGGGAAGAGCTGAGGGACTGACCACTCACCATGTGCTTCATAAGCTCTCAGAACACTTTTAGCAAAACTTGCTCTTGATGGGCTTGGAGACTCTGGAAGTTAGAACATCTTGGGATGTAGACTCCTGAGAGGCTCCTGGGGCCCCAAGGAATCAGAGCCTACTCCTGAGATGTGGAGCCATCAGGCTGGGCAGTGGCAGTTGGGCAGTGGCAGTTGGGCAGCAGCGGTTGGGCAGTGGCAGTTGGGCAGTGGTGGTTGCTTCCAGACCCCAAGGCCTTTCACTGTCCCATCCAGTGACCCCATCATGTGGTCTCGGCCAGGAGAGGAGGGGTGGGAATGCCCCTGGGGCCTGGCTGGAGGCACTGCTTAGTGGCTTCCAGGGCCATGGCTCCAGAAGGGCAGGCCTGCCTTTGAAGCAGTGAGGACAGGTGGGAGCTGGTGGGGTGACCAGGGGTGCTGGAGGGTGTGTGGCCTTCTCCTGGATGTGGGGTCAGGGCAGGGGACACAGGACAGAGAGAAGCTGTCATCTGGGCTTGGTCTAGCCATGGGCAGGGAGGGTGGTTGGGAGGGTGGCCAGCTGGGAGGTGGAAGGACCAGCAGGGTTGTAAGAGTCCCCTGCATAAGGTCAGGGCCAGAAGGTTGTGACACCAGGATGCAGAAGGTGGTCACAGGGCAGCTGTGATCCCATTTGCTGATGGGGACAAGAGGCATCTGACTTGGGGTGTCGGGTCCCTGGCCAGTCACAGGCTCCTGTGGGACTCTCAGCAGGGGATACCCTGGAGGCTCAAAATGAGCAGGGGACAGAAGGTGCCTTGTCTGTAAGTCACAATTACCCAGCCAGTGTGGCCGTCCCCTGTCCTGGCTGTGTGATGCCTCGTGGGTAGCTGTCCACTGTGAGCTAATGTCACATGGGAGGACTGTGTCACCTGAGAGGGCAGAGGTCACCTTGGAGAGTACCATGCTTGGCAAGCCTCTCATTGGCCAGCAGCTGGGCCAGCACCCAGATGTCTCCTCATTCTGGAACATGAGCAGGATAGTGGCTCATGGCATGATATGGCTTATGCCCCCGCAGTAGCCTACCTCTGGCAAAAGCCAAAGTCATCATGGAAAGACTTCACCAAGGCTGACGTCACCTTGGAGGGTTGAGGTCACCTGAGAGGGCTAATGTCACCTGAGCACACTATGTCACCAAGAGGGCAGAGGTTACCTGGAAAGGCAGAAGTCCCCTGGCAGAGCTGAGGTCACCTGAGGAAACAGGTCACTTGGAAGGGAAGAGGTCACTTGGGAGAGTTAATATCCCCTAGGAGAACTAATGTCACCTGAGAAGGCAGAGATCATCTGGGAAAGCAGAGGTCCCCTGGAAGACCTGAGTTCACCAGGGAGGGCAGAGATAACCAGGGAGGACTAATGTCACTTAGGAGGGCTGAGGTCACCTGAAAAGACTGAAGTCATCTGGAAAGGCAGAGGTCACCTGGGAGAGCTGAGGTAACCTAGGAGGGCACAGATCACTTGAGAGGGGAGAACTAATGTCACCCAGGAGGGCAGAAGTCACCTGAGAAGGCAGAGGTCACCAGGAAGGCCTGCCACAGGTCCCGGGGAATTTAGGGTGCAGCTTCCGTGCCCCTCTCCTGACACTGTGGTTCACTTGAGCCAGTCATGGACATCTCAGATGAAAAGGAGCTATGGAAGAGACTCCTGCTTCATCCAAACTCATGTGTGGCCAGAAAAGGCATAGGTGAGGGCCGTTAAGAACACCCTGACCCGAACTGCAGATGCTAAGCTGGGGAGGCCACTGTGCCAGGCTCAGGGCAACACCCATGAACTGAATCCCTATGAAGGCTGGCTTGTGGGTGCTGACCACTGCACATAGGGGACTGGGATGGCTCACAGGCTGCTGGGCACAGGAAGACAGCTAGGTCCAGACCCTGTGTGGGCAGCCCATGGAGTCTGCTCAGCAGCTCTTCCTGCCAGGAATGGTCAGGAAAGTGGGGGCTGGAGAGTGGGAGCAGCCATCTCAGTAAGTCCTTCCCTGTCTGCTGTGCTGTTCAGGGTTCGGGTGAAGGGGAACTTTGATCCCAAAGCCTGATTAAGATGATGGCTTCTTCAGGATCCAAACTCACTTTATGACAAAAGAAATGTTCATTAGGCACTTCACCATCTTGTAAAATATTCTGAGAGGGACAATCTGCAACAACGCAAAGCTTGTGGGGTTTGAGGTGGGAAAGGAAAATAAAACTCAGGACTCCAATTCACTATGCCAAATGGAAAAAATTAAGCTGAAAGCTGAGTCATGCAAAAAACTGTCTTTCCTTTTGTTCCTCAGCAGATAGCTACAGATAGAAGGTTAAATAGCTCCTCAAGTAGCTAGTCTTATGTTCACCTTATGTAAAGGGCCTATTACTGAGTGTGAGATGAATCCATAATTGACTGTTTTCCTGCCTACTCCTTTTCTCTTGCAACATGTGGATAACCACACCCTCTTTCCCATCTAGCACACTTCTCACCTTTAAATATTGAAGCCCTCACAATCATCTTTGAGAAAGGTACATATACCTGTTTCCTGGGTGCGTCCTTAACCTTGGCAAAATGAAAATTCTAAACTGATTGAGACCTATCTGACATACTTTTTCGTTTACAAGTTGGCAACCAACGGAAGAGACTCTGAGTGAAGGTGGCCCTGACCTTTGACAAATCTACTTGTGCATGGTACCAGTATGAGCTATATTTTTATTTTATCTGTTTTAATTTTGAGACAGTGTTTCACTCTGTCACCCAGGTTGAAGTGCAGTGGCACGATCCCTGCTCACTGTAGCCTCCACCTCCCGGGCTCAGGTGATCCTTCCACCTCAGCCTCCTGAGTAGCTGGGACTACAGGCTTGTGCCACCACACCGGGCTAATTTTTGTAATTTTCATAGAGACAGGGTTTTGCCTTGTTGCCCAGGCTGGTCTTGAACTCCTGGGCTCAAGAAATCCTCTGGCCTTGCAAGGCCTCCCAAAGAGCGGGGATTACAGGCATGAACCACCATGTCTGGCCTTGAGCTATCTTTATTGTTCAAACTGTTACAATAGGTAATTAGTCAGACATGAATAGGTCAGGAGAGGGACCCTCGCCCAGGAATGTCAGGCAACCATCAGATGGTGGTCAGGAGGTTGTTAAACTGCCTCTTGAAAATAATAATTGGCTGCAGCCGGTGCCAGGGAAAGGCAGCCTCCCAATAGAAACACCTCAAGTTGGTAATCAGCAGCTTCCCAATAAGATCTCAGGAGGTGGGCTAGTGGACTTAAGCATGTGCACTAACAGGCAAAATGGCAGAGTTGAACCAGTATATAACCTTTCTCCAGGAACACTCGGCTGGTAAGGGAAGAATGCCTTAAGTGAGCATGTGTACAATTTTGGTAAACACATTGTGTATGTTGCCCCTTCCAAGTGCTGGCAGGCCACTGTGCACGTGGACAGCCCACCCCAAGGGAAAAATCAAGGGAGAAGAGATGCAAACCACTCCCCCGCCCCAAGAGGCATGCCAATGTATGAAACCCCAAGTCAAAGATCAAACCATGAACTTGATCTCTCAAGTCACCCACTCGGCCCTCTTTCAAGTGGACTTTACTTTCTTCAGTTTCTGCTCTAAAGCTTTTTAATAAATTTTCACTCTTGGCTCTAAAACTTGCCTCAATCTTTCACTCTGCCGTATGCCCCTCAGTCGAATTCTTTCTTCTGAGAAGGCAAGAATTGAGATTGCTGCAGACCCATATGGATTTGCTGCCAGTAACAAAACCAACAGGACGATTTGCTGAGGCCTGGGAGGTATCATCTCCAGAGAATCCCTGATTTCTCAAAATGTTGTTGAGATCTAAGGTTTATTTTGCTGTTCAACTCCTTTTCTAGAGTTTTACTTGCATCCAAAAAGATGAGTTTTTCTGAATCCATGATAATGGAAAGCAGGCAACTCCTTTCCAGAGTTTCAGCTTGCTTCCAACAGGGAAGATGAGTTTTGAGTTTTTTTCCTGCTTCTAGGATGATAGAGAGCAATCTTCAACCTGGGCCTTATTCCTACATAAGTAGCTGAAATGGGGTTTGTCTTGGAAATTCTCTGAAAGTTAAGATTAACTACCAGCTGGTCTTGATTCCTCCTTACCATTAGAGTGCTCAGTAATCTTATAAATTGTGCAATCATTTGTTTTGCTTTACTTTTTTGTTGTTGTTTATTTGTTTGGTTCTGTTTTTGTTGTTTTAGTCTTTTTTCCATTGGGTTTGACCACTCTAGTTGACTTGGTCAAACCTGAAGGAAAGTTCTAAATTATGGGGAACAAGACCTCTGAACTGGCTAAATTCCTGAAGCTGGAAAAACAAAGAGAAAAAAAAGAAAAATCAGCCATCGAAGCAAGAAAGATTTCAATTACCTGAAGGGCTTTATTTACATAACAAAACAACCCTTTGCTAGCCAAGCCAAACTGAAATAGCAATAGTGGTTGCCCCATGCTGTAGTTCAGTAGCTAAGGTTCTGCCCTTTTTCCACCATGGCAGCCTGGGTTTGGTTCCTAAATAAAGTCTTTACTGGTTTGATATTTGTGTTACATTTGAAATATTAGAAGTTTGTCCCACCTAAAACATGGTAATGTAACCAAAATGCAGGTTAGTCGCTTGTTGCTTGCAGAGTCCAATTAACAAAAGTGAAGTCTGGTATAAAGAAAGTAATTTATTTCCAAAACTAGCTTAGGGGAAGAAATGCAGGTGTCCTCCATATGGCTTCACTTTTAAAAAGCAGGGGAGGAAGTGAGCAAGGGTGGTGGCGGGGGGTCCATGCTAGCTCTTGTGCCTTATCTACGGGGCAATCAGCTTGTGACTGCTGGCACCTTCATGGGCAGGCTGTTATCTCTTGAGACAACCTCCTAAAGAGTGAGAGTTCCACAGTGGGCATGATTGGTTTATAAATCAACTGTTAATTCTCAAGTTGACTTTCCAGTTTGAGCGTGTAGTTAGATGAACTTGCACTGTAGGGAGAGTCCGGTAATGGGGAGGTAAAAGGCTATATTTGCATTCCTAAAAGCCTAAGTAGGGAGTGGGGAACTGAAGGAACAAGAAAAGGAAAGAAAAAAAATAATAATTGATGTCTCAGGAAAATGGGTGTACTCGGTTACAGCAATGAGATTTTAAAGGATTTTTAAAGCTCAGTGGTTAAAAGTCAGCTTGATTAAATGCTAATATACATAAGGTGTCAAAATTTGGCATGACGGTTATAAAATTATAAATGTAACTCAAAAGATAATTATCCTTGTGTAATTTTTTTTGATAAATAAGTCATTTATCCTGAGTTATTGGCGAAAAACTCATTTGTTTAACCTTAAGCTTCTTACTTAGGTAAACACCTGAAATTCACAGGCTATATAAATGATTAACAGGAAAATACCTTTAAATGTTGATTATCACAGTTTTCATAAGTAATCTAGGTAAACTATTAAAAATAAGTTAGGTAAATGTAATGGAAGGAATGCTTGTAAATAAGCATAATATAATTTAGAATCTAAAGTTATATTACATAACAGGCATTTATTAAATGTCTGGGTCATTCACAATTAAAAAAATTACAGAAAAACATTTTGCTAAGAATATGTTCTTATTTAAAGGAAAATAATTTTTGTTGAATTCAAAGGTTATTTAAAGGTTATGAAACAAGATAAAAGGAACCACTAAATAAGAGCGATATAAAGACAGTTAAAAATATAAAGAGATATTTTTGGTAAGAAAGGTTAAAAGGAAAATTTTATATGAGAAAAAAATCTTGCATGGTAAATGTTTGTTCTAAAATAAAATGGCTGGATGCAAATAGCTCATGCATGTAATCCTAGCACTTTGTAAGGCTGAGGTGAGCAGATTGCTTGAGCCTGGGAGTTCCAGACCAGCCTGGGCAACATGGTAAAACCCTGTCTATACAAAAAACACAGAAAATTAACTGAGTATGCTGGTGCACATCTATAGTCCCAGCTACCTGGGAGGTTGAAATGGGAGGATTGCTTGAGCCTGGGTGGGTCAAGGCTGCAGTGAGCTGTGATCATGCCACTACACCCCAGCCTGGGTGACACAGAGAGAGAGACCTTGTCTCAAGGAAACAACAGCAGCAACAACAGCAGCAACAACAAAGAAATCTTAAAAAAAAGAAAAAGAAGATAAAATGATTGGTTATTTAGGAAAGAAGCTGTTTAGGATAAAACAGGAAGTCTAGGCATGTCATAAGTGGCTTGTGTAAGTCATAGTAAGGTTTGTAAAAAGAGACTTTATGAGAAAAGAATTTATTTGATCAAGTTGGCTATAATTAAAAGGAAATTAGTCTTTCTAGAGACTGTGCTTTTGCACTTAGTGTATATTAAAAATATGCTAATCCACTCAAGAATGGGCTAGAAGAACAAAATTTTCTTAAGATATTAATTTACTCTTAACAAATTACAAGATATTTTAATTTTTTTACCCCAGATTTCAACTTTTATTGAATCTCACTGTTTTCACCTTTCTCTCCCCTTCATAAGTCCTGAGATAATCGCTCTCTCCAACTTTCTTGTCAGTTTCTATAATTTTTTTTCCTCAGGTTCTAACTGCTACTGTGACATGATGCTAAAAGTGTTTTATCTTAAAGGTCTAAAGGAAATATTTTCTTCCAATATAACATTCTGTGCTCTTGGTTTGAAGTTTTTCTATGAAACTGAAAATTTTCACTTATGATGCAAGACACACCCTTCCTATATCTAACTAATTCAAGTACCATTTTCATTAGTTTTGACTTGAAGTCTAGGGAAAAGCAATTGCTGCAGGTCTTTTATTTATTTTTTGCCTTTTGGTAACTGGCCTAACAAACAGATTTTATATTTTATTGAAACAATTCCTATGTCATTAAGTTTTTTATTTGCCTAGGAAAACTGAGATTTAAAAAATTAAAGTTATTAACATCCATACAATGTTCTGTATTGCTTTTAAAGTCCTTGTTCTGTTGAGTTACAGGGCTTTGACTCCTGTATCTAAAAAGGACACCAAGTCCTGCTAAATCTTAAACACTGAAAGCTTCTAAAACCGTATCTTCAGAACCAGGAGAAGATGATAATCAAAAGAAACTGCACTCATGAAACACAGGGCCAGAAATTGAAACTATCTTACCCCTCAAAGTCCAGGGGCTATTGTGGAAGATGTGGGTACATGCGATTGTAAGAGCCTATTTTGAAAGATAAAATTGGTTTTATCTTGGTTACAGTTTCTCTGTAAAGATTAGTATCAAAGGCTCACTGATGCAAGACTAACCTCTGAGCTCCTGTGTCAGATTAACAAGGTTTTCTTGGAGTATTAACCCACTTTTTCATTTAAAAAATTATAAAATGTTACAAAAAGGTTTTTGGAAATTATATAGTATGGTGAAGATCATTAAAATTTAATAGATTTGTTTATAAGATTTGAGAAACAGATTTCATTGGCCTCATGCTATCTTTATTAGGGCTTATTGTTTGGAAAATTAAGTCTCCTCTCTCAAAGAGTAATGGTTTTGTCTTTTGACTTTTTTTTTTTTGAAATCTTTGAGTTATCACTTTGGTTAAATGAATGACTTATTTTACAATGACCAATGACCAATGATCCTATTTTGTGATAGCAGGTGTTTTAAAGTTTTGATATTTGATTTTTTCAAAATTAAATTCTAAATTCAGTCCTTTTGACTCATTAATTTTTTTGATATTAGGTCCCCTTAAGTCCAAAAGACACATATTTGCCTTATTTGGTATAATACAATCATTAGATATTAATTTCATATTTGACAATACCTACTGTATAATTTTATTATACCAAATAAATGTAACCTAATAATCTATAATTATAATTTATATTTATAGATTTAACCTGTAATTTTATTATACCAAACAGGTATAACCTCATTTCATGGGATGCGCCCATTCCCCTGAATTCCTCCATCTCCCCTGGGACCTGTGTTGAAGGTCATCTCAGTAGCTTCTAGGTTTTAGTGATAATGAATAAGGCAGTGAATGTGACATGTAGGTTTTAGGTGTACATACATTTTCAAGTCAGCTAGGTCAACGTCTATGACACTTGTGGTCACGTGGTACAAGTACATTTAGCTTTGTGAGCAATTCCCAACTGTCTTCCAAGGCGGCTGTACCATTTTGCATTCAGCAGCAGCAGCATTTTGCAGCAGCAATGCACAGAGTTCTTGTGGCTCCACATCCTCTATGGTGTTTGGTGTTGTCAGTGTTGCCTGTGAAGTCTGAGCCCCTCTTGTGGGTCTCTACCTCAGGTACTTGTGGGTCATAGAGAGAACTTTTCACCATGCAGCATGATTGTGTTTGCTACCGCTTGTTTCCTCAGTAGCCACTTGGGTTCTGGACCCACATGCCCCAGCTCGGCCCATGGTTTGGAGCTCAGTAGATGCTCTGTGATGCTGGCTGCTCCCTGGCCAAGAGAGCCCTTGGGGGGCTCTGTCACGTCCTATCTTGGACTCCTGCATGGGATGCCCCTATTCCTCTGAATTCCTCCGTCTCCCCTGGGACCCTCCATCCCCCATAGGCCTTACCTGACTCTGTAGTGCTCCCAAAACATGACATGGTGTCTGAAGGTGCACTTCATGTCCAGGTCAATCTGGTTTATTTTCGCTGAGGACATCTTGCCCTGCTGCTTTATTTTCTGCTCCCTCTGCTCCCAAATCCTAGGCCCTCCTGAGTGTGAGCCCATAGAAAGACCCTCTTCCCTTCCCTAAGTGGCCACCTGGACTGATAACCTGTGGTGGATGAGGATGGGGCTGGTCCTTCCCTGGGGCTCACTCTCCCGCAGTTGCTTTACAGTGAGAGCCCTGTATAGGAGCCCTGCTCCTTTATTTTCTTTAGGGCAGGGCTAAAGGGCTGGTTCCTCAGGAAGGAACCAGCCTCATAACAGACAAAAGGCTCACTACCACAAACAGCAATCATTCAGCACTTCTGGAAGGAAAGACGATTTTTTTTTTTTTTTTTTTGCAGAAATATCCTTCTCTATCTTATTTCCAAAGCCACTGAGGGTCACCAGAGCCCAGTTCACTTGTGGTTCCCATGCCATCGTCTGTGCCTAGGATATGGGACTGACCATCACTCAGGCTTGACTTTTCCTCTAGCTAGAGACCTGGGCTCCTGACATGGCCTGGCCTGTTTCTTCCGCTGTGGCTGAGTGTGGAAGGACCATACCTGGTACTTACTTGGGTTTTCAGCCTTCACCTTCTTAACGTCCAGCAGGAGTGACCATGCCTGACTCCACATCTGCAGGGGGATTCCTTAACAACATGCTTTTTTGCCTTAACAACATGCTTTTGCTGCAGATATCAGCCAGGGCCTGTTTCTCTGCTCCTCGCTAAGAATGCTTTGTTTCCCATAAGGAATGCTTTTAGCTAATATATAATCTATAGAAGCAATGCTTATCACTGGCTTACTGTCAATTAATATGTGGGTCTAACTCCATTCATGGCTCTCAGCTCTGAAGGCTATCAGCCCCTGATTCCCACTCTACACTCTATTTCTGTGTCTGTGTCTTTAATTCCTCTAGCGCCACTGGGTTAGGGTCTCCACGACCGAGCTGGTCTTGGCAATTGGTTGGGAGGACAGAAGACTGACTCACTGTGGAATCTCAAGCTGACTGATGACCTTGTAGATGTAAACATCTTCATCTCCTGTGTCCACTGGTGCCCTGGATCAGCAACCTGCAAGGCAGAGGGAGAGAGGGTGAGGGAGGCCAAAATAAAAGTTGTTGGGTATGGGCGTGTGGGCAGCTCATCCTTGCCCTGCATCCCGAAGGAGTCCAGGACCATCAGACCAGGGAACAGAGGGAGAGGTGAGACCCGCCTTCCTGGAGGGAGCAGCCTGACCTGTGTCTGCTTATACTTGGCAATGATGTCCCTTTACTCCTGGGCGAGCAGGATATCCATGTCTTTGTCCATATCCACCCTATAAGACAAAATACTCCCAAAATTACATGGCACCTGAGAGCTTTAGAGAACACCCCATACATCTGCTCCCAGATGCCAGCCGGGTGAACTTCATTTCACCAACACCCCCAGGACAATGGGACCAAGCCAA
Source organism: Homo sapiens (assembly GCF_000001405.40). Taxonomy (NCBI): domain Eukaryota; kingdom Metazoa; phylum Chordata; class Mammalia; order Primates; family Hominidae; genus Homo; species Homo sapiens. The sequence continues at coordinate 784,908 of NT_167247.2, read as the reverse complement.
ATGGCCCCACCTCTGCCAGGATTTCTGGAGTCCCTGGGCCTGACCAGAGGTGGGCCCTTTCCTGAGGACTTTAAAACAAGGAGACCTAGACAACAAGACTTGTTGTCCCTAAATGTCCTGAAATGGGCACACACTCCACAGCAGGATGAACGGCATCTACCTGCTCAGGGTGAAGGGCCATGATGACTATAATGGACACCTGGAGGCAGACTAGGGCCAGGAACCAGAAATCTCTATATGATCAGCCTCCTGCTATTGTTCAGACACCATGAAGATGCCCAGTTTTCTATAGGAAAGAAGAAATCTCATGAGTGTTCTGTTCCACTCAAATCTTTACTCACTGTGGCCAGTGAATCCATTTGAAGAATAACACCAGTCAAGAAGGAGGATGTTTGGTTCGGAGAAGGCTTGATCTATTGTCTCCAAAGCAGCCTCCCTTTGGTGGAGGGAGGGCAGATTCCACAGTCCTGAGCAGTTGATACAGGAAGAGGCTTTGTTTTCCCAGGTCACCAAAGAACAAGTGAACTCTTGGGGACAGGTTCTGGAGAACACCCAGAGGGGCCATCTCTCCTGGGAATACCTGAGACAAAGGGAAGGTGATACGTCTGGAGGACAGGTCAGAGAGAGGGCCTTGCAGGTTAAACCCCTGTCCCCAGGCCTCAGAGAACAGGAGGAATGACTGTCACCTTTCGGCCAGACCTCCAGGGTTTCTTCATTTTCCACAACTATTCGAGGGCAGAGGGCTCCCAGCTCTGCTCCCAAACTGGAAAACTCCAGTGCCTGGTGGGTCCCACAGTAACCATCAGAGCCCACACTTAAAGTCTGAATGGATAAGATCCCTGCCTCTGGGGAACTTTTTCTTGCACAGACTTGGACTGAGGGATGCCTCTAACCCCACCCACAGGGCCCCCCATTCCTGTGGCTCTTCCAGAGCCAGGTTCTACCCCCACTGGGGTCCAGAATCCTCAGCAGATTTTGTATCTAAGGCAGGAAGGCTGCAGAGGTCAGGAGTTGAGTGCAGGACAGCACAAGGCAGGGCTGAGATCACAGTCCAGAGTCACATCTGGGTCCCTGGGTCAGTTGCCTCCGCTCTGACCTCAGGCATCTCATCTTCAAATGGGTACATTAGCACCCATTCCACGAAGTCAGTGTGAGGGTGAATGAGACGGCTGCAATACATGGTCAGTGAAGAGAAAGCACCTGGTGGGAGCTCAGCGACATTACCCTCCACAGCGCCCCGGAGGCCAGTGATGCCATCTGGTAGCATCTGCCCCCATGTCAGCAGGAAGGGGAGACAGCAGGTCACACTTACCCGAGAATGATCAGTCAGCTGTGCTGAGATGTGCCTCTCACTTAGAAAAGGGTCCTGCACACAGAGACACTCACAGACACCACTGTGTGTCTCCAGCTGCTCCACAACTCAGAGGCAGGCAGATGTTCAGCAACAGTGACGTCTGGGGTTACAGCACCCATCAGAGTGGGGCCCTGCCTGGGTCAGCAGGGCCCAGGTCCAGTGTCCTCTACTCCTTGAACTGTCAACACGCATGCATTCAATGTGTTTGTGTGTGAGTGTGAATGTGTATGTTGTGAACACGTGTGTGCATGAGTGTGTCTCTTCTCTGGCTGGTCTTGGCTGCTCCACCACATGTGCACCCAGGTCCTCATCACTGTCACCCCCAAGGGCTGTGGCCAGCATCAGAGCATCTATGGGTGCTCCCTAGTCTCTGCCCTCTCCACCTGAGGCAGTTCTGGATATGCAGACATAGGAAGGGCAGAGGGCAGAGGGCTTGCCCTTTCCTCATAGGGACTCAGTTTGTGTGTAAAATTTTAGGCCTACATGCTCAGCAGGGCAGGATTCAGCACACCTTCTCACGTCCTCCTCCTCCTCGAAGCCTTCTGGGCTGCTGTGTCCATTCCCCTTTTATAGATGAAGGGAAGGAGGCTCCCAGGACAAATCTCCTGTCTGAGGTCACACAGTGGCAGGTGACTAGGCACCACTGACCAGGTCCCCTGCCTAACTGGACCTGAGGAAGGAGGAAGCTCAGGAGGGAGGTGGGTGGAATCACCTCTTGGATGTCAGCTTCTGTCCACCAGGTGTCAGGTGACCCCCTCTTATCTGTTTTCTTTACCTCTGCTATCTCCCTTGGTCATTGAAATTGAACTGGGGTGGGGACATATTGGGAACCTATACCTGCAGCCCTTCCATCTCCTCAGAAACCTTCCCATGGGCCCAAAAATGCCCCCTCACTGGCCTCCTGTTTTCTACTCTTTAACTCTTAACCTCACCCAGGCATGGGGCCATAGTGGCCTGGAGACCCTATCAGATGCAAGTCCATTAGGGCACATCCCTGCTTAGGGGTCACCACCAGTGCCCCATCCCAATGGGACGCTCCAGTGGCTAAGAAACCCCCTTGCTCCCACACAGCCATGTGGAAACAACCTCATGTCCATTGAGAGATGAAAGGAAATGGAGGCTATCCTCACAATGGAATATTATCCAGCCATGCAAAAGAAGGAAATCCTGCCATTTGCAACATGGATGAACCTGGAAGACGCTGTGCTAAGTGAGACAAGCCAGTCACAAAAAGACATATACTGTATAATTCCACTGAGATAAAGTACCTAAAATAGTTAAACTCATAGAAGCAGAATGTAGAATGGGGGTTACTGGGAGGTGAGAAGAGGGACATGAGGAGTTGCTTTTCAGCTTGTGTAAAATTTCGGGTATGGAAGATGATTAAATTCTAGAGATTCGATGCATAACATCCTACCTATAGTAAACAATGCTGTATTACACATTAAAAAAATTCTGCTAACATTAGGAGATATATGTGTGTGTACCTGTGTGTGTATACAGTGTAGTATTTTTTTTTTTTTTGCTGAACAGTACTCCATTGTATGGATGCACCATAGTTTGTTTACATGTTCACCTGTTAAAGGACATTTAGTTTGCTTCTGGGTTTTGCCTATTATGACTGGAGCTTTTATAACAGTTTGTGTACGGGTGTCTGTGTGGACATAAGCTTTTATGTCTTTAGGAGAAATACCAGGGCTGAGATTGCTGGTTCCCGTGGTAAGTATATGTGTAACCTTACAAGAAACAAATTGCTTTCCAGTGCAGCTGTGCCATTTTGCTTTCCTGGCAGCGATGTGTTAGTCCTGTTGCTCCACATCCTCGCCGGCACTACTAGTGTCTGTGGTTTTTATTTTAGACATTCTAATGGGTGTGTAACAGGATCTCACTGTGGTTTTGATTTGTAGTCCCCTAGTGAGTCATAGTATTGAGTACCTTGTCTGGGCTGCTCTGCCTGCTGCGTGCCCTCGTTGCTGAAGTTTATGTCTGAGTCTTTGTCTCATTTCTGAAACTGGTTTTGTTTTCTTGTTTTTGAATTGAATTGATTGTTTTAATTGGGTTGGCTTGAGCATTCTTAAGTGTTCTGAATATGAGTCCTTGTCAGACGTGTGCTTTTTTAAAATATTTTCTCCAAATCTACAGCTCATCTTTTCATTCACTTAACAATGTATTTTACAGAACAAAAGTTATAATTTTGATGAAGTACAACTTATTGAATTTATTTTTGCCTTTTGCTATACTTTGCTTTCAGTGTCACATCTATGAACTCTTTGCCTAACTAGATTGGAAAAATTTTTTCTCCTATGTTTTAGTCTAAGCATTATATATTTTTATATTTTATGCTTAGATCTACGATCCATTTTGAGTTAATATTGTAACTAATGCAATTTGTTACATGTAAATTAGGAGGTTTAGATCAAGATTCATTATTCTGGATAAGACTGTCCAATTGTTGACTGGGTGCCGTGGCTCACGCCTGTAATCCCAGCACTTTGGGAGGCCGAGGCTGGTGGATCACGAGGTCAGGAGTTCAAGACCAGACTGGCCAAGATGGTGAAACCCCATCTCTACTAAAAATCCAAAAAATTAGCCGGGCCTGGTGGCAGGCGCCTGTAATCCCAGCTACTTGGGACGCTGAGGCAGAGAATTGCTTGAACCCAGGAGGCGGAGGTTGCAGTGAACCGAGATTGCCACTGCACTCCAGCCTGGATGACAGAGCAAGACTCCGTCTTAAAAACAAAAACAAAACCAAAAACTAAAAAATAAAAAAAGACTGTCCAATTGTTTTAACACTGTTGAAAAGACCTTCCTTTCTCTGTTGAATTGCTGCTGTTCCTTTGTCAATAATTAGCTATAATTGTGTGGGTTTATTCCCAAGCTTCCCAATGTCTTCCATAGATCTATGTGTCTATCACTTCTCCAATATCACCTTGTCTCGGTGAGCTCTTTTGGAACAGCACTTTGGAAGGGTAACCTGCAAGTGGGGTGAGGGGCTCTATGATGGGACATACCTGGCCTAGTGGGCAAGGAAGGGCTTTATGGTCAAACATTCCTGGGATGCAGTAACGGCTTTCCCCTGTATTGCGGGACATCAAATATTCTCTTCATTTCTTTCAACTTGAATGTTCTCACCTGTAAAATGAAAAATAACTATTCTACCTTATTTGGAAGAGAAGACCAAGAACCTATATGACATTGAGCAGGTGTCTACGGAGCACCTAGTATCATGTGATACACTTGGAAGATACCCTGGTGAACATGCTGGACACAGCTCCTGCTTCTGTAGGGCTTGCATGTTAGTGAGGGAGACAGAGACATAACCAGACAACTGTAATTATGGGCCAACATTTCTGCCCTCAGAAACATATGATGTGCAAGTGGGTCAACACAACCCAATCGTGGAGTGAAAGAGAAGGTTCTGGGGCAGTGACTTCAAAGTGAAAGAGTACAGGGTGAGAAAGGGGCAGCACAGGAACAAAACAGGGCGTGGGGAAAGAGGGACTATAGGTAGGCAGACAGCATGGGAGAAGGCAGAGGATGAAGAGAGTAGGACAGCATGGTGGGGCATAGAGAGCACTGAACAATGGCGAGAAATGGGATCCACCAGAGAATAAAGGAAGGGTTTTGCATGTTCCAGTGAGGTGTTGGGCTTCATGTCGTTCATTTTGTTTTATTCTATTGAATTTTATTGCTATTATTCCACATAAAATTCACCATTTTAAGTTACACAATTTAATTTTAAATATATTCACAAGATTTGGAACTATCATTGCTATCTAATTCCAGATCACTTATATCACCCTTAAGAGAAAGCTTATACTCATTAGCCGTCAGTTCCTATTCTCCCCTCCTGCAGCCCCTGGCAACCATTAATCTGTGTTTAGTCTGTATGGATTCACCTATTCTGGACACTTTACATACATGGAATTATATAATATGTGGTCTTCTGTGCCTGGCTTCTTTCACTGAACATGCTGTTTTCACATTTCATCCACATGATAGCCAATGTCAGTGTTTCATTCCTTTTTATGGCTGAAGGACATTGCATTGTGTAGATGTATCAGTTTCCTAGGGCTGCTGCAACAATGTACCACAAACTGGGCGGCTTCAAACAACAGGAACTTATTGTCTCATAACTCTGGAGGTTAGCAGTCTAAAGTGTCAGCTGGCTACCCTCCCTCTGAAACCTGTAAGGGAATCCTACCTTGCCTCTTCCTAACTTCTGGTGGTTTGCCAGCAATCTTGGCTTGCAGGAGCATCACTCCAGTCTCTCCTCTTGTCACCACATGGTTGCCTTCTCTTTGTATGTTTGTGTCTTCACATGCTATCTTTTCGTAAAGACACCTGCCGTATTGGATTAGGGCCTGCTCTACTCTAGTATAACTTTGTCTTAACTAATGACATCTGCAATGCTGCTATTTCCAAATAAGGGCACATTCTGAGGTTTGGGGAGTAGAGCTTCAATGTATCTTTCTTGGGAGGGCACAATTCAACCCATAACAGTGGACACACCTTTTCTTTATGCTAGGCTTTCTTATAAAAGTAATGAGATGCCAGTTAAATTAACAGTCCTTAGTGCTTCCTGTTTTTTGAGTCAAGCGCTTCGCATGTGTTATGAAGTTTACAATTGCTCTGCAGGGTGGAAGGTGGAAGCTATTATTTATAAGAAAAAAAAATTAAGGAAAGAATGGTGAGAGGGTGAACCAAGGTCACACTCTTGATCCATAATGGAGATAGGAAGACTTTCCAAGGTTTTTCCAAAAGTTCTACACTTGGTAAGTGGCAGAGTCCAAATAGAAACTCAGGTTTTCTGCTTCCAAATCCCATGATCTTTGCAATGTTGCAAGTCTGGCTTCTGCTGTGAAACGCTACTGTTATAGAATACGTCTTCCAGATCACAGAAGCTTTCATGACCCTTCGACTGTCTCATGCAAGCAATGGTGAAATGGTAGAGATGCTAATTGAGCGGGGACATCAAGGGCACCCTCAGGGCTGAGTCAGCTGCAGTCCACAAGACAGAACTAAAAGGAAAGAATCCATGGGGAAACACCTTCATTAGGCCTTTTCACTATGGGAAAAGAACTTTCAGAGTTTGAGTGATGGGAAGAGTGAGGACCTTAAACAAAATGGTGAAAGCAAAAGAAATTTTTAGAGGAGAATGGTGGGTTCAATTTGGCCCTGGTGAATTTGAAGGGTGTATTAGTCTGCTAGAGCTGCAATAGCGAAGTATCACAGACTGGGAAGCTTCAACAAGAAAAATTTATTTTCTCATAGTCCTGGAGGCCAAAATTCTGACATTAAGGTGTCCGCAGTGTTGATTTCTTCTGAGGCCTCTCTTGTTGGTTTGTAGATAACTGTCTTCTCCCTGTGTCTTCACACAGTTGTCCCTCTGTGAGTGTCCGTGCCCTAATATCCTCTTAGGGCCCACCCTAATGATCTCATTTTAATTCTATAAAGACACTATTTCCAAAGAAAGTCACATTCTGAGATACTGGGGGTTAGAACTTCAATATACAAATTTTGAGAGGACACAACCCAACTCACAACAAAGACCTTGCTGTGCAGTAAAGCAGAGATATCTTTTAGGTTCTTAGCACTCAGAGTTGACAGTTGAGGAAAGACCAAGGTTGAGCATGTCATTTTTTTGTTTTGTTTTGTTTTTTGAGATGGAGTCTCGCTGTGTCACCCAGGCTGGAGTGCAGTGATGTGATATCAGCTCACTGCAACCTCTACCTCCTGGGTTCAAGCAATTCTCCTGCCTCAGCCTCCTGAGTAGCTGGGACTACAGGTGCACACCACCATACCAGGCTAAGTTTTTTGTGTTTTTAGTAGAGATGGGGTTTCACCATGTTGGTCAGGCTGGTCTCAAACTCCTGACCTCAAGTGATTCACCTGCCTCAGCCTTCTAAACTGCTGAGATTACAGGTGTGCGCCACCACACCTGGCAAAGATGTCATTTTTAGGAGGCAGAAATTGAAGACATGTGATATGGTTTGGCTGTGTCCCACCCAAATCTCATCCTGAATTGTTGTTCCCATAATCCCCACATGTTGTGGGAGGGACCTGGTGGGAAGTAATTGAACCATGGGGGAGGTTGCCTCCATGCTGTTCTTGTGATAGTGAATTGTTATCAGATCTGATGGTTTTTTAAAAGGGGCTTCCCCCTGTCCCCTTTCACTCTGCCCTTCTCCTTGCTGACACCATGTAAAGAAGAAGGTGTTTGCTTCCCCTTCTGCTGGCATTGTAAGTTTTCTGGGGCCACTCCAGCCCTGCAGACCTGGGAGTCAATTAAACCTCTTTCCTTTATAAATTACCCAGTCTTAGGCTGTCTTATAGCAGCGTGAGAACGGACTAATACAACATGTGATAGCTGATGATCCCAGAAACAAAGTCTAGAGAAATTGGGTGAGGATGCCAGTCTTGTGTGTTTTTGGTCATTGACAAGGTAAAATAAAATTTCTTAAAACGTTTTCCTACTTTTGCTATAGAAGCTTGATTTGTGAAATAGTGTTTGGAGAGTTGTAGTATAAATATCAATGCAGAGTGAATTAAAAAACAGAAGAAATGGATAAACCAGATTTACAATCATTAAGTAAATCAAAATTGGTAGTTAAAAAAATTTAGCATGACCAGGCCCAGATGATTTAACAGGCAAATTGAACAATTGAAAAATAGGCAGCAGGTAGATTTTTCTGGATTTACAGAGTGTATCCACCCCAGCATATCCACTTCTCTGAGCCTTCTCACCTCTGTCTTTCGTGGGGAGTTGTCACTTTTTCCATACTTACAGGAGCTTACCTTGAATCTGATTTGAACTATCTTCTGGAATCCCTGTTAGGCTGTTAAATCCTGTATCCTGTGAGGATCCTCCTGCATTGATAATAAACCTCTCTCATCTAACCTTAGGTTCTACTTGGAAATGGAGACCCTTTAGTATCCAGCCCCATGGATATCTCAGGACTTCTGCCCATATATGTGGCTATATTCTGTGGCTCTTCCCCTATTAAGTCATAAGGTCCCTGGCTGAGGTAGGCTGTGGTGAACCTCATCATTGGCCTGGCCACCAGGAAACAAGGTGTGAGCTGATCAGGGGGTTTTAGGGCACTACAGTCTTGTGGGAGAGCAGTCTCTGCCTTCTCTCCAAGCAAGGGGCCAGTGCTTTCCCTTCCTAGGGAGGGCTGGGCCACTCTGCACACTCAGATTGTGCAGGGGCATCTGGGGATTCAGATAAAAAGAGAAATGGGCAGAGGGGAACAAGAAAGGGGCACAGAGAGAGAAGCTGGGATGAGTCACGAGAGCACAGAAAGAGGGGCAGAGACACGGCTGGTTGCCAGCAAGGTCTCAGGATCAATAGGAAGACCATTGTTGGAAGGAGGAAGATTTCCCCAGTATTTTGTGTGGGAGCTCCAGTTGGAAGCTGGAAGCTCTGCTCTTTTGCATCTTAGCGTGAAGACGGGGACCATGGGTTCATCTCTCCCAGGCAGCTCTTCATTTTGTTGTTTTATTTTCTTTTTTGATTTTTATTTAGAAATTTTCTACATTTCCTAAAATCTTAACTTTTATATCATTGTTGGTGTCCAGTAAATTAAGAGAAATGTGGCAAAATGACATGGAATCCAAATACATCATCAAAGAGATATTTTATTTGTAAACAAGTTACTCTCTAAGGTCTTAAAATCTGCCCCAAGTGTTCTCTCTGCACGTGAACAGGCGGAATAATTGTGATAAAATGGAAGAGCCCAGCAGGTGGGGTCTGTGAGATCATTCAGCTGACTCCTGCAGACAATGTGCTCTCTCTCTCTCTGCCCCCACACTAAGGGTGCACTCCTTGTTCATCTCCAGGACGGTGTCAGCAAATGCTGCCTGGGGCATGCTGGTGATCACTGTGTCACTTTGGGTCAGGAAACACATTCTGGAGAGGACAAAGCAAGTGAACAGGCCTTGTACGCTGAGTGGAAGGCCTTTTATCTCCAAAAAATCAAACCAGAGAAATTAAAAAATATCTTGAAACAAAAGACAAGGGATACACAAATATAAAAACTTGAGGGTTCCAGGGACCAGAGGGCTTCTGCACCTTAGCCTGTTTCCTGCTTTGCTAAGTGAGCAGATGTGTGATGTGCTCTCTTTGGTCCCATAGCTTCCTATTGTGATTCCTCCACCCTGGGCACTTGCTCTCATCCTGTTCTGCCGGCTGCTGCCTCACTCAACAAAACCTGTCGACTTCGACTAAGGTCAAGATTCATGGGTCGACCTTAGTACCACCTGCCATTGGCCCCAGGACCATGCCCTGTGCCACCACCCAGGCCCCAGAGCCCAGGGCACAGCAGGTTCACCCTGAGGACATCTGAACAGGTCTTTTTTCACAAGAGGACAGAAGAAAGGATAGCGACACTGAGCTCCAATGCCGTGAAGAGGAGCATCACAGACAGGATCCTCTGAAATGCAGGATGCACGAGGTCTGTGCTGGACTGGCCAACCCTTCTGCCTTCCTGAGATGACCAGATGGGTTTAGACAGTGTCATCTGCTGGCTCCTCTTCCCTCGTACCTGACTCAACCTGCTCATGATCTGGGAGACAGTGTCATATCCTAGTATCCTGGGCCACTCCAGGGACAGCAGTACAGGTGGCAGGTGACACCCAAGGTTGAGCTGAGCCTCCTGACTCTTCATTCATCTGGCCTCCAGGGAGAGTCTCCGCCTGTCTGGGTTTCAATTTCATCTTCTGTAAGATGGGGACTTCCCACTCACCCCTTAGGGCGGTTTGCAGGTCCACAGAGGTGGTGAGGCAGAAGGCCTTCCTTTGTAAACTGAGCGCCAGCACCTGTTACCCACCTATGCTCCCTGGGGTGGGCCTGCTTGGCTTGGCTGGGAGGCAGCAAGGGGCACCTTGACCAATCAAAGTGATGTGCTGGCACAGTTGCTAATTCTCACGCCAGTCCCCAGGAGCTATCTGCCTGAGGAGGAGAACAATTCTGCTTCCCTGGGTCACCTTCCATGGAACAATGACTTCCAAGTAGAACAGGTAAGGCCACAGGTGGGCAGAATCTAGAATTTATTTGTACAGACTGTGACTATAGTGGGTTAGTGTCCCCCCTCAAATTCATGTCTACATAGAACCTGAGAATGTGACCTTATCTGGAAATATGGTCTGTGTAGGTGCAATTAGTTAAGGATCTCAAGGTGAAATCATCCTGGATTTAGGGTGGACCCTAAATGCAATAACTGGTGTTCTTATAAGAAGAGAACAGGACACAGAGACAAACAGAGGGGAAGCCCTCATGAGGATGGAGACAGAGGTTAGAAAGACGTGTCCAGAAGCCAAAGAATGCCTGGAGTTCCCCAAAGCTGGAAGAGACAAGAAAGAGTTTTTTCCTAGAGCCTTCAGAGAAAGAGCGGCCCTGCCGACTCCTCGATCTTGGACTTTGCTTTCAGAACTGTGAAGGAATTCACTTCTGTTGTTTTCAGTCACCAGTTTGTGGTCCTCTGTTATTGTGGCCATGGGAAATGAACACAAGGACCCCTCAGGCAGGGGTTGCCGCTTCTCAGCTCTTCCTGAGAAGCTCCTGAGCCAGAGAGCTCAGGCTGGTTTCTGAGGAGCTCATCCTAACCCACTACACAAACCCCATCCAGCCGCTCAGCAGATGCCTCCCCTGCCCCTCAACCCTCCACTCCCATTATAGCTGCTCCATCTATGGGAGGATGGCCTGAAGCCAGCGATGAGGGGATGGGACAACGGCCAGGCTGTGCACACATTCCCCCTGCCTGCTGCCTCTCCACCCCTAGAATATCCCCCTCTATGGCTGCAGGAATGCAAACTTCCTCTGCCTTCTTTTCTCAGTGTTCCACACACATGTTCTCTTGACTTTATTGACTAAACACATTTTAGAGCAAATACTGATGCTCAGACTGGCTCTAATGCAACAGAGAATGCGAAACCACATTCTGTCATTTTCATAAAGTTCTGATTGCAAACAACAATTAAAAAGCCCATTCCGTATTTGTTTCCTGATTTTTTGGGGTCATTTTTGGCCATCCCATCCATTTTTGTGCATGTGATGGAATTAGGATTTAGCCTCTTGCAGCCTCCCTTGACCTGTGGCTCTTGCCTGGCTGAACCTGGGCACTGCCAGCCTGTGGCCACCCTGTTTATGAGGTTCCTATGTCTCCCTGAGCTCTTGGCCTTTCTTGAGCAATTCGCTACCCTGACCCTAGAGTTCTTGCTTGGAAAAACCCATCCCTTGAGACTATGACAGTTAAATCAGTTTGTTTATTAAGGTGCTCAAATTGAAACCAAGTTGTTGGTTATGTCTTTTTGCAACTACAGTCTTGCTTGATATTGTACTTGAACAACTCTTTTGGCACAGTCCAGTCAAATGCCTGCTATTCTCCCATGTGTGGGTTCCTGTGTTCTGCCTCTTTCCGCATGGTCCACATCAGAAGGAAGCAGTGAACAAGAAGCAGAAAATCTCAAAGACTTCACTAGTCTGGAAGATTCTACCTAAAAATACTCACCAGTAAGCTGGAGCTGGCCACAAAGCAGCTGGTGGTCTCATTCTTCGAAAAGTAGTGGCTGTCTTGGGGCACTGATGGGCAGGCACCACCAGTTGGCACTGTCTGGCAGCTGGGAACACCCCGGCTAGGTGATAGGGAAGGACAATGAGGCCCACTGTGGCAGCCATGGGGCTTAGGAGGCTGCTGATCAGGCTGTTCCAGGCCTGCAGGGGATCTGGTCAGGGTCTGCTCCTGAGCAGTTCATGCTCCTGGGGCACCACGATCCCACCAGGCCAGCAGCAGGTTCTCACATCCAGGATCCTCGGCAGGATGGGACTTCCTCTTCTGTTATACGATTTGATTAATTTTGTTCACTCTCAACCCCTCTCAGAGCTCCCCAAGCCTACAGGCAAATGCTTGCTTGATGCACGACACATGAAAGCGTGAATGAAGCAGAGACTTATGGTGGGACAGACAGGAGATGTGGTTCTGGTAGCTTCTCCACCCAGGACTGAGCAGGGCTAGAGGAAGAGGAAGATATGTATAGAACTGATGTCCCATTGGACTGAACCGAACAGAGAAAATATTGCAATGCCCACAGTGCTTGATAAATCACAGCTTCCCTGACCTCCAAGCCCCCTGCTGGCTTTACCCAGTCCACTGGCACCCTGAGGAGGTTCCTCCAGCCATCTCCCCTAAGCCTAGCCAGAGGCCTCCTGCCTCATCCTGAGCTGAGGCTGTCATCAGGTGGGTTCCCAGACATGCTCTTTCCTATCACCTGGCTCTGTCTGCAGCACCCCTGCATGGTAGAGCTCGAGGCCAAGGGGCCTGCTCACCCAAGTACAACAGATGCCCCCACAGCAGCCTCTGTCATATGGGGACAGCAGCAGGGTTGGTGCTCTTTCCTGTTCTTTTCATCCACTCCACTTTGTGAAAAGGGTGCCCTGGCAGGAGGGCCAGGGAGCATGGGGTACGAGGGCTCAGTGTGGGGGCAACAGCACCTGGGGCCGAGGGTGGATGTTCAGATCCCGGCTGGGGCACGGCCCAGAGGAGGGCTGAGAATCACAGCTGCGCCATGGGGTGCTACCTCCCCTCGAAAGTAGGAAACCTGGATTCCAGTTTTGCGGTGTCCAGACTCACTTTTCAAAGACCAACACCAGGGGAGGAATAGGCTGATGTCTGTGGTGGCTTCTGGGACACCTGGGCTAGGTGTTCCAGCCCGTCACAAGCAGCCCATGGCACGTGTGCTCAGGTATGCCCAGCAGCCTCTGGCAAAGATCCGGGCCCTCTTCCCAGGGGCTCAATCTCAGAGCTGGGCAGTGATGGGGGAAGAGATGGAAAAAGGTCGTGGGCCATTTCTCCATACAGCCCCAGGGATTCACAACTCGTGTTGTCAGAATGTTCTGAGAAAGTCCCTTTTTTTCAAAGAAGAGGTCCCTGAGGATGGTGGCGGGTGAATTTCCTAGGAGCCTAAGTGGCCCTGGAACACCGTGGTCCCCACCTTGTGCCGCCGTCTGCCTCACCCAGCTGCTGCTTGCTCTGTAGGGCTGGTGCTCCTGCCCTTGTTTAGGGGATCCACACAGGCTGCTTTCCTGGAGGGCTCAGGGGAGGCTGAGGGTGGGGATGAAGAAGGGCATCTGATCCTTTGAGGGAGGTCTGAGAGAATGACAGTGTCCAAACCTGGCACTGCCACCTTGAGGCTTGGCTGCCAGTTTCTTGGCAGCTTCTGTGTCAGGACAGGGAGACCCCCAAATCCCAGGTCACCAGAATCTCCACCATACCCATCTCTGTCCCCCAACCCATGCCTCTTAGCCTCCTAAGAAAGGCCTGGAAATGATTCTGCAAAAGTTTGTCAATCAGATGTGCACCCATCACTGAACACCCCCTTTTCACTCTGCACCCTTCCTGGCCCCCACCAGCAAGGCTCATCTCTTTTGATTGATGCTTTTCTCACCCAGGCTGTGGTGCACAACTAACAGCCCATGCTCTCACTGTCCTCTTTCCCCTGTGCTCACCAAGGACCTGAACCCCGGTGGTCAGTGAACACCAAAGGGTGTCATGATGAGGCAGAATTTTCCCATAAAGCCACCCAGAGCCTGGAGAGGGTACAGGACTCTCTTCAAAATGAGGATCATGAAAGGTGTCCCCCAGATCAGTGGGCCCTGTGTACTTCCACAGGGCCACTGACCAAAGGACACTTGTCAGCAACCTGGGGTTCAGTTCCTTTGTCTGAACCTTGGAAAGATCCAACTGGATGAGGTTCCGCTAAAGTCTCTTTTTAGTAAGTGAGGCACTGTTGTTCCTATACTCACCAGATGCTTGTTTGATTTTCTTCCCAAAATGACAGACAGCAATCCAGAAATGATAAACTACTCAGAAAAGAGGAAAATGGTAAAGTCAGTTTCCACATGAACAAGCACCCCGATGTCCCTACCACTGAATTGTCACGTCCTTGTACACCTCCAGGAACTTCCCCACAGGGCTGACATTATTGGGCATGCTGGAAGCTGGGCCAAAGTCCAGGCCATATGTGGCTACAGGCCAATGTTGAGGGAAGTGGATATAGGAGGCCAAGCCACCCCTAGAATCTCATGAGAACCTGACTCAGCTGGAGAGGAAGTTCTTCTAGGGCAAAGACAAAGGGGCTTAAGGCCCAGGCTCCCCAACAGGGACCAGGGAACAGTGATTTTCAAGGGAGAGAGGGCAGGTAAATGTTACAAGACTCTATTTAGATGAAGATGTTGTGGTGGGGAGAGAAAAGCCACGCGGGCTTTGAACTGTCAGTTCCATGGGCTCTACCAGAGTCAGAGTTAAGGACAGAAGAAAAAGGGGGCCCAAATAAAGGGAAGATTTTGAGGCCAGGTTAACAGCTAGAAAAAAACTGTTGATTCTGGGTTATTACAGAAAAAGTGTTCTGTGGTAATGCAGTAATTTGAAATAGCTGCAATGTACGAAAACTACATGGCATGGTGGCAAGACTATAAAAAAAAGTTTTTCTGGTCCTACCAAGAAAATAGCCAGATAGAGAGGGAACAGGGAGGTTTGTGACTCAGTGGTCAGAGGATGCTCAAAAGCCACCGTGAATGCAAGAGGCTGCGGCTGGGGCGTGAAGACAGGTCTAGGCTGTGGGAAAGCCTCATTCACATTTCACAAGACTGAAAGCTTTCTCCTGAAGCTTCTTGCTGTGGCCTGAATGTCTGTTGCCCCCAGATTTCATGTGCTAAATACCTAACCTCCAATGCGATGGTATCTGGAGGTGGGGTCTTTGGGAGGTGAGTAGGTCGTAAGGGTGAAGCCCTCATCAATGGGATTACTTCCTTTATAAAAGGAACCCAGAGAGATTCCTCTGCCCTTCCACCACATGAGGACACAGCGAGAACGCTCTATCTATGAACAAGCAACAGCCTTCACCAGACACCAAATCTGTCGGTGTCACGATCTTGGACTTCCAGCCTCCAGAACTGTGAGTAATAGATGCTTGCTGTTTATAAGCCACCCAGCTTATGGTATTTTTGTTAAAGCAGCTCAAGCCGTCTAAGACACTCCTTGATTCCAGGAGCCTGGGGGATATTCAGGACTCCGAGGCTATGTCTGGAGCGTAACTCTGCAGAAGGCCTTCCACATGCCAAGAGATGACAAGCAGCAGATAGAGCTTCTAAGTGCTCCATGCCACCTCTTCAAGCTCAGTATATGCTCTACTGACCCCACTGGTCCTGCTGGCCCCATAGACAGGGCCACAAATGCACCAGCCTGGCCACCCCACTGTGTGCCCTGTCCACCCCATTTCTCACTTGCTGTCTGCCCACCTCACTCCTACTCCTTGTGTCACCTGAACTTAGGGAGAAGTAGGGTGACCCTATGTCCAGTGTGTCAGGGACAGTCCTGGGTATTCCTGTGATCATGGCATAAATAGTAATAGCACACTCTTTTATTCTTATAGTGTCCCTGTTGAGGCTACACATGCTATTGTCACCCCAGAGAGAAGCTGCAGGGCTCCCAGGGCCCTCGAGGATGGCACTATGAGGATTTTGGAAGAACTGATATTTGAGCCAGATGATCAATTCTGTTCCCATTGGCAAAACCCCTTCTCCTGCCAGGCCTTCTCTCACTCCTGGCTGATTGCCCTCAAAACAAGTTCCATTCCTGCATCTTTGCTCTCCACAGAGACATTGCTAGGTAGCATATCAGTTGTCTGTGCCCTGCTCCATCCCAGAGACCACCCTCCATGAACACCCATCCTACTCACATACTTGGCTCCTACGAATGGGTATCCAGACCTCACCAAGGTGAGAACCACTGGGCCAAAGTGACAGGGAAAGGAAGTACATGCCAAAAGGATCCCCATGCTCATAACTGCAAAGCCACAGAGGATCTGGATGGTCTGTTAGGGAAGAAGGGTCACCTGGTGTGACCTCAGAAAGATATGTTCAAGTCCTAACCCCTGATACCTGGGAATGTGATCTTCTTTGGAAATAGGGTATTTGTAGATGTCATTGGGATGTCAGTTAAGATGAGATCAGAGTGGAGCAGGGAGGGCCTTTAATCCAGTATGACTGGTGTAGGTACAAGACAAGAGAAACAGGCAGATGCTGGCAGAGAGAATGTCACACAAAAACGGAGGCAGAGGTGGGAGGGATGCAGCTGCAACCAAGGAGAGCCAAGGACTGCCAGGATACACCAGAGCTGGGAGAGAAAGCCTGGCCCTGCCCAGACCTGGATTTCAGACTATGGCCTCTGGCCTCCAGAATTGGGAGAGCATGAGTTTCTGTTTTGTTTTGTTTTTTTTTTGTTTTTTTTTTTTAAAGCCATCTGGTTTGTGGTAGTTTGTTACCATGGCCCCAGGAAACCAACTCACTGGGTGAGTCAATCAAGGGCCAGTCATTGTCAGTTTCCCCAGGGAAGCGGAGTGCTGGAACTCTCTGTGCAACCCAAGGAGATAGTGCGGAAGCAGGAAAAGCGTCTCAGGGGCATGGGAAACCAAGCACGCAGGACATGCTCCCAGCCCTTCCCAGTGCTGGCTGAGATCAGCGTGCAGTGAAATGCTGGGTGTTTCTGTCTTTAGCTCTGAGCTGTGGCAGTGGGATCCCAGGTGATGACTGGTCACAGCCCAGGAGGTTCCCATGCCCTTTGCTCCCTCTCCCTCCTGGGCACAAAGAAGCACTTAGGAGACAGCAGGTGGGGCAGGAACTGGCTCCCACTCTCTGCAGGATGAGTGGACACAGGTACCTCTGTTCGGGGCATGGCTCCTTGTGGGAGACAGACCCCAGAGCTGTGACGGGGTCCCAGGCAGCCTCTGAATCAGCCTCAGAATATTTCTACCACAAGAGTTCACATTCTTGCAACATTTACCAAGCAACCTCCTACCTGTTCTAACAGCGGAGTCAGCCCAGAAAGCACTTTTCAACCCAAGGTTAGGTGTGGCCTGGGGATTGAAGGAACAGCTGAGGCTCCCACAAGTAGGGAGGTGCTGGCCCTGGGCCCCAGGCCCTTCCCCCTGGTGCTTGTGTTGCCCAGCTCCTTCTTTCCATTTCCCCCTCCTCCCTTTGGTCATGCAATGGAGTTGTATTTCTTTAAAAATCATGGATCGTATGAGAGATATTGGAAGGCAGACTAAGGGCACATATCTGTTTTCAAATGGTTAATTTCTCAAGAAGGGAGAATAGGAGATGAATTGTCTATAATTTTTAGAAAGAAAAAAAAATCCCTGGGAAGTAAAATCTAGAATAATTTATTCAACAGACTATTTTTTTTCTTTTGCCTCCAAATAAAGTGTATGCAAATATGTTATTATTCCCTTAAAATGAGTTAAGCAGCCAAAGTTTTATATCTCAGGTGAATGCTCCCCATGAGCACAAAACTGGGAAATCTCTTACTTTCTTGCGGAAAATGACTAGGTGGTCCCAGAGGCCTCCCCCGACGCCTCCAGAGCAGCCTGGAACTCCTTAAGCCAAAGGCTCTGTCTCCAAAGTGACAAAGTGTCCTCCTGGCACCCACTCAGCCTCTGCCCTTTGCTTGGCTGTTCTTACCCCAAGCACCTGGGCCTTTTTCTTCAGATTTTTTTCTCACGTTGTCCTGGTTGAGAGGCTCCAGATTCTCTGTGAGGTGCTCAAAGATGCAACTTTGTGGAAACACCACACAGTATCCACTGGGCAGGGCTCTGGACCCGGATAGGGATTGCTGCTGCTGCTGCCAGACAGGCGCGGAGCCAGGTCCGACTCTGGACCGAGACTTAACATTGCAAACTTCCCAAGCTTCAGATTTCCTTGGGTAGTCAACTAGAATCCCCCAGTCATCCCAAGGCGACCAGGGTTCTAGGAAGGAACCTGGGAACAGGGGTGCCTCAAAACCCTGGCGTAGTGAGAATTCTCATGGGTTCTTGGCATTGCACAACACCTGTTGACAGCACAGCCTGCCCTGAGGAGGGTCACAGCAGAGAGAGCAGACCAGCCTGCCTGCAGGTGCCCAGCTTCACCTTCATACTGGTCATGAATTTCCTGCAGTCCCTAACAGGCTTGGGACATGCTCCCTCCAGCCCAATTTCAGGATTGGATGCTTTTCAAATTCTGCTCTCCATCCCTTCTTATGCCAGGTCCATTCCTTTCAGGACATCCAGTTAGCACTGCCCTGCTTCTATAACCCAAATATTACGTGATTCTTTGTAGGAAAACCAATTGTTGGTGTCAGAGCTCTCTGAGCACTGACAATAGGCTAGGCTTCATGCTAAAGCAGTGCTGTTCCTTACACGCAGCAAGGCCCGTAATCAGAGTCCGAGGTACTAGTTCTAAATGAATAAGACATTCTTAGCCCAGAGACGCCTAGCCACAGCATGGCCTCTGTATGAATGTGTAGTAAATGTAAGCAATTACGAGTAATGCCAGGTTTAACTGTCACAGCCGATGTGACAAAGCCCGCTGGCTCTGGGTCTTTTCTCTTTTTACCTCCTCAGCTCCCTTCTTCCCCCTCTTGTAGTGTAAGGCAGCTGCATATGGCAGAAAGAGAATGTGGTCCAGCCCGTCCCCTGGTCTCTGCAGCTGAGCCCAGGCCCCACCTGCCCCAAGGGCTCTGTTCACTGCATCAGCCCCTTCTAGGACAGCACAGTGGGGAAACAGTCTGAAGTTGCCCAGAGAGAGGAGGCTCCTGCTCCTGTGGCCCTTTATCCTGCGTCTGAGCTTGCAGGATGTTCTGGGATCTCTGGGCTGGAGTGGGCAACACCTGCAGCTCAGAAACCATGTCCCAAATTAGGCACGTGAAGGAGTCTGGTGGAAAAAGTATTGGGCCACAGAAACAAGGCTGCTGGGTACCTTTCCCAATCTCACAGACAGCGTCCTTCAGAAGAGACCCCAACACTGACGTTGGCAGATATCTCTGAGGGGGCTTGTGTGACTTTCATCTCCTCCAGGACCTCTGGGCTTCATTGGCCCATGTCAACCTGTTCTGCCCTGATTGGCAGGGAACACCCCACATCTCTGGCTCAGGCAGTTATGATGACAAAATTTATAGGGCCCTTCCTGCAGCAGTTCTTTAATTTTTAGAACAAGGCCAGTGGCATTGTGATTGAGTTCAACTGCTGGGGAATCAATTGCATTGAATTTGTGTTGGGTGGTATTGTGTGCACTGAAGACACAGTGCACACATTAAGATCTCAGAACCTCAGAGCTGCAAGGGAGCCCCATTTAGCAGATGAGAAGTTTCTCCTCCTAGGGCTTCAGGAGCTGTAAACATCCACCCCTAGATGCCACCGTGGGGTCGGAGCCCCACAATCTGCCCATCTGTATGCTCCCCTAGAGGTTTGAGCAGTGGGGCACTGAAGAAGCAAGCCACACCCCCATCACGTGCCCCGCGAGGGGAACAAGGGAACTTTTCTCATTTCAAAAGTATAAAACTCACTGTAAAAATAAGAATATAGTACAATTCAGACTTCTCTCATACTCTGATGGCATAAGTCACTTTTAATTCTAGTATAAAATTAAAAGATAAAATAAAACAATTATAGCCATAATAATTTGTTGGTGGATACAGAGTATGAAAAGATGTAAATTGTGACATGAATAACATAAAAATGTGTAGAGAGAAGAAGTTAAAGTGTAGGGTTTTTGTATGCAGTTGAAGTTAAGTTATTAGCAGCTTCACATAGACTAAAAACTGTAAGATATTTTATGTAAGTCTTATGGCAACAACAAACAAAAACCTGTAGTAGGTACACACAAGACAAAAAGAGTAAAATCAAAGCATATTACCACACAAAAAAATCATTAAATTACAAAGGAATACAGCAAGAGGAAGAAAGAACAAAATATCTACAAAATAGTCAGAAACCCCTGAACAAATGGCAGTAATAGGTCCTCATCTGTCAATAATCACTTTAAATATAAATGAATTCAATTCTCCATCAAAAGACATAGAGTGGCTGAATGAATAGAAAAAGAAAACCAAGATCCAACTATGTGTTGCATCTGAGGGATTCAATATATCTTTAAGGACACACATAGGCTAAAAGTGAAGGGATGGAAAAAGATGTTCCATGCAGATGGTAGCTAGTAGAGAAGAGGGGTGGCTATACACACATCAGATAAAATAGACTTTCAGTTAAAAACTGCCACAAGATTCAAAGAAGATAATTTTGTAATGATCGAAGGAGTCAATTTATCAAGAAAATATAACAATTTTAAGTGTATGTGCACCCAAGTTCAGAGCACCTAAATATGTAACGAAAATATGAACACAATGAAGGGAGAAACAGACAGCAACACAACATTAGCAGGAAACTTTTATACCCCACTTTCAACAACGGATAGATTGTCCAGACACAAAATCAAAAAGGAAACTTTGGATTTGAACAACACGATAGACCAAGAGGTCCTAAGAGACATTTATGGGACATTACATTCAACAGCAGCAGAATGACCATTCTTCTCAAGCATACACAGAACATTCTCTAAGATAGATCATATATTAAGCCACAAAACAAATCTTAACAAATTTAAGAAGATTAAAATCATATCAAGTCTGTTTTCTGACCACCATGGTAATAAATTAAAAGTTAGTAACAGGAAGAAAATTGGAAAATTTACAAATTTTTGAAAATTAAATAATATCATGTTGAACAATCAGTATGTCAAAGAAGAAACCAAAAGGCAAATTTAAAAACTATCTTGAGACAAACACAAATGGAAATACAACATCCCTAAACTTATGGGATGCAGCAAAATAGTTCTAAGAGAGAAGTTTACAGTGATAAACACCCACATTAAAAATATTATAATATAATTTTGCATGATGTTACCACTGGAAAACTGGGTATGGGATCTGTTTGCATTATTTCTTGCATCTACATGTGAATCTACAATTATCTAAAAATTAAAAGTTGAATTTAAAAAGCCACAAGAATGATAATGTACAGAAGAGCAAGAGGAACAGAGAGATGTAAAACATTTCATTTAATCAAATATTAAAAAAAAAAAGAAGTTGCTGACCCAGTAATTTCACTCCTTTTCGTTGGATATATGCTCCAAAGGAATGCCTGCATTCATTCTAAGACATGCTACAAAACATTAAAATACAATGGTCAAAATATGAAAAGACAAGGGATTTCATACAATATAATCCACCCAAAACAAAATCCAAATTATTTTTTAGAAGTTATTAAAATAGAAACCACATGTTTTTGAATATGTGATTAAAGCATACTTAATACAAAGAGAAAGCTTTGCTAACTGGAAATTAACTATTTGTTTTTGTCTTAAACAACTTTTGGTACTGGAGGATTTTAAAATGAAAATTATTTAGAAAATAGAAATGTTGAGATAATTGCCAGTGGTTATATGTTAATATCAGGAGGGACTTGCAGACACTGGAACAGGACCTCAGTGGGGACATGCAGAGCCATGGGGGCTGGCAGTGCTGGCTGCTGCATGTCACAGGAATAAACACAGAAAGCACATTATTGTTAAAGAAGAGAGCATGAGCAGACACTGAAAATGCTTTAATAAAGATACCAGAGAACAAGATAGTGTTAGTCCATTATGTCCATTACCACACTGCTATAAAGAACTACCTGAAACTGGCTAATTTATGAAGAAAAGAGGTTTAACTGACTTATAGTTCCACAGGTTTAACAGGAAGAATAACTGGGAGGCCTCAGGAAACTTACATTTATGGCAGAACACCAAGGGGAAGCAAGCACCTTCTTCACATGGTGGCAGGAGAAAGAGAGAGAGTGAAGGGGGAAGGTCACACAATTTTCAACCATCAGATCTCATGAGAACTCACTCACTGTCATGAGAACAGCAAGGAGGAAATCTGCCTCCATGATCCAGTTACCTCCCACCAGGCTTCTCCAATTCGATATGAGATTTGGGCGGGGACACAAATCCAAACCATATCATGTGTCTATAAGAAACACAGAGATTTACACTATTGGTATGTAAATGGTGCTACTGAGACCAGATTGGGTACAATGACAAACACTTCCTGTGGATGGTGACGTCTTTTCCAGACTAGGAAGACTGGAAAAGAGAAATCTCCATGTGGACGGCCAGGTGTCAGAAAATGCTTCAATCAATGGATTTAGTTAAACAGCATAAAACAGCTTGCCATGTAGTTATTTTGAAATAAATTACTCAGTCAGGCAGCAAATTCAGGGAAAGTCAGCCAAATAAATATACAAATGTAGACAGAGAAGTCTTCCCAAGAAAAGAAGAGAAAGCAAAGAGAAATGGCATCACCAATGAAAGCACACACAGAGATGTAACTTCAGAAATGGTGTCCAGGGAAAATGTCCTTTCCCATCTTCACATCATCCTCTGGACATTGACCAGCAAGCAGATATTTTCTGACGCAGAAGAAGAAAGGAAGCTCTTCTGATCTGTACAGTGGGCAGATCACATCTCCGTGGGGTGTTCTACAAATGTTTTATTGATCTTTGGTGATGTATTTTTTTTGTCATCCAGTAATTTTTTTCATGCCCCTTGTCAAGATAATTCTCCATCCTTATCTGGTGTGCTTCCCTCCTGGCAGGGTCTAATCTTTGTTGCCTGCTCTGGAGGTAGCAGGAGCCTCAACGGTTCAGAGAAGTCCTATCTCCTTCCTGTAGGCAGCAGAAATTCATTTCTCATGAACATCAAAGTCTTCTTAGTGAGATGGGTGCCTGGTGGGTGAAGTTAAACATGTCCAGGATGGGCCATGGCTACGCCACAGGACCTGAAGGGTTTTATCACAATAGGTGAGGACTGCCCTCAGAGTGTGGCATCAGAGTCAAACTCTGGTATTGTAGCTGCAAACCAGCACTGATCCTTGGGGGCAATCCCTAGGCATCCTGGAAACTCTGGCTACTGATTGAGTTCATGAATGAGATGAATACCTAGAATTTAAGCATACACCTGAATGTGAACCTTGCTTATGCTGAATTTCCTTTTTCAAATTTAAATGTTGAGCTGACACTGATAAAATTAGGCTTCTCCAAACAGCAAGCCAAACTTTGCTTATTTGCTGACAAGCCAGCAGGCCCTTCTATTTCAGAAGAAGTGATGTAGAACCAAGTTCTTAGCAAGCAATGAACTCAGGTGTCTGCCAGGGAATGGCATGCTCATTCACAGATGCATCAGTCCTCATCCCTGTAGGTTGGAAACCCCAGCAATGAAGAATCAATAGAAAGGTCTTCATCATGACTCATCACTCCAAGCTGTCTGTTCTAGAGCAGGGAAATTTCCAGCATGGATCTTTAGCTCCATTTGGGAAGATGGACCAAACCCTGCCCATCTTGGAGAAGAGGTGGCCTGACACTCAAGGTCCCACACACAAGGCTCTTTCCCTCTGTGTGACCATCAGAATCTTCAAGGGATACCTGACCATTTCATTTCTTTCTTTTCTTCCTTCTCTTGACAAGTTAATTGCAGAAGCTGTTGGAATCGCTTCAATAGAACAGATGGCCTGCGCTGGAGAACGTGTGGTGTTACATTAAGGGAGGGGTCTTGTGCTTAAGGGAAAAAAATGAGACCTGAACTAAAACTTCCACAGAGGACAAAGGACGAATTCCTGGAATCAAGTAAAGCAGTGCAGCAGCAGTGACAAAACCTCCAGAGTTCATCAGAAACAGAGAAACTGATTTCAGGGGTCACAAAAGAGTCTGGTGTCTGCATACCAGAGAGAACAAATGTAGGTCTTTTTTTTTTTCATTCAAAAGATACAGATTACACTTTAAGAGACAGATAATTCCACTAAGTAAAACTCCTCTGAGAAGCACACTTCGTATGTCCAGGAGAAAGGCCATGAAAGGGCACTGTGGAAACTGGGAGGCAGATACAGGTGAGGAGCTTGCAGAGCACCTTGAAGTCCAGGAGCCTCTTGTACTTCAGAGCTGATGGGTGAGAAAAGCCGGTCAGTGTGGGAGGAACAGAGTGGGGCATAACACCCTTCAGCATGCATCAACATGACTGTGGGATTGTGGGGAAAAGGCTAGGAGGGGTGACAAGAGACAACAGAAAATGTTATTCTACACTTAAGCAAGACATTTTCTCTCAGGGTAACAATACGTCATTGGTGTTGATTTTCAGTGCCTGTCCTAACTAGGATCAGGTGGCAAAACAGGACACAAGATATTGAGAGTCCAGGGGACTCCATGCCCAGAGACTGCATATTCACATGGTAAGTGACCAAGAAACTGTTACATGAAGATGGTGGGTACAAACCATCTTTGAACAGAGAAAATGAAATAACTGTTTACAGAACATCAGCCCTCGGGACAACTCAGTTGGAAAATCAATAATCTAGAAATGTGCATTCTTAAAGTGAATGTGGCAGGTGAGATCAGAGCAAGGGAAAAGTACTGAGAAGGTAAAATGACAGTGAGCTCATGGCAACCCCGAATCTGAGTCCTAAGACATCAGTCAGTGCACAGGGTTGACCCGATGTGTGTCAGAAAGACAGGCAGAATCTCTCAGACCTGCTGTGGTCCCTGAGAGTTGAGAATGCAGGTGAAATGTGGACACAGAAGTCCCAATACATACCCATGCCTGTAATAGGAGGACACTCTTTTCAAACTGTGAGGGCTAGGGCCAAGCTTTTCTTACTGAGGTGAAGAAAGGGCCACATTACTGGCTTCTCTCTGCACAAATTGTATTGGAACACCCCTCAAGGGGTGCTTTCTTTGGGAGTGAAGCATGGTGAAAGCTTTTGCCTGAGGGGTTCTCTGAATTTGATCTTGATCTTGTGTTTATCAAGAGCAATGCCATGAAGTTCAGCTCACTAGAAACTGACTCAACATATCCAACTTGGAACTGGGTCTACTCCTTGCAAGGCCCTATTCCCTGTCCCTAGGATGAGGGAGTCAGGGGCTGCCAGGGCTATGCGGAGCTCTGACCAGAGTAAGAGAAAGGAGCCCTATGGAGACAGGAAGGACCTGCCTGGGCACATAAAGCCACAGTGGAGCAGCTGACCATGTGATAAACCTCGGGATGCTCAGCTATCTGTCCCCACAGATAGAAGCCACTCATTGGCCAGAAGAAAAACAAGGAGCACATGGGAATCTTGATCAAAGTTGCTCAAGGTCCAGTAACTTCTGGAAGCCCAAGAGAGAGCTCATATTCAGAGGACAGGAAGACAATTCCAGACCATTGGTCCACAGAGGTGTCACCTGTCCTTCTGTGTCTGTGTCAGCCTCACTGCCCCCTGACTTACCCCTGCCCCCAGGAAAAATGTCACAGGTAAGATGAGAACTGTGTTCTCTCTTCATCTGACTCTCTTTCTCATCTCTCTAATTCGGAGGAGTTTTTGCAAGGATTTTAGATGTGTTTTCCCCAAGGGAAAGAACATTATCAGGACAGTGCAACCCTTCATTTGAGGACTGGGGACTGGAATCCATCCTTGCTTATTCTTTTTTTGTGTGCGAATTTTGCTTCATTTTGGTAAGAATTCTTGACACGAGATCTATTATCCTAATAATTTTAAGTGCACAGTAGTGATCTTTAAAATGCAAATCCTTGGCTGGGCATGGCAACTCATCCCTGTAATCCCAGCAATTTGTGGGGTCGGGGTGGAGGGGATCTCTTGAGCTCAGGAATTTGAGACCAGCACAGGGCAACAAAGGGAGACTCCCATCTCTACAAAAAGAAAAAAATTAGAAAATTAAAAAAGAAACCTAGCCAGATGTGGCAGCACACGCCTGTGGTCCCAGCCACTCAGGAGGCTGAGGTGGAGGCATCGATTGGGCTGGAGAGGTGGAAGCTGCAGTCAGCAGTGATTGCATCACTGCACTCCAGCCTGGGGGTGAGAGAGTGAGACCTTGTCTCTAAAGAAATAAATAAATCCAGATAATATTATTATCTGAGCTTAAAACTTTCCAACACCTGGACATTGCACTTAAAATTCAAACTTCTTATCTTGGCCTATATGATTCCACACCTGCCTACCTCTCTAAAAGCTTATTTCTCTCACTCTCTCTTTCCCTCCCTAAACTTCAGCCACACTGGCCTTCTTTCTTTTCTTCAACCATACGACTGTTCTTCCTATGCGCCTTTGTACTTCCTGTTCCCACTACCTGCAGCACTATTCCTCTAGATATTCCCAGGATTGGCTTCCTGAAAAAGCCAGAAAATATTGTCAGCTCAGAAAGGACCAACCTAAGTGGCTCACTGTCTTTCCCGTTTTCCTTAAGATAGTCCATCCCACTGCCACTTTTTTTTTTCCTTCAGAGTAGTAAGCACCGTCTGAAATGATCCAATTTACTGCATTTGCTTATTGACATTCATCTGTCCCAACAGGACAGTATTTATTCATTCATCTCTCACTATATGCTCATCACTGTTCCATGCACTTACATGCTATCCACCCATTTAATTTTCAAACCCACAAGTAGGTATTATCAGTATTCTAATTTTGCAGAGGAAATACCAGAGGCTCAAAAAGATGAAGCAGCTTCAGTTGCAAAAACATTCCAGTACACTGTTGTTAACTATAGGCAACTACTACTTTTGTGCAGTAGAGCTCTAGTGCTTATCTATTTTGTTAAACTGAAACTTTATGCCCACTGACTACTAGCTCCCTACTTCCTGTCCTACAGCCCAGGGAACAACCATCCCACTCTTTGTTTCTATGAATTTGACTATTTTAGATACCCTATTTAAGTGCATGCAGGATTTATTCTTCTATGACTGGCTAATCTCACTTACCATAATGATCTGCAGGTTCAACTATGTTGTCATATATGACAGAATTTCTTCCATTTTTTTTTTGAGATGGAGTCTCCCTCCCCTGCCCAGGCTGGAGTGCAGTGGTGTAATCTCGGCTCACTACAACCTCCGCTTCCCAGGTTCATGCAATTCTCTGCTTCAGCCTCCCAAGTAGCTGGGATTACAGGCACCTGCCACCATGCCCAGCTAATTTTTGTATTTTTAGTAGAGACGGGGTTTCACCATGTTGGTCAAGTTGCTCTTGAACTCCTGACCTCGTGATCCATTCACCTTGGCCTCCCAAAGTGCTGGGATTATAGGCGTGAGCCACCACACCTGGCCAAATTTCTTCCTTTTTAAAGGCTGAATACTATTCTATCTTATGTTTATATCACATTTTCTTTATCCATTCATTTTTTGATGGATTTTTAGGTTGTTTCCACATTTTGGCTATTGTGAATAGTATTGCAGCAAACATAAGAGTGCTAATATTTCTTTGAAAACCTGATTTCAATTCTTTTGGACAAATACTCAGAAGTGGGATTTCTGGACCATACGGTGCAGTTCTACTGTTAATTTTTTGAGGAATTTCCATACTGCTTTTCACAGCAGCTGCGCCATTTTGCATTTTCACCAACAGTGTGTGAGGGATCCCTTTCTCCACATCCTCATTAGCACTTGTTATCTTTTGTTTTTCCAGAATGGCCATCCTAACAGGCGTAAGGTGCTATCTAGTTGTGGTTTTGATTTGCATTTCTTTGATGAGTCATCTTGGCCTGTCCTTGACTGGAGACACATTTTGGAAGCTGTTGGCACTCTCTGTTAATGGACATTTGGGTTATTCCCTCCCGTTCTCCCCTGAACTGGCTCTTCCCAGGTTAGTAGGAGGAAGAGTGTGTACTTGGTGCTGCAGGACTAAGATTAAGCCCTAGTGAAATCTGTAACATCTTTTTGGGCATTCCCATGGATCAGCTATAGCAACTCATTTAAGGATTTTTTTCTTGTTACAGATACATCCTGCTTTAGTGAGCTCAGCTTCTCTGCCAACTTCATCTGTGAAGCTGTCTTAAAGTATGAGAAGTCATTATCAGTGTTCAGGATCTCAGGAAAGGATGGTCTGATCTCTTTGGGCCCAGAGCGTTTCACCTCTCAAGCATCCTAAGTTCTTCAGTGTTCTGGACTCCATAGTGGGGCATCAAGGGTCATCAGGGCTGATTCTCAGAGGCCTAGCCAGCTCAGCCGAAATGTCCAAGGCTCAGGCAGTGGGCCCTGGACAGGGGATGTTGGCATCCTCCAATGAAATGATTCCATCCATCTTCCTGAGACAGGAAGGTGGACAGGAATCTCTCTAAGGAAGACACATGAGATCTCCTCTAGTCTGTGGTCAGCCTTGAGGTACCACACCTGCCCAAGGTGAGCAGGTTTTTGGCTAAGGGTGAATGGTTCATATCAGTTCTCCCCTACCCTGGATGCATTGTCTGAGGTGTTTTGCATGCTAGGCTCTTGGCCTCTGTCTCAGAGTCTTGAAAAGAGACAGAGCAGAGCTCTCCTGCTCACAGTCTGTATCTGCACTCATCCAGGATCTTCCACTTAAACGAGCTCTCAACATCATGGACAAACTTCCAGCATGTGAGTAGATTCACATCTGAGGCTACATCTTTGGTGTTTGCAAAATAGTGATAAGGATTCCATGGTTGAAAGAGGAAGCTGTGGTCAGGCCCCACCACTCCAGGGACAGTAGCTCAGTGCTGCTCTGAAGGGGCCTGGCTGCCCCTTTCTGTCCACTGATGGCTGAGATAAGAATATTCTCCAATCTTGAAAATGGCTTATAAGTCTTTAACTCTCTAGAGTTGCAGGGACCTTCTTGGGGTTTATTAACGCAATAATAGAAAAATAGTTATTGCACTCAAGTTGCTTAAGAGGCCCTCTCTGGACAGGAGCATCAAAGATTAACAAAGCAGATGAAGCCACTTGCCCCAGGGTGGTGAACTTGCTGAGCCTGCCTGTGGCTCTTTCCTTCTGGCTGTCACCTGGTTGCTCCAGTAGGTCATTCAGATCTCCATGTCCTACTAAGAAACTCCCCTCATTTATCCCACTAGGAAACATCCATTACCCTTATCATTTTCTATCCACTCAGCCCAATTTATTTTTCTCCTTGCAGTTATCACAATGTAAACCCAAAGAAGGTACAGACAGTTCTACCTTAGCACTGTCTTATCCTCATGCCAAAGATAAGTTTGTGGCAAGTGACATTTGCCTACTGAAGAGGCAATTTCCTGAGGAGACTGTTGAGTAGAGATGATGAAACGGTCTTTGGAGGAGCTTCAAAAAGGGAGGTCTAGAAGAAGAGCCCAGTGTGTTTCACAGATCCCAGAGCGGGAGGCAGAGGTCAGAGAAGCCTTGCGAAGTCTGCTCCACAATTCCAGATTCTATAAAAATAACAATTATTATTAGTTTTTTGAATATTAATAATAATTATTCATTAGAAACAAGATATAATAGTACTACTTGTTAATCATAATATAATCATAAATAATTAATAATCACATACAACTATTAATCACATTATATTATTAATATATTGTTATTAATATGCCACTAATAGCATATTCATATCATATAAATAATATTAATATAGTATACCAAATATATTAATATATACTGTTAATATGCTAATATATTCACATGTAATCAATAATACATTAATATCTTAATATTGAAAGCATATCAACATTAAAATGTACTGATAAACTATTTTACTAATATTGTATAAATATTATTAATGATACATTATTAATAAACTGAATAATGTTAATATCAATTAATATTAATGACCAAAGACCCACCAACATGGGTCGTGTTGGCATCAAGACTGTGACGAAGGTGGCCTAGGTCATCGTAGAAAAGTACTACATGTGCCTGGGCAATGACTTCCACACAAACAAGTGTGTGTGAGGAGATCCCCATTATCCTCAGCAAGAAGCTCCACAACAGGAGAGCAGGCTGCGTCACGCATCTGACGAACCAGATTCAGAGAGGTCCAGTGAGAGGTATCTCCATCAAGCTACAGGAGGAGGAGAAAGAAAGGAGGGACAATTATGTCCCCAAGGTCTCAGCCCTGGATCAGGAGATCATCGAAGTAGATCCTGACACTAAGGAAATGCTGAAGCTTTTGGACTTTGGCAGCCTGTCCAACCTGCAGGTCACTCGGCCTACAGTTGGGATGAATTTCAAAATGCCTCGTGGAGCTGTTTGACTCTTTCTCCAATGCTGTAATATACAGCAGTCACTGGATTTTATTTTCAATAAACCTGGGACAACAGCAATAAATAAATACATAAATATTAATAAACTAATGTCAATATTAATTATCAATATCCTTGATAGCATAATTGAGAATATGTTATATTAATATAATTAATATATTAACATAAATATATAATGTGAATATATTAACATCAATATTAATAACATGTTAATATAGCAATGTTATATTAATATAATTTATTAATATATAAATATTTACATAGTATTAATATGCTAGTCTCTCTATATTAATATATTTACATAGCATTAAAATACTATTCTCTATATTAATATTTATATTAATATTCTTAGGCCTCTTTTGTATTTGTTGCACCCTAAGTCTGTTCATTTCCTTCTCCTCAGCTGACATTTGGAGCATAGCAGTCGATGATGCCCACACAGACACTGCCTGAGACTCACGCCCCTGGAGAAACGCAGATTTCCTTATTTTCCAGGTCAAGTCCTGCCAGCCATAGAAAGGACTTCTTTGGTGCCAACTGCTGTGAAATGCCTGCCTTGGAAATCTCAGTGCTCCCTTGTACCTGTCTGAGCCCAGGGAAATGCCATACTGTGGCACTGCTGCATCCTGTATGGCTACCCAAGGATGCCCAGGACTGGGTTTGAAAGAGATGAGACATGGCCAGGTGCCGTGGCTCACGCTTGTAATCCCAGCACTTTGGGAGGTCAAGGCAGGTGGATCACAAGGTCAGGAGTTTGAGACCAGCCTGGCCAATATGGTGAAACCCCATCTCTACTAAAAATACAAAAAAATTAGCCGGGCATGGTGGTGGGTGCCTGTAGTTCCAGCTAGTCAGGAGGCCGAGGCAGGAGAATCGCTTGAACCTGGAAGGTGGAGGTTCCAGTGAGCTGAGATCGCGCCACTGCACTCCAGCCTGGGTGACAGAGTGAGACTCCAACTCAAAAAAAAAAAAAAAAAAGAGATGAGACACTAGTGTCTCATGAGTAGAACCTGGACTAGACACAAATCTCCATTCCCAATGTTTAGTGCCTCATTAGTGCCCAACAACAAGATATTGGGTCTATGTGGGTAGGCCTGGGGCATCCTGTACAACAGGAGATGTGTTAGGGGAGGGAGAACAGATCACAAATTCATGGAGAGCTATTTGCAGAGCAGATACTCCCATCCACTCTGATATGTAGTTAATGTTCAGCTGTTCCTAAAAAGCACACCCAACAATGGGTGTTCTATTCCAGCCTAGGAAAATGTAGAGGCAAGGGGTCTGAGGCCAGAGGACACCACTAGATGGACCACTGCTCCTGACTGTGATGTTGTGGCCCACTCAGGTCCCAGCACCCCATGGTCTGGGGGAAAATTTGCTGGTTCAGCCAGAGGGCTGGATGGACAGTGTTTGCTGAGTCACAGATATCTCTCTCATGTAGCCTTTGTCTCCACAGTGGTGACCAGGAGGCACAGAACCCAAACCTGGTATCTCAGCTCTGTGGCGTCTTTCTTCAAAATGAGACGAATGAAACCATACATATGCAGATGAGCATGGCAGTGGGACAGCAGGCCCTGCCCTTGAATATCATTGCCCCCAAGGCTGTGCTGGTCTCCCTCTGTGGGGTCTTATTGAATGGCACTGTCTTCTGGCTGCTTTGCTGTGGGGCCACGAATCCCTACATGGTATACATCCTCCACCTGGTCGCTGCTGACGTGATCTATCTTTGCTGCTCGGCAGTGGGGTTCTTACAGGTGACTCTGCTAACTTATCATGGAGTCGTGTTTTTTATCCCTGATTTCCTGGCCATATTGTCTCCCTTCTCCTTTGAGGTGTGTCTCTGTCTCCTGGTGGCCATCAGCACAGAGCGGTGTGTGTGTGTCCTCTTCCCCATCTGGTACAGATGCCACCGCCCAAAATACACATCTAATGTTGTCTGCACCCTCATCTGGGGCCTGCCTTTTTGCATCAACATAGTAAAATCACTTTTCCTAACTTACTGGAAACATGTAAAGGCATGTGTCATATTTCTAAAGCTTTCTGGGCTCTTCCATGCTATCCTTTCACTTGTGATGTGTGTGTCGAGTCTGACTCTACTCATTAGATTCCTGTGCTGCTCCCAGCAGCAAAAGGCCACCAGGGTCTATGCGGTGGTGCAGATCTCGGCCCCCATGTTCCTACTCTGGGCCCTACCCCTGAGCGTGGCACCCCTCATAACAGATTTCAAAATGTTTGTCACCACCTCCTATTTAATTTCCTTGTTCCTCATTATAAACAGCAGCGCCAACCCTATCATTTATTTCTTTGTGGGGAGCCTCAGAAAGAAAAGGCTGAAGGAATCTCTCAGAGTGATTCTCCAACGGGCGTTAGCAGATAAGCCAGAGGTGGGGAGGAACAAAAAGGCAGCTGGCATCGACCCAATGGAGCAACCACACTCTACTCAGCATGTGGAGAACCTTCTTCCCAGGGAGCACAGGGTCGATGTGGAAACATAATTTCCCACATCTGAGCTGGGGAATTGTACACATAGTAACCCAGCCTGTTCTGCATCATAAGGCTGCTGCATCAAATCAATGCTTTATTCTAATCAAGTTCAGCTTTCATGGACTTTCAAAACAACCCCTTGCTGTTTGTGGTTGGAAGAGACATTAACTTCCTTCCTAGGCAGTAAGCCCAGTTTGAATGTGCTCCAGTTCCAACGATGAGGGGAATGGGACCCAGTGAGACTTTCCTGGTACCTGTGGAATCCCAAATAAAGACCATACAAAAGGCCATGCATTATTCTCAATCATTATCCTGGAACATCCTCCAAATCCAGCCACAGATTTTCCTCCCTTTGTCTATCTCCTCCTTAGATAGAGCTTGAGCTTGTCGGAATTACCAAGAGGCATCATCACATAAGAGTAAGAGTCAGGGTTTTGGACCCAGATTGCCTTTGTCCAAACTTTGGCTCTCCCATTCAAAGCATGTTATTGTGGGCAAATAACTCTCTGTAACTCTGTTTCATCTTATGCAAGAGGAGGATAAAGTTGGTATTTAATATGCATGGTTGGTGTGAGGATTAATTAACCTTATGAATATACAGGACTCCTTGGATTTTATTTACAACATGTGTAACAATTATTTAGTAAGGATGATGAATATGTTGCAGTGTGTTGAATAAATGTACAAAAACATTACGTTGGATAATATAATCCCTCCTCACTAGGTTAGAATTTACACCCAAACCTTTTACTTTGAAGAAAGCAAATTTACCTCATCCTCTCTCCAACTTAATACCATTTAATTCTTCATCTTGCTTACATTGCTTACAAAACTCTCATATTGGGTTTCTTTTGTTAAATGGAACACATCCTTTTTGCAAATTTTCTTTCCTCTGTGAGGAATTATGTCACTCACAATTTTCCTTGTTTTTGCCTTTTCCATGTTTTATCTCTAGTTAAAAAGGTCAACTTTAAGAGCATTTCTATGATCACATTCTCTGGCTGGTCTTATTGATCTTTTATTTCTTACAACATTATTGTAATTTGTAATGGTTCCACCATTTTGGTCTTATTTTAAGCTTCCCCTAGAAGACGAGAAGTTTTGTGAGGTTGAAGTCATTACTTCATGATTCAGTTTAATGTCCCAGTGCTTTGTACATAATAAGTTGTTTTAATAATACCTCTTTGTAATTTGAATAAAAATTGCATTCCCTTTAAGTACATACCCTTTATTTAAGCCTTATTAATTTTATATCTGTGATTTTAGACAATCCTTCAAGGACTAGAATTGCCATTCTATAATATTGCTTTATATATATATATGCTTTAAATTCTAGTTATTGTATATATTATTTTATTGTGGTCAAATAATATAACCAACAAAATGTTATTATTAATATTATTATTTGTATTTCTTTCAGATTTACTCTGTGGCTGAAGACATGGTCAGTTTTGTCCACCATGGTGTTTAAAATAATGTATAGTCTCCTTTTAAGGTGTAATTTGTCAAATAACTTTTTTTAATGATTTCTATATGTGCTTATTCAATTATGTGTACATGTTACTCAAAACAAAGAAGATTCATTCAAGTCTGATATTAAAATATATGGTTACCTCTTAATTCCCATACTGCATCATTGTGTAGCTCATGTCTCATGATGCTGACATTTCAGGAGCATGTTAAGGAGGTGTCAGAGTGAAGGAAGGGGCATGAGACTTCTCGTGGACAGGTCTTTGTCTCTCCACTTCTGTTAGCTCTCCATCTATAAGCAGATTAGTCCTTTTTCAGTTGTCTGAGCTGCAGATACAATTTCCAACATTTTCATTGGTCACTTACTTCGGTTATGATTTTAAAAACATGTTATTGTCAAGCACACCGTTTTTATAAATTTGAATTTGTCAGTCTTTTATGGCTTATGTATTGAGTTATGATTAAAGAAGTCTTACCTACATGAGATAATATAAAATGAATCTATGCTGTCTTATACTATTAAATTATTTCATTTGTAAACATGTAAATATTTGATCAATTTGATTTTTTTTTACTGGAGGATAGTGTGAAGTATAAGCCCACTTTAATCTTTTTTGTTAAACGGTTAAATTATTCAACTTTGTTAGTCATCAGGAGCACTGCATAATGAGATATGATTTTCTACCCCTGTTATTAATAAGCTTTAATGGCTGGACACACAGAAGAATATGGAGGATTTAATGTCTTCTGCAACCAAAGTGGTGAGTTTAAGTTATTGCTTTTGTTGGGGAAAAATTGAGTACTGTACCTTAAAATTATAAACACACATACACTTATAATCAACGTTTAAAGTTTTATTGCTCCATTTTACAGAGACAAAATAGTGTTACCAAGTGATATCCGTGACAGGGTGTTTATTGCAACAATACTGGTTTTACCTGCTCCCAAGGCAGAAAATCCCACTGTCCCTACTGCAGAGATGCATCTGGGAGGGATTGGGTGACTGGGCACTTTCACACCTGTAGCTGTTATGTACTTCTCCAAGGCAAAGCCATGAAGTAGGACTTAGCAGGAACTGGTGCCCATAGCTAGGAACAGGAATCTTCTCACACGCACACACACACACACAAATTACATTGATAAATATTTTCATGAGATTGTTTCCAGGGAATTTGTAAGACAAAAGTTTTTAATGAAATTACTACTCCCCACCTCTTAAAATAAAAGGAAAAAATAAAACAAATAAAATCAAACTAATAAGTGAAAATAACATGGCCAATAACATCATATGTTCAGACCCAAAGGTCCAAACCTGAACCCTGACCTTTTGCCAAAAGAAATGGGATTGTGAAATATGAACAAACATTAGAAAGGTGTTTCACCTCAAACACCCAGGTGTGGCCACGGAATAAACCAAATAAGGAAAATCTCCCAGAGGGAAGTTCCAGTGTCTATGGACAATTCACTAAATAGATTAGGTGAATCCTTCCAATGAGAAGAACAGAGAACTGTGAGCTTGAGAGTGATGGAACTTACTTTCCTGACAACAAGTGTGATTCTGTCTGTTCTTTTACCCAAGAATGTCTAGCTGGAAAGGACACTCACTGAATGAATGGAATTAAATGCCTGTCACGTGGGTGCCAGAATGGAGCTAGAGGCAGTAACAAGATGATACTAGGTACATACAGTTCTTGACAAAATAATGAATGCATTTCAAATAGATGCAAATATTTTAATTTTAACTTGGACAAGGGAGGGAGGTGTATATAATTTGGGGGTAGGTGAAAAAGGCCTAAGTGTTGGTTATGGTGAGGGCATTCCAATGAGATATCGCAGGACATTCTATGTGGTATGACTCTAAGAAGAGTTTTCACAGATATAAAAAGAGATGGAAGGAAAGGAAGTTCTTTTTTCTCGCATTTTTTATATCATATTCTGAGTATGAAGTCATATCCTAAGCATTCGGAAAACATGCCCAGTGAGGAATGAGGACAATATTCTGAAGATGCCAGAAGTAAAAGTGGATAATTCTAATTTTTTCAAGACATTGTGCCACTGACTTGAACATCTTGCAGCAGCCCTATCTACAGGTGTCTTGTGCTTCAATATTATACATCACTGACTGCTAAAATTAGTTTAATTGAGCTTCTCTATTTGGCAGCCAAAAACATTTCTAACTGGAAATATTTTCTTATCCTTGAATGAAAAGGCAAAGACAGCCTTCTATGGGAATGCTACACAGCAAACTGGAATCCTAGTACTAGATAAGCTTGCCTCATACATTGATGCCCATTGTTGTTAAACCAGGGCCTAGATTTATGTTTATAAAATTATCTGAGTGTGGCTTTTACTGTGATAGAAGCAAATAGTGCTGGTTCTCAAAGGTAGAAAAGCATAAGAGATACACTATATGGGGGAGGCCAATCTTATTAGGGGTGTCCTGTGGACAAGAGTCCCTGGATAGAATCCCAATTGTGTTTCAGATACATGACTATAGGCAGGACTTGAGCCTGATAATCACCAGTATTAGGTATCATGAGAGAGTGGGAACAGAGGATGCTCTTGAAACCAAGAATTTGAGACAGTGAGTCGAGATCATTTCACTCCATGCCAGTCTGGGCAACAAAGTGAGATTCTGTTTCTTAAAAAAAAACATACAAGGGATGTGAAGGACCTCTTCAAGGAGAACAACAAACTGCTTCTCAAGGAAACAAAAGAGGACACAAACAAATGGGAAAACATTCCATGCTTGTGGATAGGAAGAATCAATATCGTGAAAAAAGCCATACTGCCCAAAGTAATTGATAGATTTAATGCTATCCCCATCAAGCTACCATTGACTCTCTTCACAGAATTAGCAAAAACTACTTTAAATTTCATATGGAGCCAAGAAAGAGCCTGTGTAGCCAAGACAATTCTAAGCAAAAGGAACAAAGCTGGAGGCATCACGATACCTGACTTCAAAATATACTACAAGGCTACAGTAACCAAAACAGCATGGTACTGGTACCAAAACAGATATATAGACCAATGAAACAGAACAGAGACCTCAGAAATAGCACCACACATCTACAAGCATCTGATCTTTGAAAAACCTGACAGAAAAAAGCAATGGGGAAAGGATTCCCTATTTAATAAATAGTGTTGGCGAAAATGGTTAGCCATATGCAGAAAACAGAAACTGGACCCCTTTTATACAGCTTATACAAAAATTAACTCAAGATGGATTAAAGATTTAAACATGAGACCTAAAACCATAAAAACCCTAGAACTAGGCAATATCATTCAGAACATAGGCATGGGCAAAGATTTCATCACTAAAACACAAAAAGCAATGGAAACAAAAGCCAAAATTGACAAATTAAACTAATTAAAATTGACAAATTTTAGTTCAGTTGACAAATTACACTAATT
This sequence comes from Homo sapiens, assembly GCF_000001405.40. NCBI lineage: Eukaryota > Metazoa > Chordata > Mammalia > Primates > Hominidae > Homo > Homo sapiens. The sequence goes on along the minus strand of NT_167247.2, from coordinate 747,266 downwards.
AAAATTGACAAAATTTGACAAAATTGACAAATTAATTAAATTAAACTAAAGAGCTTCTGCACAGCAAAAGAAACTATCATCAGAGTGAACAGGCAACCTACAGAATGGGAGAAAATTTTTGCAATTTATCCATCTAACAATGGGCTAATATCCAGAATCTACAAAGAACTTAAACAAATTTACAAGAAAAAAACAAACAACCCCATCAAAAAGTGGGTGAAGGATATGAACAGACACTTCTTAAAAGAAGACATTTATGTGGCAAACAAACATATGAAAAGGGCTTATCATCACTGGTCATTAGAGAAATGCAAATCAAAACCACAATGAGATACCATCTCATGCCAGTTAAAATGGTAGTCATTAAAAAGTCAGGAAACAACAGATGCTGAAGAGGATGTGGAGAAACAGGAAGGCTTTTACACTGTTGGTGGGAGTGTAAATTAGTTCAACCATTGTGGAAGACTGTGGTGATTCCTTAAGGATCTAGAACTAGAAATACCATTTGACCCAGTGATCCCATTACTGGGTATATACCCGAAGGATTATAAATCATGCTACTATGAAGACACATGCACACGTATGTTTATTGCGGCACTATTCACAATAGCAAAGACTTGGAACCAACCCAAATGTCCATCAATGATAGACTGGATTAAGAAAATGTGGCACATATACACCATGAAATACTATGCAGCCATAAAAAGGACGAGTTCATGTCCTTTGCAGGGACATGGATGAAGCTGGAAACCATCATTCTCAGCAAACTATCGCAAGGACAGAAAACCAAACACGGCATGTTCTCACTCATAGGTGGGAATTGAAAAATGAGAACACATGGACACAGGGCAGGGAATATCACACACTGGGGCCTGTTGGGGGTGGGGGTCTAGGGGAGGGATAGCATTAGGAGAAATACCTAATGTAGACGATGGGTTGATGGGTGCAGCAAACCACCATGGTACATGTATACCTATGTAACAAACCTGCAAGTTCTGCACATGTATCCCAGAACTTAAAGTATAATTTAAAAAATAATAATAATGAAAAAATAATTTGGGTACATATAATAAAAAAATTCAAGATCCACAATCTCTTGAATATAAAAACTACATGAAATATAGAGGAGATAGGACCAAAGGTAACAGCTGCTCTAGACCCTTAATGGCTCCCTTGTAGGGAGGATCAGTACTGTCCCATAAAGTCACATTCCCTATGTGACCTTGAGGTCTTCTCAGATTCTATCTCTGCAGTGAGGTAAACAGCCAGTCAGCACCGAAGGACAAGGAGGGGTGTATTTTAACATCTTGTCACCCTTTGATCATAGTGTATTTCATTCTTATATATCTCTCCTTCCTGGTCACTGTAGAACCATACAGAAACCATCTGCCCCACTATGTGAATCACATTTAACCACAAGGTTTTAAGAGGGAATATAATAAAAGATTATTTCCTGCAGGGATAAGAAGCAACTTCAAGCTAGAAATGCATGAATTGCTAGAGAAACCAACGAAAGGAGCCTTGCATCCATCTCATTTTTCTCAAGTTGAGCCACATGTGAACAAAAGTCTATATGAAATGATCAGCTGGCTCCTTCACAAACAGCTGTAGGTGAACGGAGGGGAATAGCATGAGGATACATGGAGTGTGAGCTTGATCTGGCTTTCAGTAAGAATTTGCCAATATGTTGTGTCAGAACCTGCTTGGTAAGTGGCACAGCACAAAAACATTCCCAAGACTTCTTTACATTATGTTTATGGATCATTCATGACTAATTTTCCAACAAAAACAAACATGCACTAGAGAAAATCAAGAAAGAGCAAATTGATCTTTGAGAAGACAGCAAAGTAAAGTTCTTACATTAATTTTACTTTACAAAACATGCAATTCAATTCATGACAAAATCCAAGGAGCACGTTTGAGCTACTGGAATTCCTGAGTTCATTGGGAAAATGCTGACCTGACTTTCCTCTTCTGCCTTCTAGGATGGGTTGGGCTGGGCTGGACCTCAGTCTGGGAGATGCATTAAAGTGGAGAGACTGACTTCTCTTAAAGATTCTTCTTTGTTTCAGGGGACAGTTCTTAAGGACAGAGTAATAGAGTCAGACAGGATTGGGGGATATCGTGAGATGTTGAGATAAAGATGCTTCAGTTAAAGGCCTGGGCTCTGATATGCAAGTGGCCCTGGTACAGGAAGACCTAAGGGACACAGGGAACTTGATAACTGCTTGTCAAGACCCAGTTCAAAGCAGATATGCTTAGAGAGCTTCCTGACATGAGGGCAGAACTTTGATCTCTCAGGAGGTTGGCCTCTGTGATACCAAGTCCGTCCAAGTCCTCCCAGGTATGAGAAAAAAGGTCTCTACCTTTTTTTTCATTTTCAAAGCATTTTAACTCAAAGACTCATTTTTTAAAAAAATTTAAAACCTTGTGATTTTTTTTTTACTGAGGAAGGTGCATTTGAAGATTGACAGGATAGAAACCAGTTTCCTGGAAAAAGGAGGGCCTGCGGTTCCCAAGGTAGCCCCAGTGGGTGAGCTACTTCTGTGTTCTGGTCCCTGGTTCACAGGTGCCCTGGCTGTGTAGATGGGCAGAGGGTGTGTTTTTCTGTTAGAAGTAGGATTTGAGCCACTGTGTTACTGAGGTGTGGTCTATGACTTCTGGGTGTAACCTTTCAGATTTTCCAATTTCCCAGCTTCTATATTCGTATTTAATTCTCATCTAACACAGAAAATGAAGTTCTGGCACATGCTGCACCATGAACAAGCCATGAAAACATGAGGCTGAGTGAAAGAAACAGAAACAAAATGTCACGGAAGGTTTGATTCCACTAATAGGACGTGTCCAGAATGGGTGAATGCGCAGAGACAGAAAGCAGATGGTGGTTGCCAAGAGCTGGGAGGGAGAAAGGGATGTAACTGCTAAGGGCATCCTTATGGGGCATGAAAATGTTTTGGAACTAGATAGAGTTGGGGGTTGCGCAATATTGTGAAGAGGCAAAGTGAGGCAGAACTGTGCACTCTAAATTGGTTAATTTCTGTTATGTGAATTTCACCTCAGATAAAAATTAAGTGGGGAGGGTGGGCTCTCGCCTCAGAATCAGAGCAAATACTTCAATCCCAATGCAAAGGCTACTTGGCTATTTTGGCTGCACCAAACTGAGCACTTCCAACAGCGCTGGCTCCCTGAATCCCAGGATCCAGCCTGTTGTATCTACTCCTTGGGGAGCCTGGCTCATGACCCAACTTGGAAATGACATTCCCAAGACCACAAATGACATTTCCAAGTACCAGGATGTCTCTATGCCCAGTGCTGGGGCCACACCAGATGCCGAGGCCTCTCCACCCCAGGAGGGCTGCCTCCTCCTCCTAGGTGACAATGAAGAATGTACTGCTCAGTCACTGGGCTCAGTGGTCGTCTCTGGGCATGAGCTGGGTTTCAATGAGCTCAGGAATGGGAAGCATGACTCTGCCCCTGAGGCCACATGCCACCTCCATAGCGGATCTTTTCTTCTGGCTGGAGGGGAAGTCACTTCTTCCCATGAAACTATTTTATCTATAAATCTCCTCTCCTTGTTGGAGACCAAAGCCCAGCTGCTCCTGCTTGGTGCCCTGGTGGCCTGGGGTGGGCCATGGAGTCCTGTTTGCAGTTTCTCTTCTGTCACCATCACGAGTTCTGACACCCTGGCCTGGGCACAGAACCGCACATCAGCCTGATGTTTCCATGGACACCAATGTTACTAAGCCCCAAGCCTCGTCTTATGACCAGATTAGATATAAGCTGGATCTGCTTTCCTCTCCTGGCCTCAGATAAGAAAGTCTAGGCAACAGGCACAGGGAGGGGCGAGACTGGGGCCAGACCCTTCCATTTCAACAGAGCTGCTGACTGAAGGGGAACTCCATCATCCTGGCAAGGAGGGAAGATTCAAACACTGGGCTCACTTGGAGCTGGTCCCTAGCACTCTCCTGAAACCCCACTGATGCACCAATATGTGACTGCAGATCACAGGGTCACGTGTGAGATATTTCCTGGCATATCTTAGGCTTTCATCAATTTGTGGAACAATCTTTGTTTTAGAAGCCTCTGTGATCCATAAACAAAGCTTCAGTAGCTCAGGGTTGTAGGACCAGGTTCGTCTCACCATTCTGAGACTTCCCATGATTCCATGTATAAAGTTCTCTTCACTACTGTGATCATCAGCTTGGACTCCCATGACTAAGACCACAGACTGAGTGACTTAAATGATAGAAGTCTATTCTGTCACAGTCCTGGGGGTTGGAATTCTGAGATTAAGGGGTCGGCACTGTCGGTTCTTTCTGAGACCTCTCTCCTTGGCTTGTAGATGGCTGTCTTTTCCCTGCATGCTTACATGGTTGTCCCTGTGTGTTTAACTAATCCTAATCTCCTCATCTCATGAGGACACCAGTCCTATTGGATTAGGGCCCAACCTAAAGACCCATTTTAACATAATTACCTCTTCAAAGATTCTGTCTGCAGACACAGTCACATTCTGAAGTATTAGGGGTTAGGACCTTAACATATGAATTTAGAAGGTCACAATTCAGCTAATAACAGCAACCCTTAGATAGCTGGGAATACTGAGGCAGAAAAGGATCCACTGCTTATCAAAGATAGCTGTGATTTGCCCACATAAGATCAGCTTTCATACCCTTGGCCTGAACTCCCAGGTTACTAGGTTTGACTCAGCTGTGGGTTCCCAGAAGAGGTATTGATCCTCTCCCGTTTCATTTTTAGTTAGGTGACCAACCAGCTTGGTTTTCCCAGGGCTATCGGGATATTCAGGACAAGGAATTTTCAGGAATACAAACTAGGAAATTCTAAGGCAAAGTGGTACCTTTGCCCTCCCTGCACAATTCTTCACACAAAGACCTGTGATTGGCAGCCTGAAGCGGAGTGCCTGCTCCTGAAGTGGACAGAGCCCATGGCTCAAGTGCATGTCTCCCTCGGGACCCCATGAAGCAGCTTCTGGTGTGCAGGGTCCCCTGCTCTCACCTACATGTAACAGAGCAACTTAAGTCCTCTGCAGGCACCCTCCCCAAGTAGCTCCTCAGTGTCAAACCCTGTTCCAGGGGCTGGAGAAAAGGCAGTGAACAGAATTTTAAAGACAAAGTAAATTCTCATGGAACTTCCATTCCAGGGCATGATTCCCACAAAAGCAAGTAAGTGAATATCATAGACTGCCAGCAGGTCAAGAGTGCAATGTTTAAAGGCTGATCAGCAGAAGATCACCTGGAAGGTGACCCTGAGGCAGAGACTGGAAGGAGGAGACCGAGCTCACTGAGGCACAGAGGCTCTTCCAAGCAGGAGAACAGCATGTGCAAAGGTCCAGGGAGGAGGCCTGAGAGCTAACAGAGAAGAGGTGAGCAGGAGCAAGGTTGGGAGCCCTTCCCTTGAGTACTGACCAGCAACCTCCCCATCCAGGACTCAAGGAGTCTCAGAACCTCAAGGTAAAGTAGTCACTCAGTGCCCCCACCAAAACGATGTCACAAAAACAGCCTGTACCAGTGGGAAAGTTGGAGAACCATCCCTATGGGCTAATGTAAACAAATGTATTTTTTTATGCAGCCTTATAGATAATCTGGGTGCACGGGATACACACTGGGCCTTGGGCACAGCATGAAGCATCAGGGATAACTGAATGCGGTGGAGAGAGGGGTAAGGGTATGCATGAGAGGGCATCCTGCAATGGAGAATCTGGGAGGGAAGGGATGGGTCTCCCACAAGAAGCTTGCTCCTTTCCTCCACTCTGCTCTGCAGAATCCCTGCCAATCTCATGAGGCTCAGCAGGAACCTCTGAGGACAGAGGGCAACCCTGACTCTCCTCTCCAGACCTGGTATGTTACCAGCCTTTGTTTTTGCAGGATGTGCGCAGGCAGCAAAGGTAGCCCACCATAGCCTAGCTTCTCGCAACCCTCTCTGGAAAGCTGGATTGGGACAATGAGACTGAGACCTCAGGACATGTGAACATGAGCCATACGGGAGGTGAGTGGTTGGTGGACAGGCAGGTGGTCTTCTCCCTGACAGTGCTGGTGGCCCTCTGTGGACTGGTAGGCAATGATGTGATCTGCTGGCTTCTCTACTCACAGGTCTGGAGCAGCCCCTATGTGACCTACATCCTTAACCTGGCCACTGTTGATATGGTCAACCTCTCCTGTGTAACTGTGATCCTGCTGGAGAAAATCCTCATGCTGTATCACCAGGCGGCATTGCAGGTGGCTGTGTTTCTGGATCCTGTCTCCTATTTCTCCGACACAGTGGGTCTCTGTCTCCTGGTGGCCATGAGTATTGAGAGCTTTCTCTGTGCCCTCTGTCCCACCTGGTGCTGCCACCGCCCAGAGCACACCTCTGCCATGGTGAGGTGGGCCCTGGCCCTTTCTTTGTATGCAGTTAGCCAGGTCTGTGAGTACTGGGAGAAGTGCTTGGCATGTGACCAATTTCATGAGGCTTTATGACATGTCATGTACTTATTTGCTTTGTAATGGGCATGTCCAAGCTGATCCTGATCATCTGGGGTCTGTGCTGTCCCCAGTGGTGTTCCCCCATCAGGACCTATCATGTTGTCTGCTTTGTGATCATCAGCTTCTTCCTTTGGGTCCTGCCCTTAGTTGTCCTTGTGTGCCTGCCAGGAAAGTTTCTGACCCTTGCCTTTGACCTCCTGTTGCTACTGTCCATTGTGGTCAGCATGCCTCACCTAGTCATCTACTTCTTGGCTGAGTAACTCTACAGGAAGAGGCACAGGGAGTCCCTAAAGGCTGTTTTTCAGAGGGCTTTGTTGAGTGAGATGGAGGCATGGATAAAATGAGGCGTTTCAGGCCCCCGATCCCAGGGCAGATTTCAGCCTCACAGCTGGAAACAAACTGCTCTTCTAGGGGGCTCAGCTCCTCCACAAAGGCAGGGACTGCCTATGCACAAGGCTGTAAAAGGGATCATGTCTGGAAAACATGCTGGATCCTCCAAGGAGCAGGGTGAATGTTCTTGAGATTATTTATTACCTTTGTGTATTTTCAGAGTAACCAGATTTCTGACTGAATTCAAGACAAAATTACTTTGCTTCTGTTGATAGCCCATTATTCTCAATTCCCATGGAAACCCTCTGGAAAGGCAGGTCAGGAGCAAAGCAGACCTTCCTGGCTTCTTCTTTTTTTTTTTTTTTCCAGCTAATTATTTTATTTTATTTTATTTTATTTTTCTTTTTTTATTATACTTTAAGTTTTAGGGTACATGTGCACAACGTGCATGTTTGTTACATATGTATACATGTGCCATGTTGGTGTGCTGCACCCATTAACTCATCATTTAACATTAGGTATATCTCCTAGTGCTATCCCTCCCCCTTCACCCCACCCCACAACAGGCCCCAGAGTGTGATGTTCCCCTTCCTGTGTCCATGTGTTCTCATTGTTCAATTCCCACCTATGAGTGAGAACATGCGGTGTTTGGTTTTTTTGTCCTTGCACTAGTTTGCTGAGAATGATGGTTTCCAGCTTCATCCATGTCCCTACAAAGGACATGAACTCATCATTTTTTATGGCTGCATAGTATTCCATGGCGTATATGTGCCACATTTTCTTAATCCAGTCTATCATTGTTGGACATTTGGGTTGGTTTCAAGTCTTTGCTATTGTGAATAGTGTCATAATAAACATACGTGTGCATGTGTCTTTATAGCAGCATGATTTACAATCCTTTCGGTATATACCCAGTAATGGGATGGCTGGGTCAAATGGTATTTCTAGTTCTAGATCCCTGAGGAATCGCCACACTGACTTCTACAATGGTTGAACTAGTTTATAGTCACTGGCCATCAGAGAAATGCAAATCAAAACCACGATGAGATACCATCTCACACCAGTTAGAATGGTGATCATTAAAAAGTCAGGAAACAACAGGTGCTGGAGAGGATGTGGAGAAATAGGAACATCTTTACACTGTTGGTGGGACTGTAAACTAGTTCAACCTTCCTGGCTTCTGCAAGCTCCATATTTCTGAGAGTGACAAGTGTCATTCATCCTTATTCAGTCACCTTGCTCGGAGTTCTGTCCTCTGTCACCCCAGTCCATCCTTCCTGGGGACCCCTGGGCAGAGACTGATTCATGATCCTGATGTTCCTCCACCATTATGGCCTCAAGTTTCCATCCATCCCTTCCTACAAAAGCCAGGAAAGCGATTCAGTAAGAGTGCCATAACAAGTTGTTTCTGGCGTTGCTCACTGTGGAGAGATCTAACGCTGGCAGTCTGGCCTACAGCCTGGTTTCTCCAAGCTGTTTCACTCTGCTCATTCCAGGTTCCACGCACAGGCTACTCTCTGTGTTTTTCCCAGACTCATCACACAATCTAGCGCCTGTGCTTCTTCACAGGAATCCCACCCTGCAGAATGTCATGCATTCTTCCCCACCCTGACCAGGGTGTTGCCCGGCACCCACCATGGTCAGAACCTTAATGAGAGCCCCTGACCAGCCCCAGCTCCATCCCGTCAATGCTCTATAGCCATCACAGCAGCACATCACCCTGCTTCATTTGTTCAATTGCACCCCAGCCAGCGTAACTCTTAGATTTCAGGATGGTGTCCACCCCCTGAGTTGTCCTCAGGTGCACCATTTGACCTTGTCCCATGACATCCTCACACAGGATTCACTCTCTCCCTTGTTTGCACCAGACTCGCGCCCAACCTTGCAAGGTCCCTTTCTCCCTTCCCTGCTTAGAGCACTCCCTCAACACTATCTGTACATTTTACTCTTTTTCACCCTTCACTCCTTAAAGATGTTTGTCCAGACCACCCCATTTAAATCTCCACCCCTTTTTGACTCTTCTCTAAAAGGTTTGTTTCTTTTAATGTGAAGATAATTGTCTATAATTATTTTCTATGTATTCTGTGTTGTGTGTTGTTATCAGTTTATTGTACTCCTGCCTCATTTGCACTTGAAGCCCCAGTAGGGCAGAGGCCACACCTTCCTCCTACCCTAGCAAATTCCCAGCAAGTAGCAAAATGCCCTGCAAGTCTGACATTAACCCCCCATCATCTGATGTTATCCATCGCTCACTAGTCCACCTTTCCACCTTGCATGTTTCCACATGTTTTCATTGTCTCTGCCTTCTTGAGGCTTCCCAACCATATTCTAACTAGAATTCGACGAACACGTCTTTGGAGATTGTTCCCAGTGTTCTTGTAATTGATTTGTCAGTTTTTTACTCACTTGGAAAATGTCACTTGTATAATACTATGACTGTTATGTGAAATTCACACTGTTTTCTCTGTTGCCGAAAACTTGCTCAGGTTTGTAAATGTGCCAGTGATACTGGTAAGCAATGTACATTCTCTTATTTTAGATATTCAATGTGATACATTCTAAAGCAATTCTGAGATGTTTAGATTACAGCAATTCTTTAAATGCTGTTACTTGGATCATATTGATTTCTGCCTAGTGTAAATGACAAAATTGATAGGGACATGTTCATATCTCCTATTAGTTTGTTTCACATCACACTAGAATTTGAAACAGAGTTTGATTTACATAATTTGATGTTGTCCTTTGATAAGTGAATGGCAGAAACCCTGGCCCTAGAGCACAGAAGGGCTGATCCGGGCTGCCTGTCTTTAGTCAGCGTGTTTTGTTCTAACAAAATGCCATAGATTAGGCTACAAACAGCAGATATTTATTTTCTCAGAGTCCTGGAGCTTGGAAGTTCAAGATCAATGTATCAGCAGGGTGGGCTTCCCCTGAGGCCTCCCTCTTTGACTTGAGATGGCCGCCTTCTCCCTGTGTCATGACATGGCCTTTTTCTGTGTACCCACATCCCTGGGGACACTTTCTATTCTTATGAGGATTTTAATTCTTTAGGATTAGGACCTCAGTCTTATGAGCTCCTTAGCCTTAATTATCTCTTTAAAGGCCCTATCTCAAAATATTGTCACATTCAGGGTTAGGACTTTAGCCCGTGAAGTTTGGATGCCTGGAAGTAAGAGGCAGGTTGATCTCACAGAGTTGGGCTGCTGCTATGTTCAGGCAGGGGATACAATTTGGGCATTTTATGTGCCTTTACCCTGGGCCAACAGTTCCCTTGGAGGTGAGCATCTGGCTTATGGTTCTTTAGTTTTTTGTGGAAATGTCTCTATTATCCTTGCAGCTGATGAGCTCCTGGCAACACAGACAGTCCTCAGTTTCCTGAATTCTCTCACTCACTCAGAAAAACAAAAATGTCAAGGCTAGGTATGGACTATTACAGTTTAGTAAGTAATCCCCTTCCTTCCCTCTGGAATTGAGAACTACTGATGAAAGTGAATGAAGGAATGAGGACAGTGTCAGATGGAGAACAATGCATTACTTCTATTGCTCCTAAAATTGAACTGGAGAAAGGGGCTTGGATGTCTAAAAAACTGACTTTCAAAAGTGCCCCTTAAATGGTACCTACTCCAGAGGATCCCATCCCTCCTCCCTCTTCCTGCCCATCTCTCTTTGGAGGAAAGCAGTCCTTCTGGGGAACTCACCACCCACTGGTGAAGGGAGCACTCACTCCAGGTTATTCTTCCAAACTCACTCATCAGTTTCTTTCCTTCTCCCCGGGAGGGAAAAAGTGCGGGGAAAGAGAGAGAGCCCAGAGCTTAAAATAGACCTGAGATTCTCAGTCTTAAATAGTATTGAGCAGCTCAAAGAACTTTTGTGGATCAGGGTTGTATCTTTCAATATTTACAGTATTAGTAATTATAACTCAGAACTTTACAAATGTTTACTTATTAACTCCTTTAGAACATAAATTGTATGCCTATTCCATGTAAACATGAATAAATTTTAGAAAAAATAACTATGTTTTCTTTAAAAAGTTATGTTATTGAGAAGAGCAAGATGGTTTTGTATTTTGCAGACCTCTTAGAGGCCCAGCAGCAAGCTGGACATTCACAGCTGCTTCTGCATTGGTGTAGTTTTCCAGTTGGCGGCTTCATCTCACCTCATACAGTCTCTGGAAAACTCCACTTTCACTCAGGAGTGCATGAGTGTGAGAAACACAGACTCACTTCAATACTTCAAGTATTACCTGAAGATTATGTTGGCCTCCCTTCCCCTAAAAAGGTGTTGGGGACCACATCTCAAGAATTACTCCTCTGGGGTGATCCCCACCTGGAAATAAGGGCTGAGGGAGTGGAGGCACCCACCCTCTCACACCAGTTCCCTTGTTTGGAATTTTTAAAGAGAGAGGCATCCCAGCATTCACCCCGCAGTAGGGCAGAACTGTGTGGCACATCCTGAGAAGGGATCAGCGGGTGACCAGGACTGAGCCTCTGCCACCTGGAAGAAACTGTACCCCAGGACTGACCAGAGTGTCTTGTGGAGTTTCGGCCTCACCAGGAGGCACTTGAATCATGGTAACCATAAGACGCTGCACGGGACAGGAAGATGAATAGTAGCAATAGCAACTAGAGCAAATATGTTCACTGATGATTTACTGTATCTCAATATTGCTCTAATCACTGTGAAAACATGAAGCCAGTTTTCACACTCTATTAATAGGTAACATTATTATCCTGCTTCAGCCTAAGCCAAAAGGCTGCTTGGCCCACTTAGCTGATTGTTATCCAATGGTCCCAGCACATTTATAACAAATATAGTCCTTCACTATTGTTCTGATTTTTGGTTATCAATCATGTTTAGACTTATGTGGGTCTGTCTCTGGGCCTTCTGCTCTGTTCTGTTGGCCTATTTATCCACCCTTGGACAACACCACACTTGATGTAGTTACTGCATCTTTCCCGTGCATATCTATGCCCAGGAAACTGAGTCCTCCTACAAACAGCCAGAGAAGAACAAGACATATATGTACAGAAAATCAAAGATAAGAATGAAGCAGATTTCTTGTTGGAAAGTTGCAAGTTGTATGACAGTGGAGAAAATTCTTTAAAATATTAAAAGAAATAAATTTGTCAGCCTAAAATTTTTTACACAGTCAAAATATTTCCCAAAGAGATGGCAAAATAAAGAGGTTTTTGGAGACACAAAAAAGATGAAACAAATCATCACCAGGAGATATGCAGACTGAGAAGTGGTAAAAGACATACATCCAGCAAGAGAATAATGACTCCACATGGAAATCTGTGTCTATTTAAGGAAGGAGTCCTTTGCCCTGATGGTATCTTCTTAAGACGCTGAAATAAGTGGTGAGAGCCAACATTCTTGGCTTGTTCCTCATCTGGGGTGAAAGCATCCAGTCTTTCATTATTAAGGGTAATACCCACTAAATATCAACCATAGGATTTTTTTTTTGGTAGCTGCCTTTTATCATTTTGAGAAACTTCGTTTCTATTCCTAGTTGACTGAAATTTTTTATGAGCCTATTGGATTTTGTCTAATGCTTTTTCTGAATCTGCTGAAATAATGTTTTTGCCTTTTAATCTGTTAATGTGGTGAATTATATTGGCTCATTTTTCATGTTAAACCTGCCTAGTATCCCTGGGATAAATTTCACTTGGTCTTGATGTGCATATATTTATATTTCTGGTGCACATGTATGTATGTTCATGAGAAAGTGATTCTGTGTGTGGCGATGCAGTAGACCTAGAATAGTTAAAAAAAAAAAAAAAAACTTTGAAAAAAGAAGAAGCAAGTGAGACAGTTTATAATACCCGACTTCAAGGCTTATTATAAAGGTTCAGAAATCCAGATGGTGTGATATTGGTAACAGGATGGACAAATAGGTCAACAGAACAGAAGAGGGTCCAGAATAGACCCTAACATATATCTTCAATTGATTTTGAAGAAGGTGTAAAGTAAATTCAGTGGAGAAAGGACAATCTTAGCAACAAACGGTCCTTAGAATTATTGGATATACATATGCACATATGAACAGAACTTCAATCCATACGTGGCATCATACATAAAAATTAATTCAGAATTTATCATAAACCATAATGTAAGACCTAAAGCTGTAAGCTGTATGTAAGAAAAGAAAAGAGAATATCAGTGTAACTTATGGTTAGGAAAATATTTCTTGGATGAATACAAAAAGTATGATGCATAAAAGAAAAAATTGATCAATTGGATTTCATCAAAATATAAGATGTGTGCACTTTGAAAGACCCTGTGGGGAGAATGAAAAGGCAAGTTCCAGGCTGGAGGAAGTGGTTTCAATCTCACATCTGATGAAGGACTCATATGTAGGATCTATAAAGAGCTCAGATGAATGGGCCCCTGGCAGCCCTTGGGAATCACAGGGGTGCTGTGCCATGGACAGACATGGAAGACACCTCCCACCCTGTCATTCATGTCTTCTGAGCTGCAGTACTCAATGTCCCCTACAAATGCCCCCTCCTGGGCCCACAGACCCTCCTCTCCCCACATCCACACCCTCAGGCCAGGCCCTGGGGCTCTTGTTGGGACAGGGCCCCTCCTGCAGGATACAGGGAGGGAGGAACTGTCAGTCTCAGGCTCTGGGTGCCCAGCTTCAAGCTTACCCACCTCAAGGCCCTCTGGGCCCATCTCACAGGATATAATGAGGTAGTCTGGCACCTACTGGACATGCTATCTAGATCTAATCCTGAGCTGTGGAGCCAGAGGAAAGGAGGGATGTTTGTTGGACCAGTTACCCTGTTCTGCCAGGTCTCACAGGGCCCTTCCCTTAGAGGCCAGCTCTAGACACACAGCACAGAGGCCAAGAGGTAGCCAGCCCAGAACCTGCAGGCTGGGCTGGGGACCACACGAGGACTGTCTGGGGACAGCCAGAAGACCCCTCACTAGTTTTCTCACTACCTCATTTCTTATCAGCTACCTTACCTCCATCAAAACCCCCCTTCACGCAAAATCAGTAAGAGGAGGAAGATGGTAAAAGAATCAACGGGAAGAAAACAAAAAAAGGACAACCATTAACAGTCCAGAACCCTGGGTGGGAAGAGTGGAACTGGGAACAGACCCTTTCATTTCAACAGAGCCTTGACTGAAGGGGACTCCATCATCCCAGCAAGGAGGGAAGATTGAAACACTAGGTTCACTTGGAGCTGATCCCTAAACTTCTCCTGAAACCCCACTGATATACTGACATGTGACTGCAGATGCCAGGGTTGCCTGTGGCATATTTCTAGAAAAATCACAGGCATTTATCAGTTTGTGGGACAAGTTTATTTCCAGAAGCTTCTGTGACCCAGAAGCAAAGCGTTAGCAGCTCAGAGTTGTAGAATCAGCATCTCAGATTATAGGATTATAGGATCTACCAGGTCGTAGATCTCACTATTGCAAGACTTCCCATGATTCAATTTGTAAAGTTCTCATCACAACTGTGATCATCAGCTTGGACTCCCGTGACTGAGACCACAAACCGAGTAGCTTAAACTACAGAAGTTTATTCTCTCTCGGTTCTAGGAGGCAGGAAGTCTGAGATCAAGGAGTGGGCAGGATAGGTTTCTTCTGAGGACTCTTTCCCTGGCTCCTAGATGGATATCTTCTCCCTGTGTCCTCACATCGTTGTCCCTTGTGGTGTTTGTATCCTAATCTCGTCTTCTTATAAGGACACTAGTCCTACTGGATTAGGGCCCATTCTAATAATCCATTGAATTTCACCTCAAGTAAAGATTAAATTAAGGGCTAGTGTGAGCTCTCATCTCAGAATCAGAGCCATTACTTCAGTCCCAAAGCAAAGGTTACCTGGCTGTTTTGGATGCACTGAGGCAGACACCTCCTTCAGAGCCTGGTCCCAGAGACAGTTTCTACTAACTGCTTGTTTTTCTGTGTATGGGCCTTACTTTATTGTTTCTTTGCATGTTGTATTATTTCGTTCTTTCTTTTTTAACTTAGCATTTTAAACAGTATAATGTGGCAACTCTGGAAGTCATATTTTTTCTGTTCCCAGATTTTACTATTGCTAGTGGATGTTTTTTGATCAGGTTTTTAAAAACTATCTGTCAAGTCTGTTCTTTTTTGTTTTTTTGTTTTGTTTTGTTTTTGTTGTTGTTGTTGTTCAACGTGGCCACTGAAGTCTCTGCTTGGTTAGCTTAGTGGCCAGGTAAAGACTGGACAAAGATTTCCTTAGGTTCCTGGAAGTAATGTCTCCCAGTGTATGTAGAGAGGCTCTGTGTGCAGGTAGATACAGGTCTTCAAAGCCCAACCAAGCAGTTTACACTGTGTCCTAGCCTTCATTTCCTGTCTGTGCAGTGCCTCAAACTTATTCAGGGTTAGAGCTTAGAGCCTGCTCAGGTCTGTTCAAAGCATATATGCAGCACTTGTCATGCCCACATCTATGCATGCATGTGGCCGTCGGAACTTTCTGGAGTATATTAAGGCTTTTCAATCCCCTTTATGGGCATCTCATTCCCTGACATTTCGTTTTTAAGTTCTTGGTTAGGCTATTGTTTGTTCCAACTGTTATTTATGACCGTCGGCAACCATGATGTTCAACAACTGCCTATGATTCTTTTTACTCATTTCCCCAGGAAATACATTGTTCTCTCTGGGATAGCTCTGAGTCAAGTCAAATAAGGATAGCATTGTGAGTTCTAGGGAACAACCAGACAGGTAAAATAATAACAGTCCTCTGGAAATAAGGGATTAAAGGATCTGTAACCCTATTGTGTCCCCTCCAGTGATTTCATGTCTGCTGGTTTTCACCATGATTGTGGACCGTTGGTTTTTAAGAGCTGAGGAGGAAGGAACAGGAGTGGAACCAGTTAAAACATCACAGAGCTCACTGTTCTTATCAAGATTCAGCTATTATTCTTGAACAAACACTCCCCAGATTGCAGCAAGCCTTTGGTTAATTTCTAGAGTTCTAAACAATATTAATTCTGACAATTCTTCCATAGTTCATTTTACTCTTAGGAAGTAGGTCATTTTTGGAAGTCATTACTCTGTTATTTTTGTTGATGTCACTGTGTTACTGGAAAGGGGCCCCAATCCAGACCCCAAGAGAGGATTCTTGGATCTCATGTAAGAAAGAATTTGGGGCGAGTCCATAAAATGAAAGCAAGTTTATTAGGAAAGTAAAGGAATAAAGTATGACTACTCCATAGACAGAGCAGTGGCATGGGCTGCTCAACTGAGTATACTTACAGTTATTTCTTGATTATATACTAAACACGGAGTGGATTATTCATAAGTTTTCTGGGAAGACGGTGGGCAATTCTCAGAACTGAAAGTTCGTCCCCTCTTTAGATTACATAGGGTTACTTCTGGACATTACCATGGCATTTGTAAACTGTCACGGCATTGATGGGAGTGTCATTCAGCATGCTAATGCATTATAATTAGAGTATAATGAACAGTGAGGAGGACCAGAGGTCACTTTCATTGCCATCTTGGTTTTGGCCGGCTTCCTTACAGCATCCTGTTTTATCAGCAGGATCTTTGTGACCTATATCTTATGCCAACCTCCTATCTCATCCTCTGACTGAGAATGCCTAACCTTTTGGGAATGCAGCCCAGCAGGTTTCAGCCTTACTTTACCCAGCCACTACTCAAGATGGAGTCACTCTGGTTCAAACGCCTATAACAACAGTATGGTTTTTTGTTTTATTGGAATTGTTGCTTTAGGGATTATGATATAAATATTTACCCTTTCATGGTCTACTTAGAATGAATAGATCCATTTATTATTATTAGTTTATTCAGTAATTGTCATATGTATTACATTTGTATGAATCCCCATCAGTGTTGTACTTTTTAGTTCCAACAGAGATACATATTTTAAATAATTCAAAAAGAGAATAATATACGATTGCATTTACCCAGATAATTACTCTTTCTGTTGTTCCTTTTTCATTCATGATATTCTGATTTTCCCTCTGGTTTTATTTCCTCTCTGCCTGAAGCAGTGCAATCCATGCTTAAAAGCATTTCTTTTAAATCAGATGAGTTGGTGATACCTACTTTCACTGAGAATATCTTTACTTCATCTTCGTTTCTGAAGAATATTTTAACTTTATATAGAATTGCCTAAATGAGTGTCAATTGTGAGGAATGGGAATTAATGACATTGGCTGCTAAAATGGAGTGAAGAAGGTAGGTGAACAGCTCTGGTCTAAGACCAAGGTTCCCATGCAGGACTTGGTTTTTCTGCTGGGCTTTAAGACCCCAAAGCCCAAGAAAATGCTATCGTCTTATGAAATTTCCAAGAAGAAGACCATCCACCTCACCTTAAAGGTGGTGAAGCCCAAGATGCGGAGCTGCCCATGTTTCTGGTGGAAACATGTGATGAGGAGCAGAGAAATCTCCTCCTGGCATGACTTAATTTAAAAAAATATGGTAGATTATGGCATCAGAAAGGACAAATTACATTTCTTGACATACCACTCCACTGGAGGTGACCCAGGGGTAGAGAGATGCTTAAGGAAAAGCAGTTCATTTTCTTCTGGCTCATGTTCAGTAACCAGGGTGCCCAAATACTTTGAAGACGGAGTCTTAATCCAGAAGATAGGAGTTCTGTGTAACCTATACTATATGGTTACTTGATAGCAACAAAGTTCTTGTTGAAATATTCTGTTATAACTCAAAGGTTATATTATGTTTGCTTTTTTTTTCTGGACTCTTTAGTGGAAAATGGAAAAAAATACTACAAATAAAACATTAAACTTTTCCTTCCAATATTTCACCTTTATTTCAGTCTCAAAAAAAGTGTTATTTGCAACTTTAATGTGGCCAGAACCATATACATTTGAAAGGCTGCTAAATTGAAAACAATAGAGCCTGCATTTTGGTTGTAACAATCCATTCTGTGTATTTGCATGTGATTATAGATTTGCTAAGTTTTAGTTCCTCCTTTCCTCTGGCTGTAACTTGAGGCAGTGAAGGAGAAAGAGAAGGCAAAAAAGGGTCAATAGAAGAAGGAGCAACTGGACAGAAAGAACCTTGAGGAAGTAGGAAAGAAGACATGTGCAGGGGGTTGAATGCTTATGTCCTTCCAAAATTCATATGTTGAAATCCTAAACCACCAAGATGATGGCATTAGAACATGGGGCCTTTGGGCAGTGATTAGGTCATGAGGGAAGAGGCTTCATAATTGGAATTAGTGCCCTCATAAAAGAGACTCCAGAGAGTTGGTAGTCCCTTTCACCATGTGTGGGCACAGCAAGAAGTCACCTTCTATAATCAGAAAGCAGGCCCTCAATAGGCATGAAATCTGCCTTAATCTTGGAGTTTCCAGCCTCCAGAACTGTAAGAAAGAAATGTTTGTTATTTATAAACCACCCAATTTATGTGTAGCTTGTGATAGTAGCTTGAATGAACTAAGCTAACACGGTAAGAACCAGAAATGAAGATAGAGTGACGGTGATGACTGTCAAGCACACTCATGAGAAGCAAGGCAAGGCCATGGCCTAGCTGATTTGGCTGGAGAAGATATGAGCCACTTTTACACTTAGATGGCTTATTATTTACATATAAAAAAGAAGTAAAAGCCAAACGTGCCAATTCCCTGGCTCCTTGTCCTACACACCAAAAAGGATGACACGGAAACCAAAGGGGCCAGACGACTGTGACACTGTTGTGGAATATACCACTGGTGAGGAGTCAGTTCTAGAATCCAGCTATTCCTCATTATATTCTTCAGCTATATCCTAAAGGGTGTGGGGCAGAAAACCCCATGCTCCATCCAAAACCTGGGAGACAGTAAAGACTTGTCACATGACATACTCCCAGGGATATAAGAAGGAGAGTGAGAGATGGCATTGAGGCAGGTTCTAAAGGGCCTCCCATCCTCTCATATTCCAGGAGGATCAAAAAGCATTCTTCTAAATCTCAGATTAGCTGTTCTTCAAGCCTTTGCTTACATGACCTACGTAGATACATGCAAGGTGTCCAGAATGCTATGATGGAGTAGTTCCCCTACACTGACATGACAATTGGAGAGCAATTATATAACCAGAAATAGGCATGGTGGAGTTAGGAAATCTATAGAAGTGATGACAGTAAAAAGAACAGAATGGAGGATAGAAATATTAAGAATGGACAGTGATAGGAATGATAATATTTGAATTTGTGTGCCTTATGGAGCTACCTATCTCCTCTCACCCAATTTCTTTTATCTCTCTGTCCCTCTCTTTCTCATTCTCCCTCTCATAGATAACATAGCCACACTGTGACCCACCACAGTGGCTCAGGTGTATGTGGGAAGGGTAGTAGTCTGGAAAACTTAACATGTTCATAAATCTTGAAGAAACTCTTCTTACTTTCGAAAGTATATTAAGCAGCTCTCCAGCTTTCCCTGGAGTCTCTTTCCTTCCCTAGTAACCTCCTGAGTGCTCGCTTTATCTCCTTGTTCCTCAGGGTGTATACGAGAGGGTTAAGTGAAGGAGTGCCCACTGCATAGAAGAGACCAAAGAACTTGCCCCTCCCTTGGGCATACGGATTTTTGGGCTGGAGGTAGACAGCAATGACTGAGCTGTAGAAGAGGGTGACCACAGTGAGATGGGAGGAGCAGGTCCCAAAGGCCTTTCTCCATGCTGTGGCAGAGTTAATCCTCAGCACTGCCTGGGCAGTGGCTCCATAAGAGGCAAGGATGAGGCTGAGAGGCACAACCACGAAGATGACACTGGACACAGCCAACTGGATTTCATTGTAGGAGGTATCTCCACAGGAGAGTCGAATCAGAGATGGGACCTCACATAAAAAGTCATCTATCTGCTGGTGGGGACAGAAGGGCAAGTGGAGGGTGGATGGTGTCTGGACTATCGATTGAACCAGACTCATAACCCAGGCCACAGATGCCAGCTGCCAGCACAGGCGGGGGTGGATGATGGTGGCATAGTGGAGGGGCTGGCAGACAGCCACGTATCGGTCAAAGGCCATCACTGTCAGGAGGATGCACTCAGTGGTCCCCAGGGACAGGAAGATGAAGAGCTGGACAGAGCATCCCAGGAAGCTGATGGTCTTCTTTGGGCCCCAGAGGTTGACCAGCATCTGGGGGACACAACTTGTGGTAAAGCAGAGGTCCAAGAAGGAGAGGTCAGAGAGGAAAAAGTACATTGGAGAGTGGAGCCTGGGGTACAGTACAGACAGCAGGATGATGAGTGTGTTGCCCACCAGGGTCAAGAGGTAGGAAGTGAAGACAACCACAAAGAGAGTCCTTTCCAGTGCTGGGTGTTCAGAGAAGCCCAGAAGGAGGAAGCCCATGGGGGAGCTTTGGTTAACCATGGCCTGTTCTTGTTTGTACCTGGAGGGATGAGGCTGTCACCCCAGTGTGATTCAACCTGTCTTATCAAAACTCAGCCTGGGTGTTTGTGAGGTCACAGCAGGTAGGTGTTTCTTTTCTGTCTCTGCTCACCCAGCCTCCCTTTCCCAGGCTTATCGTCATCCAGCAGCTCCTTCTCGTTCCCTGTTCCTTCTGATCAAACGTTGTCTAGCAGAAGTGAGGAAACCAAGAATGTGCTGGAAAGCAGGTGGAACCTCACATTGGTGCCTCTGACTTCCTGGTTGAGGGCAAAGAAAGCTGATGTAAAACATGGATTAATTAACCGATCTTCATTAATTCAACAATAAATTGTTAGGCTCTATCTTATTCTAAATGTTGTGGTAGTTCTGAATATTTCATTATGTACATCCATAAAGAATTAGAAAAGAATCATTTGATAGAATTGCCCTACTATTCATATGTATGCAAAATTATTCTGTATTCTGGGGCATAAGTTTCCTGGAATTATTCATGTTTTATCTACTTTATCTTTGTTTGCAGAGGTGTCAATCAGAGGCAGAGTGTAGAATTAACAAAGAGATTTCTCCGCTGTGTGTATTAACTCCACTCATAGAAAAATCAATGAGGTATTTTGTTCCTTCTCCATTAAAAAAATTATGATTCATTAAACTAAATGTAAGAGCTTCCTCCACAAATGAAAATCCCTAACCTCAACTTAACATTATGTAGAATGTAGCAAAATGACATGAAAAAAATGCTGCCAATTGTCTTGTTCTGGGGCTTAGAAATTAAAAAGATGATATAATTTTTAAAATTTTTTGCCTCTCAAATAAGATTATGTCAATAGCAAAATAGAGAGTTGATATTGGGACGTTTAAGTAGAAATTATTCAGGATCTAGAAGAATTTAAAGAAAAAAAGGAAGGAATTAGAATTTGTTACTTTCTTAATTCTATTCACTATTTAAGATTTAAAACATTATTTTTATAAAAATTCATACCCCCAAATTTTAAGAGTAATTTAAAGAATTTCTGAATGTTCTTTATCTATATTAGTAAAGTGCTAACACTTGACATTTTTATCATTACATCTTTATCTTTGCATATGCAATTATATTTACCCTGAGCTACTGAACAGTGAGTTGTATATATAATGCCTCTTCACTTCTTCATGTTTCTAAGATAGAATTTTTTTTTAGTGTAAAAACAGCTCAGTTACTAAATACAGGAAAGCCAACATTGATAAAGTATTATTGGCCGGGTGTGGTGGCTCACGCCTATAATCCCAGCACTTTGGGAGGCTGAGGCGGGCGGATCACCTGAGGTCAGATGTTTGAGATCAGCCTGGTCAACATGGTGAAACCTCGTCTCTACAAAAAAAAAAAAAAAAAAAAAAAAAAATTAGCGGGGTGTGGTGGTGGGTGTCTGTAATCCCAGCTACTCAGGAGGCTGAAGCAGGAGAATCGTTTCAACCTGGGAGGTGGAAGTTGCAGTGAGCTGAGATCGTGCCATTACACTCCAGCCTGGGCAACGAGAGAGAAACTCTGTCTCAAAACTAACTAAATAAATAATAAAATATTATTACTTACTCTGTAGACCATACTTATAGTTTTGCCAATAATTTCTGTTATATACGTGTTTTCCCATGGAAGATCCACTCCAGATTATGTATGTCTGAGCTTGCCCTCTTAAGTAGCCTTTCCTTAGTCAGTGAAATAACAAGCCTTAAAGTATAGGCTGGTCGGTTCAGTTCCTAGCATGAGAAGCAGAGAGACTAGAAGAGTATGGCCTCATGTATTCAATAAACACTGGGAAATACATGGGAAAATTGAGACCCTCCCCAACACCGCCGCCCAGAATTGAAGGCAAATAAATTAAGATGAGGTGTGGGTTAGGAAAGAGTCTGCACAATAAAGGAGGAATCTGGGTGGGTGGGCCACGGAAAGCCTTTAGGAGGAGGTGACATGCATTTTTGCTGTAAAAGACTGTGCTGAGACACATGAGGCAAGCTCAATGATGGGGGTGGGATGCGGCACCACCCTGGCAGGTAAGAGGCAGAAACTGAGGGTTTTCTGAGCACAGACAATGGCAGGAGGGCCGTTTAGGGGATGTGGCCATTTAGGGCAAGCAAGTTGGTGGTCTCATTGGCAGACAGTGCCCTGGGACTTTATGGGATGGCACAATCACCTCTGCATCACAGGACCCTGTCTGGTGTTAAAAGCTGCCTCCCATCTCCCTTTTCATCAAGACTCCCTCCTTTTTGTCTCCTTCTATATTCCTTCCTCCATCATTACGTCTCTCCTTGAGGATAAGATTTGTTCCCTTAATTTTTTAAAAATCATATAAACAAAAAGTATATAAAACACATCTATGGATTTTATGGAATAATAAACACATGGTGTACCTGAATCTCCTCCTGATTTAAGAACAGATCAAATATTACTGGTATCTTAGAAGTCTTCTGTGTTCTCCTCCCTGATCACATCTCCTTCTCTCCCACTGAAGAAGTAAACACTATTCTGATTATTTTAAATGTATCGTTCCTTTTTAAACTTTGCAGCCTCATATCTTTTGTGTCTCAGCAATTGTCCAGAGTTTTATTCATCCATAAACTGCAGCATTTCTTACATTCTTACTCTCTTGGCAACTTGTCTCACTGTATGTTTTTTCTTAATCTCTTCAGTTTATATCTTCCTTTGACCCTCTGCACTCTCCTATTTTCTATCTTTAATAACATGCCTTTTCCTTACCCTGTTTCTTCTGGTCCTTTTCTCTGACACCAATAATAGGCAAGCACTACTTTCCCTACATCCCATTAACTCCACACAGAAGCACATTAATTTATTCTTTTTTGGTCCTCAAAGAGCCAGTCATGTACTAACTGCTACAAAGTTATGAGACAAATTCTGCCCTACAGTTCAATAATAATAACCACTTATAGTTTTGACAGTTACTATCTGTTGATGTCCTATATACTAACACTGTGCTAAATAATTTCCTGGAATATCTGCTTCTTAAAAGAACCCTGCTAGACAGTTAATATCTCTGCAGAAGAACAAACAGTCTCAAAGAGGTTAAGTAACTTGCCCAGGGTTACCCTGCCAATGAGTGTCAGTGCCAGGATTGTAGACCCTGTTTGATTCAGAACTGTCTTAAGAACATGTGGAAATTGATGGGCTGTAGGGGAATAAACTTGTGACTTACTTGCAATTAAGTCAGACTCTCTTCACGGCCTTGCTGCCACAGCTTCCCCATAGAAAGGAACTTCTGGACTGGTTGGAGCCTCCACTTGTGATCTCACAATGAGAACTAAAAGCAAACTAAAGAGGAATGTTATACTCTTGATGATTATTGGAACTTGGATTTCAGTTAAGAGTATTGATTGCTAGTGCTTACTTCCATGGGCACTCAAAAAAGCGCTTCATATTTACGGCTCCTTATAACTTCAAAAGGTGGGTACTATTATTACCTTCCCTTACAGATCAATAATTGAAGACATGTAGAGGTTGAATATCTTGTTCTGGAAAGTATAGCTAGTAAGCACCAAAGACCAAATTTTAACCCAGGTGGGCTGGCTGAAGAAGCTATGCGCTAACCACATTCCACCATTGCTCTGCCAGACACATGAGCTAGAGTTAGCGCTTTACTATGGAACTCTTGCTAACGACTTCTTTTCCTCAATCCAGTAAGTTAACCTCTCTTTTAGTGACATTAAAGGCAGAAAAAAAGGCATAGTGAGATGATGGGGGGAGGAATCCCAAGACTCCCATCCCATAGAGAGAAGTAGCTCATTAATTCTGCCAAGACTAGGTGCCCCATAACCTATAGACAGCTAATTGGCCACAGCTACTAATGGTTAAGAAGGAATGTGAAGATTCAAAGGAAGTGTGCCAGCAACTGAGTTCCCTTTGGCATATAAAAAGGTCACCACTGCTTCTCCGTGTCACTGGGGAGTAAAAGGGCACTATTCTCTCCTGATCCACACCTTCTGAGTGTCCCATATTTCCAGCCTTCCTCTCAAGCCTCGAATGTGCTCATTCAATCCCCCCTGACTTTGGTTTATTTCCTTTCTCTTTTTAAAATTAAGGTATAATTTACATAATGAAGTGCACATATTTTAATGGACAATTCACTGAATGTGAACAAATGTATACATCCAGACAACCATTACCCTACTGAAGATATAGAACATTTCCATCACTCCAGAAATTTCATCATGCCCATTTACAATAATTCTCCCCATGCTCTAGGCAACCACTGCTCTGATTTCTATCATTTTGTTTTGCTTTTTCCAGAACTTCACATAAAAGATTCATTCAGCACATACTCTTTGTGTTTGGTGTGTTATGCTCTGTACCACAGTTTGGAGAATCATCCCTGTTGTTTTGTGTATCAATAGTCCAATTCTTTTTTAAAAATATCAGTGAGTAGTATTCTCTTGCCTAAATATATCACAATTTTTTCATCCATTCACTTGTTGATGAACATTCAGGTTTGTGGTTGTTTTAAAATATGGCCCCCAATTTTCTTATATCCCCTTCACAAAGTAGAGCCTACTTCCCTTACCTTTGCATGGGAGCTGTACTGAGTGACTCAGTTTTAACAAATAGAATCTGGTAGAAACGATGGGATGTGACATCAAAGACTATGTCACAGTAACATTGTGACTTCTTCTTTGTGGATTGTTTACTTTGGAGGAAGCCATCCTAGCAGTGAATGGAAACACACATATGGGGAGAAACTAAGGCTCCCTACTAAAAACGTGCAACATGTGACTGGGACATCTTGTAAGTGAATCCTTCAGCTTCATCCAAATCTTAGAAATACAATCAGCTGACTTCTTGACTACAATGTCAAGAAAGATCCTAAAATAGATACATCTACTATGTATTCACAAAAAGTTTTTAAAAAGTTAAAAGAAAGATCCTAAGCTAGAATCACCAGCTACTATTTAGCTGCTTCTGAATTGCTGGCCCATAGAAACTGTGAGATAATAAATATTTGTTGTTTGAAGCCATTAAGTTTTGGGATAACTTTTTATGCTGTAATAGAGAAACAGTGTGGGGTGGTTTCCAGTTTTTGCTGTTGTGAATCAATCTGCTATAAACTTTCATGTACAAGTCTTTTGTGTATGTGTATTTTCATTTCTCTTTGGTCAAAACCTATTTGTGGAATTTCAGGGTCATGTGATAGACATTCTAGTGGATATCAGGTGATATCTCATTATAGCTTTTATAGCTTTTTAATTTAATTTTTTTTTTTTTTGAGACGGAGTCTTGCTCTGTTGCCCAGGCTGGAGTGCAGTGGCGCGATCTCGGCTCACTGAAAACTCTGCCTTCCGGGTTCACGCCATTCTCCTGCCTCAACCTCCCGAATAGCTGGGACTACAGGCGCCCGCCACCACGCCCAGCTAATTTTTTGTATTTTTAGTAGAGACGGGGTTTCACCATGGTCTCGATCTCCTGACCTCGTGATCCGCCCACCTCGGCCTCCCAAAGTGCTGGGATTACAGGCGTGAGCCACCGTGCCCGGCTTTTTTTTTTTTTAGACTGAGTTTCACTCTGTCGCCCAGGCTGGAGTACAGTGGTGTGATCTCGGCTCACTGGAACCTCCGCCTCCCAGGTTCAAGTGATTCTCCTGCCTCAGCCTCCTGAGTAGCTGGGATTATAGACATGTACCACCATGCCCAGCTAATTATTGTATATTTAGTAGAGACGGTGTTTCACCACATTGACCAGGCTGATCTCGAACTCCTGATTTCAGGTGATCCACCTGCTTAGGCCTCCCAAAGTGCTGAGTTACATGTGTAAGCCACCAAGCCAGGCTAATTTTGAAAATTTTTTGTTGTATATGTATATGCTTAGGATATACAGGATTTCCTTTTTTTTTTTTTTTTTTTTTTGAGACAAGTCTCATTCTGTCTCCTAGGCTGGAGTGCAATGGCACGATCTCGGCTCACTAAAACCTCCGCCTCCTGGGTTCAAGCGATACTCCTGCCCCAGCCTCCCAAGTAGCTGGGATTACAGGCGCATGCTGCCACACCCGGCCACTTTTTTGTGTTTTAGTAGAGAGGGGGTTTCACCATGTTGCCCAGGCTGGTCTCGAACTCCTGAGCTCAGGCAATCCACCCGCCTCGGCCTCCCAAATGATGTTTTGATATACATAGTTAAATGATTACTATGGTCAAGCCAATTAACATATCTATCAACTCACAGTTACTTTTCTTGTGGTAAGAGTACTTAAAATCTATTCTCTTAGAAATTTCCAGTATATAATACAATGTTGTCAACTGTAGTCCTCAGGCTATACATTAGATCTCTAGACTTATTAATCTCACAGTAGTTTCTAAATTTACAATTATCCAACAACTAAGTCATTGAGCATCTTTTCATTGGTCATTTATATATTCTTTTGTGAGGTGTCTGTTCAAGTCATTTGTCCATATTTTATAGTGTTTCCTTTTATGATAAAAGTATATGAGTTCTTCATATATTCTGCATAAAAGTCCTTTGTCAAATAAATGCACTGTGCTATTTTTTCAGTCTGTGGTTTGATGTTTCAATTTGAATGGCGTCTTCAAAGGAGAAGAAGCTTTTAAGTTTGATTAACTCAAAATTCATCAATTATCTTTTTGCAGTTAAGTGCTTTTTGAATCCTAAGAAATCTTTACCTATTCTAAGGTCATAAATATTTTCTTTTATGTTCTTCTTTAGAAGCTTTTAATTTCTAGCTTATATGTTTATTTATATGACCCATGTTAATTTTTTTGTATGTTGTGATATAGGAGTCATAATTCATTTTCATACATATAATAAAATATTATGAAAATGGCTGCTTTTTTACACTTGATCTTAGCCAAAAGGCCGAGAAGCGATAAAAAAAATGGCTGCTTTTTTAAACAAATCATAATGGTACAGTTTTTATACCTATATCTGGTTCCTCCAGTACCATTTGTTGCAAAGAATATCGTTTCCTGTATTGAATTATCTTGGTGTCTTTGTGTAAAATCAATAGATCTTATGTGTTTGGCTCTATTTCTGCACTTTCTATTCAGTTCCACTGATCTCACCAGTTGATGACATTTGGATTGTTTCTACTTTTTGGGTGTTACTAATAATGTTCTTATGAAGAGTCATTGAAGGCATATGATTTAAATTGTCTTGGATATTACCTGACAGTGGAATTATTGGGTTGTATAGTAAATTTTTTTTATAAAAAACCTGCCAAATTGTTTTCCAAAGTGGCTCTGTCAATTTTGACATATTCTTGCCAACACTTAATCAGTATTTCACATCTTTGTCAACATCTTATACCATCAGTTTCTTATTATAGTCATTCTAGTAGACTTGTAAGTATTGTGTTTAATTTCATGTTCTTAATAACCAATGATAAAGAGCATCCTTTCATGCCTTTTTTTTCCATCTGGGCCCCAGCTGATTGGATGATACCCATCTATATTGATAGTGGATCTTCCCTACCCAATGAAAGACTATATTGTCCATGAATTCTTTAAAAATGGTTTTAATTTAACTATTTATATTAGATGTTTTGAATCTCTGTTTGCTAAATTCAACAGCAGTCCCACTTACAGTCAGTTTCCATTAACTGCAGTCTTTTCTCTAAGACTTGATTATACTTTCCTGTTTCTTTGCATGTCTCATTTTAGATACTATATTGACAAGTTTATATTCTTATTTTTTTCTAAGAATTATTTTGTTAACATTATTGGACATAATCTGTGGACTGTGTATCTTCCACCATTTATGGCTTCCATGGTCTCAACCTAGCTCTTAAAAATTCATATTTTAAAATCTTGGATCCCAGAAGTTTCCCTTGTTCTTGCACAGCTTAGTGTTCAGTCAATGATTGGGTGAAGGTTTTGGTCAAATACTTTTGATTTCAAAAGGCTTCCATTCTCTGCTAATGCATCTGCCTTTGTGCTGGGACCATATTCAAATTCAGAGAGCTTTTAAGTTTGTCTTGGATTTTACTTCATGCTGGTTTCTCTCATGTTTCTTCTGTACATACCTGTAGTTTCCCAGTCAGCCAGGAATGTGTAGAGATCTTATCTAATTCTTCTATAGCTATCTAATTCCCAGCATCTTCCCATTACATTTCTGATAGGTTCACTGTTCGCCTCATTAAAACTGTAACCTCTGGATACCTGAGCCTTAAACACGATTGAGTTTGTTACTTTTACTGACATAAACCCTAGGCATGAGTTTTTATCTTTGTTCCAAATCATCTCAACCCTCTTTAATAGTGTAATTGTTGATTTTCATGGCCATTCCTGACTGGCAAAACTACCATCAACTAAGTTGGAGTAGTACTGGAGCACTTTTCACAGGACAGGCACAGTTACCTATGATTCTTACCTAAGCTTCTAGCACTGCTTTATGAAAAAGTGGTTCTCAATTTATTATTTGCCTTGGTTTATTTCCAGACACCTGAAATGATTGTTTTTGACAATTTTTCTGGTTTTATAATTTATTTGTGAGGTGGAGGAAGGAAGGATTTGCTGTCCTCTTTAATTCACCATATCTGGTGAATTTTATTTTTAATGTATATATATTAATTTATATTTATTATTTATTTCATAATTTATATTATAATTTTATTTTTAATCTATAAGTGTATTTATGATTAAGCTGTCTTTATATTTAAAGTGCAAGTTTTTTTCTTGGGGATACCATATGGATCCTGAACTTATAAGAGTCTACTCTGACTTAATACAATACCTTTAACATAGAATATAAAAATCTGATAATAATAAAATTAGTTATAATTCCTCCCATTCTTTGTGCAGCTATTGCCGTGTTTTACTTTACATATGTTACAACCCTTGTAATATATTATCATTATTTTTAGACTTTTAATGAATTTAAGAAAAGGAAGAAGATAACTTTTATATACACTTTTATGTTTCCAATCTTGAAAGTTTTTCGTTCCTTCTCATAGATTTGAAACTCCAAATATTATAATTTCTCTATAGCCTGAAAAACTTCCTTTATCCTTTTTTATTCTTTTAGTGAGTATCTTCTGGCAACAAATTTTCTCAGCTTCTTTTTAATTTCAGATGGCTTTATTTTGCCTTCATTTAAGAAAGATTATTTTCCCCCACTGGGTAATTCTAAGTTGGCAGATTTTTTTTCTCTTCACATTTGAAAGATAATTCATAGCCTTCTGACTCCCTTTGTTTCTGTTGAGATGTTGGCAGTCATTTTTATTGTTATTCCTTATTATGCAATATGTCTCTACCACTTCAGCGGGTTTTCAGATTTTTCTTTTTAAATCTTTGTTTTTCTCAGTTTATGATGTATGTAGATGTGGTATTGATAATGTGGATTGCTATTTTTATCGAATTTGAAAAAATTTTGCCAACATTTTTTGAACAATTTTTTTGTTTGCCCTTTTATCTCTCTTCTCCTTTTTTTCCCCTAATTTTTATTTTAGTTTCAAGGGGCACAGGTGCAGGTTTGTTACACGGGTAAATTGCGTGTCATTGGGGTTTGGTGTACAAATGATTTTGTCACCTAGGTAGTGAGCACAGTAACCAATAGGTAGTTTTTTGACCCTCACCATCCTGCCATTCTTCCAACTCAAGTAGGCCCTGGTGTCTATTGTTACTTTCTTTGTGGTCATGTGTATTCAATGTTTTGCTCCCACTTACAAGTGAGAACATGCAGCATTTGGTTTTCCAATCCTGCTTTAATTTGTTTAGGATAATGGTCTCCATCAGGATCCATGTTGCTGCAAAGGCCATGATTTCATTTTTCATGGGTGTATAGTATTCCATGGTATATAAGTACCATGCATTTTTCTTCTCCAGTCCACTGTTGATAGGTATTTAGGTTGATTCCATGTCTTTGCTATTGTGAACACATACACATACATGACTCTTTATGGTAGAATAATTTATATTCCTTCGTGTATATTTCCAGTAATGAGATTGCTGGGTCAAATGGCAGTTCAGTTTTAAGTTCTTTGAGAAATCTCCAAACCACTTTCAACATACATTCTCAGCAGCATGTATGAGCTAACATACATTCTCAGCAGCAGTGTGTAAGCATTCCTTTTTTCTCCACGATGCTTCCAGCATCTGTTATTTTTTGAGTCATTCTGACTGATATGAGATGGTATCTCACTGTGGTTTTCACTTGCATTTCTCTAATGAATAGTGATATTGGGCATTTTTTTCATGTGCTTCTTGGCTACATGTATGTCTTCTTTTGAGACGTGTCTGTTCATGTCCTTTGCCCATTTAAAAAAAATTTTTTTTCTCTTTAAGTTCCTTATAAGCTCTGGATATTAGACTTTTGTCAGATGCATAGTTTGCAAACATTTTCTCCCATACTGTAGGCTGTTTATTTACTGTCTTGATGGTTTCTTTGGCTGTGCAGAAGCTCTTTAGTTTAATTAAGTTCCACTTGTCTATTTCTGTTTTTGTTTCCATTACTTTTGACAACTTTATCATGAAATCTTCACCCATTTGTATGTACAGAATGGTATTTGCTGGATTTTCTCCCAAGGTTTTTATAGTTTTAGGTTTTACTTTTAAATCTTTAATTTACTTCGAGTTGACTTTTGCATATGGTGAAAGGAAAGGGTCCAGTTTCAATCTTCCTAATACGGCTAGCCAGTTAGCCCAGCACCATTTATTGAATAGTGAGTGCTTATTTTTGTTGACTTTGTTGAAGATAAGATGGTTGTAGGTGTGCGGCATTATTTCTGGGTTCTCTGGTCTGTTCCATTGGTCTATGTATCTGTGTTTGTAACAGTACCATGCTATTTTGGTTACTGTAACCTTGTAGTATAGCTTGAAGTTGGATAATGTGATGTCCTCAGCTTTGTTCTTTTTGCTTAGGATTGCTTTGGCTATTTGTGCTCTTTTTTGGTTACATATGAATTTTAGAATAGTTGTTTCTAGTTCTGTGAAAAATGTCATGGGTAGTTTAATAGGAATAGCATTGAATCTGTAAGTTACTTTGGGTCATATAACCATTTGGATAATACGGATTCTTCCTATTCATGAACATGGAATGTTTTTTCCATTTTTTGTGTGTGTTGTCTCTGATTTCCTTCAGCAGTGTTTTGTAATGCTTGCTTGTTGTAGAGGTCTTTCATCTCTCTGTCTAGCTGCTTTCCTAGGTATTGTGTGTGTGTGTGTGGCTATTGTGAATGTAATTGCACTGTTGATTTGTCTCTCAGCTTGGACATTGTTGCCATATTCTGTGCCATGCCAGATGGAGTACTTAACAGAGCAGTGGATGTTGTAATGAACATATGTCTGCTTTTAAGATTCCAATAAAATATTTTAGGATTATAGCTGTGGACAGCTTTCAGTTTTTCAAGGATGAGGTTGGATTCTATACCCGGGACATAATTAGGCTGAGCATTCTCAGGAAAGTTAAGATCACTACAAGCCTCTCCACTCTACCCAAACACTGAGTTTCTGTTGTGAGGGATGACCCAGCAGGTCTGGGATAGCTGTTGAGAGTTTTGATACTATGGTTGGGCCTAAGAGGGAGGCTGCATGGGAGAAGCCAAACTACCAGCTGGGGCTGTGGGACAGTGGTGGAACCAAGGACAAATGTAGTCCCCTGTTTTAACAATGACCATTGTTGTGTTTTTTTTCCTCTTCTAGGGTCTTTCTACATCCCATATCTTAGTTACTCATAAAACTGTGCTGCCACAGGCCCATTTTTCGGTGAGAAAGCTAGAAAAGTTGGAGGACTTATTCTAAGTCACGCTGTTACCAGCCTAGAGGGGCATCTCAGTGTTTTGAGCAGCTTCTCGTTTTGTGAGCTTTGTGGATGAGTGGTAAGAAAGATGGTCATTTGGGCCGGGCACGGTGACTCAGGCTTGTAATACTAGCACTTTGGGAGGCTGAGGCAGGCAGATCACCTGAGGTCAGGAGTTCAAGACCAGCCTGGCCAACATGGAAAAACCCCATCTCTACTAAAGATACAAAAATTGGCTGGACGTGGTGGTGCATGCCTGTAGTCCCAGCTACTCTGGAGGCTGAGGCAGGAGAATTGCTTAAACCTGGGAGGTGGAGGTTGCATTGAGCCGAGATCATGCCACTGAACTCCAGCCTGGGAGTCAGAGCGAGACTCCATCTCCAAAACAACAAAAAAAAGAGAAAGATTGGTCATTTATGGGTGGGTGGGTGTATTCGAAGGAAATGTTCAGTTGTGAGGATATCAGAAGAAGGAAGAAAAATCATAACTGGGAAAGAAAGATACTTTTTTGTGAGACGTAGCTTGAGTAATTTATTTTTGATATTTGATTTTTTGAAATATTTTTTGAGTACTTAACATATGTAGAGATTAGAAACTTCTGGTAATTAAGAGGGGGCAAGATAGCTAGAGTATCATTTAGTATAGGATTATAGGGAGGTATTTGAAGTTTTCTTCTTCTTTCCTTTTCTTTAAATAGTAAAACTGAACAGAGAGTAGAGAGGTTTTCTGTATACCTCCTGCCCTTCCTCCCTAGGTGGACTCTCCTACTAACAACATCCCATATTAGAGTGGTAATTTGTTATAACTGATAAACTTACACTGACATATCATTATCACCCAACGTCCATTGTTTACTTCAGGACTCACTCTTGGTACTATATATTCTATGTGTTTGGACAAGTGAATCCTAGTACATACAGAATAGTGTGACTGCCCCAAGGTTCTCTGTGCTTTCTATTCATCATTCCTTCTCTGACCCCATACTCCTGCTGTAACCTCTGGAAACCACTGATATTTCTACTTTCTTCATCATTTTGCCTTCACTGAAAGAGTTTTAAGGCATATTGATTAGGAGAAGTTAGAGGTTAAAGTAAAAGAAGGAGAGGTAAGAGGTCACCAGTCATTAAAAATACATTGAAGGCAAGAAAAGTGTTGGGAGAAGGGATCATAAAAAACATGAGTACTTCAAAGGGAAATAGGGATGAGAGCTACTGGGTAATATCAGGAAATTTTTAAAAAGAAGGTGTTTATTGGAATTGGAGATGGAAGTCATGGGAAGCAGGAGTTCTAGGACACCAGAGGTCAAAGTGTCCAGTATGATAAGAAGGAATACAGAAGGCTTGAAAAGGAATAAGAATTCATTAGAGGAGTTGAGTGGCATGCAGAATGGACACAGAAAATTGCCAGAACTGGCCAACTCGAAAATGGGGCTTTTGCCGACAGTTTGGTGCCTACTTAAACAGAATGTATCACTTGGTTGTCAGACATTATTCTATAGTGGCAGGATTCTATGACTTGCCCTTCCTTTCCCAGATTTCATGATTTTCTCAAGTGACCCTTATGGGGCATCCAAATGTGGCAACATAATAATTCATGGACACCAGAATTATCCAAGAGGAACTGGAGAGACAACAGCATTGGAGGGCCATCCAAGACCCCCAGTAGTCCTTTCTGTACTTGGTCTCCATGTGCCATCTTCACTTCCTTAGAAAGGGTCGTGTGGCTGGGTGTGGTGGCTCACGCCTGTAATCCCAGCACTTTGGGAGGCCGAGGTGGGCAGATCATGAGGTCAAGAGATCGAGACCATCCTGGCCAACTTGGTGAAACCCCATCTTTACTAAAAATACAAAAATTAGCTGGGTGTGGTGGCGCACACCTGTAGTTCCAACTACTTGGGAGGCTGAGGCAGGAGAATCGCTTGAACCCAGGAGGCGGAGGTTGCAGTGAGCCGAGATCACACCACTGTACTCCAGCCTGGGCGACAGAGCTAGACTCCTTCTCAAAAAAAAAAAAAAAAAAAAAAAAAAGAAAGGGTCATGTTGATCACTTTTGGATCTTTTTTGATGACCAGTAGAGTGCTATAGACTGGCTAAAAGAAAGAACTGAAGGAACTGTGACTCATTTACTTTCTATAGAACACCAGAGAGAAAGCCAAGGAATGCAAAGAATGCATATCCAGTGTCAAGGAGGAATGGGGAATGAGCTGAGTTCCTAAGGAGGCCCAGCCAGGCCATCCCAGAAACAGGAAGAATTAAAAGCCTCATCATCTAGCAGAAATCCTACAGTATTTATTTCACTAATTTGTTTTAGGTCCTCTCTTTGGATAATACAGAAGAATAACTCTACAATGGCCTCATTTATACTGCCAGAGGGCCCATAATGGTGATTCTCCAAAGAGTATATGGCCTGCATTCTCATTCACAATTGGGACGCACCCCTGTACTTATCTCTAGTCCTCCTTCAGTTCATTTCCAGACCCATGCTAGTGCAAGACTTAAAAGTGCTCCAGCCAGAAGAGTCTTCTACCACTCGTTCAAATTCATTCAACAAATAAATATTATCAAGTATAAAATTCCAAATTGGCATCAATAATATAAAACTGTCAATGCAAACCCCATTTTTCAAATTGACTATTTTTAGGAGCTGAATAAAGATCAAAATGATAAGCCCAATGTGTATAGGTATCTGTGGTCCATTGCAAAAATGAACTATTTCCCAATGGCTGCTTTAGAAAGTTTCTATTTGAAAGGCAGTAAATAAGAGGCATCATGATTGCCTAGGGCAGTATTTTTACCCTTGGAGTCAAGGATGGTCAGGGTTTCTATGTTTATCATTTGTATTCTTTTATGCAAATGGGGAATTAGGTCTAGATACCAAGAACTAGACCAGGATCTTATTGGGGTCGGAAATTAGGAGTAAAGCCAGTCCACAGGAATATCATGAACTGAAAAACAAAGAGGCAGAAAACATTGTTCTGGATGATAAGTTCCAGTTATTAGGTAAAATATTCTCGTGAAAAGTTGAGTAATTTATTTAGGTCCATCAGGGTGCCTATGGTCGACAGAGTCCTCAACTGTGTTATTTCCGCTGCTTGGGTTCTAAACCACCTTTTGACCTATTATTTGGCTTTCTGAAGAGGGTGATTGCAAAATGGATCTTATTATGCAGACCAGGTGTGCTGCTTATTCAGAACTCAGCAGTTACTTTGGCTCTAAATCAGCCTCCTGAGAAGTCAGTATTGGTAAGTCAGTCATTTCATTAGGGCTTGGTCACTGACTGGTATATTATCAACCATGTTTTTTTCAGGCATGCTGAGGTTGAAGCAAATGGGAGAGAGATGACTTTTAACTTCTGTGCTTCCACCTCCTCATTCTCTCAAGTGGCCGAATGTCTAACCTCAGTCAATCGTTGTGCCTTGAGGCTTGTTTCTCTAACTATATCCATACATATGTGGTGAATAAATATATCTATCATTCTTGGGTGCAAGTGCCCTGACTCCTGCTGCTTCTCTGCAGTGCCTCTAATTGGTTAAGAAGGTTGTGGCTTGGCTTTCCAGGCCCCTGGCAGGTGACATTGTCAGTCCTGGCTGCCAGGAGAGGAAACATCCAGAAAATGCTATTGCACAAACCAGGTGGTGGTTATGGTAGATGAGACAGATTAATAATATTGCCTCTTCTTGCAGGAAATGGGATTGGGTGATGAGGAGGGAGATAGGCAAGGGAAGCTCAGGGAAGGGAGGAAGTGGGTCTGGGCTGCAGTGAGAATGAAGGAGAATGAAGAGAATCCACTGAAAAGCTGAGCAGAGGAGAAATACAAAGGAAGTTGACCAGATTGCCAGCACTATGTAGAATAAGGCACACTGTGGGAACTTGATAATTATTCGCAGACTTGAAAGAAGTGTAAAGGGTTAGCCAAAAGAAAAAAAAAGTTGAATAGATGATGGGTGGCATCTTTGAAGCTTGAAGTTTGCACTGAGATCCCACTTTCTGTTTTTCTCAACTCTCAGAGGATCAACCCTGGAATCTTTTGTGTAGCAAGCCTGGTCAGCTCCTAATCCTTCTCCTTATGTCCCTGGGAGACCCAGAGCCCCTGTTTCTTGGTGGCCCTGATGTACCTGAGTTCTCTTCTTTCTTCTACAATATTTCCTCTTCCAACTCTTTCCTAGTCTTCCCTGACTGGAAAGAGTTAAGGCCAGTGAGGGCACACAACCTAGAGAGGCAGAGAGGCTGGCAATGGACAAGCACACGCTCCCATTTCCAGGACTGAGCCACAGCCTTTGTTCAGTGTCTCTTCCTGAGTCCTACATCCCTTTCCTGGCCCCTGTGTAAGATCCCCACGTGCTAGGCTCTCCAAGCCCTCCCTAGGGCACTGATTTGTGAATCCCAGAGAGCTCAGTGGGGAGCAGAAACGCAGGGGGACCATGCTGCCACAGGAGGAGCTGATGCAGGGAAGCAGTGAGCATAGACTGTGGGAGTGAGCTCTGGTTGGGAGGTTTCTCCAAGCCCTGTGAAGAGATTGGCCTGGGATGCACAGAGATGGCTTTCCTTGTGAGCCGGTGAGTCTTCCTCTGAGGTCTTTTTTGTTCTTTCTCTTTTCTCTGCTCAGTTCTTCAGCCTGCCTCTGTTTCTTCTTTCTCTCCTTCTCCCTTCCCTTCCATCTGACTTCTACCCTCCCTCCCTGATGCCACAGTCACTTCTTACTTCAGTTCTGCAAAGCTAAAGAATGAGGATACTGGCTGGGCACAGTGGCTCACGCCTGTAATCCCAGCTCTTTGGGAGGCCAAGGCAGGTGGATCATGAGGTCAGAAGTTCGAGACCAGCCTGGCCAACATGGTGAAACCCCGTCTCTACTAAAAATACATAAATTAGCTGGGCATGGTGGTAGGCTCCTGTAATCCCAGCTACTCAGGAGGCTGAGGCAGGAGAATCGCTTGAAACCAGAAGGCAGAGGTTGCAGTGAGCCAAGATCGTGCCACTGCACTCTAGCCTGGGCAACAAGAGTAAAATCCTGTCAAAAAAAAAGAAAGAAAGAATGAGGATACTTCTGGTAGCAGATACCATCAGGAGCTGGGGTGCACTATAGTGAGTGGGTCCCATGGGATTAGGGAAGTTGAGGAAGGGAGTGTCAGGGAGAAAGGTTGGTAGGAGGAAATATTAGGGACAGAGCAGTGGGATTTCAAGAAGCAGGTCAAGTTTTGCTCAGGGGCAATGGCAGGTGTGAGTAAGGGAGATGTGAGGTTCAGGAAGGTAGAATACAGTGGGGGAAGACTCAATATGGGGATCACTGATGGACTCTCCCTAGCTTTTGAGTGGTGTTTGTCTTGAAAACCAATGACTGTGCTTATATTGCCCAGGATTAATGTAGTTCAAGGTCCCTTGGTAGCTATCTATGGTGGAGAAAGAGCATTTGCTGCAATCTTCCTTCTGGTTCTTTGTGAGAGTATCAGCTATAAGAAGCATATAGTCCTTGGGACAAATAAGCACAGAATAGTGGATCTGGAACTCAATCCAGAGCTCATTTGATTTAGCCTTTATGTTTATTGATGATGAAATTGAAAACCAAAAAGATGATGCAAAGAGTTTGCTCTAGGTCCTGTAAAGTTTTAGTAACGGAGTAGAGATCACAACCCATGTCTTCAATCTTTACCAAGGTGTATTAGTCTGTTTTCACACTGCTGATAAAGACTTACCCAAGGCTGGGCAATTTACAAAACAAAGAGGTTTATTGGACTTACAGTTCCACATGACTGGGGAGGCCTCACAATCATGGTGGAAGGCAAGGAGGAGCAAATCACATCTTACATGGATAGTAGCAGGAAAAATGAGAGCTTGTGTAGGGCAGCTCCCATTTCTAAAACCATCAGATCATGTGAGACCCATTCACTATCACAAGAACAGCACAGGAAACATCCACCCCCATAATTCAATCATCTCTCACCAGGTCCCTCCCACAACACATGGGAATTATGGGAGCTACAAGATGAGATTTGGGTGGGGACATAGAGCCAAACCATATAACCAGGGATTTTCCATTCAATACTTTCCCCTGTCTATTTTTTTTTTTTTAATTACTGATTGGTGGCTCTAAGTCTTGCTCCAGAAAGACTAATGTGCTGGGTTACATAAATGTACAGAAAATAAGGATGAGAGAGACTGGACAAAGAAAAAGGTAGAATAGAACAACAACAACAACAGCAAGTGAGACCAGAAACTAGATATCTCAAAAATATATCGTGAGGAATTGCACATTTCCTGGAGATGAGTTACAAATTCAGGTGGAAACTTGCTAGCTGTCATGTTAAGAGGAAAAGTGATTACTTAATTTCTTAAAAAATTAAACATACACTTCCCATGTGATGCAGCCATTTCACATCTATGTATTTACCCCAGAGAAATGAAAGCATACAAAGACTTTGTACACAAATGTTCATAGAACCTTCATTCTATGAACCAAAAACTGGAAACAACCTGAACTTCCTTTAGCAGGTGAATGAATAAAAAATTGTGAAAACAACCCAAATTTCCTTCAGCAGGTGAATGGATGAACAAATTATGTCATATCTATACAATGGAGTATCACTCAGAAATGAAAAGGAATGGCTGCTGTACACACCACAACATGGCCAAATCTCCAAATATAAGTCAGACTAAAAAGAGTACATATTTTATAATTTCATTTATATAAAACTCTGAAAAAAGAAAAATATAGTGCTGGGAAGCAGATCAGAGGTTGCTTGGGAATGAGGAGTGCAGGGAGGGGTGAAAGAGAGAGATTACAATGGAGTGTGAGGGAGCACGGGGGCTGGATATGTTCATTTCGTGATTGCGCCTATAATGTCATGGTGCATACATGGGTCAAAACTTATCAAATTGCACACTTAAACATGTACAATTTGTCATATGCCAATTGTACTTCCATAAAACTGTGAGGAAATGTTATTGCTTATATGACAGGAAAAATACAGTGATTCCTATCACTGAGATATGAGAAAAATGATCCCTCTGAGAGTTTCATAATGTTGCTTCTTGTAATCTTTCTCAATGTAAACCAATGGCTTAATGCCAAAACACTCTTTAGCAAGACCAGTTCTAGGAAAGATGAGTTGATGGAGATATGTAGGAAGTGGAAATATTTCAGCATTTTAAATGTGTAGCTCTGTGCTCATCTGCTTTAGCTTGGGGATAAGATTTAGATTTTAAATTATCAGAGGAAAAGCTGTTTTGACAATCCTTTAGGCAACCCTTCTTAAATGCTGTTCCTCGCTATTGCAGTTTTGTTCAATTGAAGAGCAGTAGTTGTGAGGTTTTCCACATTGATAAAATGAGTTTGAGGAAGGCCACACAACCCCTTTTGGGGGGTGGGGACAGGGAGTAACACCTTTGTCTTTTCGCTTTACATTTTGAGTGTTTTCTTACTTTGCAAACTGTTCTCTGATAGTTTCATGAG
This sequence comes from Homo sapiens, assembly GCF_000001405.40. NCBI lineage: Eukaryota > Metazoa > Chordata > Mammalia > Primates > Hominidae > Homo > Homo sapiens. The sequence goes on along the minus strand of NT_167247.2, from coordinate 707,960 downwards.
AATCAGTGCTTTCTTAACAGGACAGCAAGTGCTCTCTGGACAGAATCACCACCCTGTATGTACTTGATATTCTCCACAGTGCCAAAGAGCAATAGGCACATAGAAAGTTTGCAATAAATACTGTTGCATTTGAATAAAGTGTTGGAATGATATAAAGTATGTAGATTGCACTTTTAATTATTAATAAATACTTGCCTCTTGGAGATGGCTGTTTTTGATTCACCCTCTCAGCTTATTCCACTTATTTGTTCTGCAGTTCACTGACTCTCCTGCATATCATAGCCCTTATATTTGCTCTTCCGTGTCTTGGTAGTTTTTGGCTCATATCTGTGCTGGGTAGCAGTTTCTGTTAACAGTGATGTATAGAGCCTCTTCTTCCACCTTCCTCTGGGTCTCTTGTGGGTTCCAATGCCACTGATATTTCAAGAATACCCTTCTCTTCCCAGCAAAGTCACCCCATGTGAGCCAAACATTAGCCTTTGCGCTGACCTGTCTGACTTGCTAACAAAAACATCTATCAAGATACTATTTTGTGCCAGATATTAAGCTTGATTGTTTGCAAGTCTACAAATCCTCACAAAAACCCAATGAATTAGACTCTGTTGTTACCGCAACTTTATAGATAAGAAAATTAAGGCTCACATAAAAACAAAACAGAACAAAACAAAAAACAAACAGATTATGTCCTTTGCAGCAACATGGATGGAACTGGAGGTCATTATTCTAAGCAAACTAACACAGGAACAGAAAACCAAATACCATATATTCTCACTTAAAAGTGGGACCTAACACTGAGTACACATGAACACAAAGAAAGGAACAACAGATACCAGGACATAATTGAGGGTGGAGGATAGAAGAAGGGTGAGGATCAATAAACTGCTTATCAGGTACTATGCTTATTACCTGGGTGACTAAATAATCACTGTGAGGTGAAATTTACCTATATAACAAACCTGCACATGTACCCTTGAATCTAAAATAAAATTTAAAAAAATTAAGGCTCAGAGAGATTATATCATTCACCTGTGATCACTTAGCTAACTAGCTGGAAAAAATAAGACTTGACTTTAAGTCTGTCTGACATCAGAATCTGTTCTCTTAACCTCTGCGGCATATGAATTTCCATAAGAACTTACCTTCATTGAAACTTTTGTGGCCACTCCTTACTTCTTGAGGAATCTGTCTTTAGCTGGTAGTAGATTTAATTAGGTATAATTATGTTTGCTAAGGTACTAACCAGTAGTACCACCCAAGAAACAAATGCCTTACCTAGGACGTACAAATGTCAAATGACTTTAAGGATCATTGTTGTGGCTGAAAATTTTATTACCTTGCTAGTCTGATAAGGATAATATTTTGTAACTTTATCCCTGGTTGTCAACTTGCTCTGCTTCTGAAATTGATCCTCCATCCTGGGTTTCTTGTTTCTTGCAACAGAAAGCGGAATAGAATATGTATGTGTTGTGAGGGTCTGAGGAGCGCATTTGACTACGGTAGCTTTTCAAAGATAAGTTTGTCTTTCTGACAGGCTGGCCCTCCCCTAATGTGAAGAAAGACCTTAAGGGAGACTCTTTGATCCTTAGGTATTTGGGACTGACTCAGAGCACTGCACAGAAGTCACTATCGCCCCCTTTTCAAATCTCCATAGGCACCGTTTTCTGGATGGTTCTCTTTAGGGCAGCTTTGACCTCTGTGTTCCGCAGGCTGTAGATGATGGGGTTGAGGATGGGGGTGACCACAGCATAGAAGAGGGACACCAGAGGGTCAGTGGCCGGATCGTAGCTGGCCTTAGGGCGAATATAGATAAAGAGTGCGGTGCCATAGAAGAGGGAGACCATGATCAGGTGGGAGGAGCAGGTGGAGAAGGCCTTGCGGCGGCCCGCAACAGATGGGATCCGGAAGATGGTAACGAGGATACGCCCGTAGGAGCCCAGGATGAGGCCAAAGGGGCAGAGGATGAGGAGGGCTGTTGCCAGGATAATCTGCAGTTCATTAAGCGAGGTGTCTCCACATACCAGCTGCAGGACAGGCTGGATCTCACAGAAGAACTGCGGGATGGTATTGGGGCCGCAGAAGGGCAAAGAGAAGATGAAAGGGGTGTGGCCCAGCCCCACCAGCACCCCACAGGCCCACGCCGACCCAGCTAGCTGTAGACACACCCGGTGGCTCAGCAGCAGTGGGTAGCGGAGGGGTTCACAGATGGCTGCATAGCGGTCATAGGCCATGGCTGCCAGGAGGCAGCACTCCGTGGCGCCAAAGAAGAGGAAGAAGAACATCTGGAGAGCACATCCAGAGCGAGAGATGTGGCGCCGGCCAGTAAGGAGGTGGTGAAGTAGCAGGGGGACCGTGACAGACGTATAGCCAATCTCCAAGGCCGAGAGGGTGCGCAGGAAGAAGTACATAGGGGACTGGAGGGCAGCATCAGTGGAGACCAGCACCACAATGAGGAAATTGCCTGCCACGGTCAGCAGGTAGATAGTGAGAAAGACAGAGAAGAGCAAGCCCTGGAGGTCGGCCAGGTGGGAGAAGCCGAGAAGAAGAAACTCAGTCACCATGGAGGTGTTTGCACTCATCCTGCCTGCATACCTTTGACTGGAAGACAAAAGAAATGGCAAGGAAAAATCACAACTATGGAATCGTGAAATGGGCAAAGATGACCTCTCTCTGCATCTGATCGCAGCACTAGATCTCCCTTTCTATTAGAATATCATGGACTTTGAAATTAGGCAGCCTTGCCTGGAGTCCATATTCCACCCTTGCTCACTCTTGGGATCCTGGATGAGTATTTGTCTCTCTGAGCCTGAATCCCTGACTTCATCTCTTCCTGATAGTGCCTATCATTCTAAAGAACATGTTAAACTGTCTTTCCAGTTTTACCTGGGCTGAAGATTAAGTCAGTCTAGCTCCCTTTTCACTCTTTTCTGATTTTCCAATTCTTCCTGCAGGGCTGGAGACAGAATTTTCCCTCATAGCAGATCTTTTTCTCCATCAACTTGTCTCCTGTCTGATAAGAGGTGACCTCTCTTATCACCTCTTGCCCTCTAGTTTTCTTTTTTCCAGCTCTTTCTTTAGTTACCAGATTCACTTAGTCTTTCTTCTTTTTCTGTCATTTTACCATAAATTTCACAGTGTTCAAGGAGGAGAAAAAAAATGAGAAAGATCCTCTCTTTTTAAGCTCCTATAGCATTAAACAGTTCAACTATTTAGAGGGGTGAGCATTTCTCTAGTTTTAAAACATGCTCAGGCAAAAGATGACAAGAACTTCCTTAATTGCTTATTTCTGCATCTTACAGACTTTCAAACTTAGTCCTCTTACATTGTAAACATGAAAATCCCCAAACTACACACATAAACTCCACAAATTCACACACTGTCAAATTATATTTCAAAATACAGGCACAGAAGAATAGCCTAATATTCCCAGATGCCAGATTTATCTAAAGTTGCAAATCATGTATTCTATTGGCATTATTACAGATAACAGTAAAAGTCTAAATACACTGAACATAAAACTATAAACACCCAAAGATACACTTGAATATATACACAAATTCAATATTCCAGCCATATTCAAGGTTGTGTATTAGAAATACAAGTCCACACACTGATATCCTTTTGCAGTTGAAGAGCCCTTGGTTCATTCTCCTCTGGGGGCTCTTTCAGTGTTTTCCAGAAGATATTATCTCAAAGGTGTCTTTCTATTTTCTATTTGGAGAAATAACCAGTGAAGGCAGATGGCATTTGTGACTTGCTTATCTTCTTTTTTATCTACATAGTGGATCCCTCTTGAGGAAGCCTCTCTTAGGTTTGTTGTCTCTCTTTAAGCTCTCTGAGGATCTGAGTCTCCAAGCATTCTTGGCTTTCCAATGGGGAGAATGCTTCACAAAACCAATTAATCTGTTATTTTGAATCTGTTTCTTAGATTGCAAGAAATACAGAATGACCTGTTAAGAACATTTCAAAGAATATATCCAGAGCTATTGGTTTCTCTTAGTTCTCCCATATCTCTGGTTCAACCATTTTAATTTTCTTCTTTTTTCTCATGATTTTTTCCCATCACTGTAGATGTTCTAGTACATCTACAAAAAGTAATAATGCAATTTTACCCTTCTTATGTATATTGATATAATCCAGTAATCAATTTATTTGATAACTATTTATAGGGTCCCTTGCAGGTTTTATTGATTCTACAGGTAACTAATAATATAAAAGAGAAATAAACATGTTTTGACCTAATTGAGGTGCTAAATGTCATTTTCTTATACAATTGTCACTAATTTTTCTTGCTTTGATTTCTTTTTCATTTATTATACAAATCTTTCTTTGCATTTTTATCATTGGTATCTATTATTTGATTTGTTTCTTCTGTGTTTTTATACATTTTCATAGATGTGATAAAAGCTGTGTGTCAAATAGAATGTTTTCAAGACATACCAACCATTATAACAAGCCCCAACTCCAACGGGTTTAAGTAATAAATTTACTTATTAATTTATATAACTAGAAGTTCAGGGTTTACATAAACTGGATTTCGTACTTAGTTTTCTTCTGACTCCTTTATATTTTATCATTTCATTTATTTATTAGATTTGGCTGAAAGTAATGGAAATGCCAATGGCTCAAAGAGAATGAAAATTTATCTCTCACTTAAATGTCTAAAGATTTGTAGTTCAGGGAAATATGGCTGCTCTGATCCAGAATTCCTCAGGAATCTGTTTTCTCTCAGCTCATCAGTCATCTACTCCCAGAGTGTAGCCCTGTTATGGCTGAAGATGATGCCATTAATGTTACAGGGAACAGAATGGAGTAGAATAATTTGGATTGCTATTTGTCCACTCTTAGTGTAACCTATGTAGTATTATTGCTAAAAATGTTTAATTGGAGTATAAGAAAACAGTCAGACAAATCCATATTGTGGCATATTCTATAGACAACTGACACAAACTCTTAAAAAATATCCATGTCTTTAAAGACAAAGCAAAGATGGGAGATGACATCGTTCCAGATTGAAGAAGACCAAAAGCCATGGCAATAAAATGTCATTCATGATTTTTGACTGGATCCTACGTCATCAACAAAACAAAATAAAAACAACTATAAAAAAGATTTGGAACAAGTGGGAAAGTTGAATATGGGTTTTATATTATTGGTTCAATGTTAATTCCCTTGGGTGTAATAATAGTATTGTGGTTATGCTGGAGAATATTCTTGTCATTAGAAAGATGCAGAATGGCTGCATAGTATTCCATGGTGTGTATGTGCCACATTTTCTTAATCCAGTCTATCATTGTTGGACATTTGTGTTGGTTCCAAGTCTTTGCTATTGTGAATAGTGCCACAATAAACATACATGTGCATGTGTCTTTATAGCAGCATGATTTATAATCCTTTGGGTATATACCCAGTAATGGGATTGCTGGGTCAAATGGTATTTCTAGTTCTAGATCCCTGAGGAATCGCCACACTGACTTCCACAATGGTTGAACTAGTTTACAGTCCCACCAACAGCGTAAAAGTGTTCCTATTTCTCCACATCCTCTCCAGCACCTGTCGTTTCCTGACTTTTTAATGATCGGCATTCTAGCTGGTGTGAGATGGTATCTCATTGTGCTGGCGCTTTTCGAAAGCAGCCGCTGCGGCCGCCCAACGCCAAGAACGCTTCGCGAGCAGCGCCATCTTGAGCGAGGAAAGAGGAACCGAGAGAAGAGGATTGCGGGCCACTGGCCGACTGAATTCCGTATTTTATCTTTTCTTATTGCATTTTCAGAACTGAAGATACAGCTGACAGAGCACTGAACTAGGCCAGGGTTTTAATGCTGGCTCTATGACTAACCTATTCTATAACTTTGTACAATTCACTTCATTTTAATGAGACTCATATTTCTCATCTTTAAAATGCAGACACAGCTGATTCTTATTATTCACTGCAGTTGCATTCTATAAAGTTGCCTTGAACCCTGTAGGAGCAAATATTAAATAATTCCTTGCTTTAGGGGAGATGCAGGGTTAGATTCCTATGAGTTTTTGGTCACATTTTTGTCACCTGATCAATAAATAACCTTATTGTAAGTGTGTTTCTGTTTAAACACATCTTATATAATATATATCGTTGATCATTAACGTTGAACCCACAGCCAACAGCCCTATAACACATGCCTGAACAGAGCTTATCTAGCAAATGCATTTTCTCCGTAAGATCCATTGCAACATTTTTGTGCTCAGGAGCATGGGACAGCACTTCAGCGCTACATTTGGGGCTATTTTGAATTATGAAATCACCAAAAAACAAACAAAAAATGTGAAAAATATGGCATTCAGCAAATCAGGAAATCATGAAAAGGACACTTGTTTACAGTATAATAGCTGAAACAAGAGGACAGAGCGTTTCCTTGCTCAGCATCAGGTGGGGATGCATACAGTGTGTCTCAAACTTTTTGTCACTGTGTTCATGCACTTGTCCATGAACGACTGCGAAGGTGCTGTGAGTATTGAGCTAGGGGTTAAAAATAGATGTTAGGGAGCAGGTGACTTTGCAAATACTGAATCCACAAATAATGAAGGTCAACTCTATTGCTAGTCATGTCTACTGGTGGAATGTTTGGAACTTTCTTTTCAACCGGACATTGTGTTAATATATTTTTAGAAGGCCAGGGATTATGAATCAAGTGACCATTTTTATTTTTTCATTCATGCATTCATGCATTGCTACTTATTCACTAATCATTTATGACACAGCTAAAATATTCTTGGGATACAAAGATGAATAGGATACACCATCTGCCCTGGATAATATTTACTTCTAATTCGTAGTCTAGTGAAGAAGAAATCTAAATGGTAAGACTATGTAAATCTCTAACAGAAACCACAAAGAGCTATAATTTGTTTTTGTAAAATCCTGCTGGGTTGAATACTATCTCTTTTGTATTAAAATATATTGTTAATCCTCAAGAAGTTTTCAAAGATAAGAGATTGAACAATATTTTGGGTTAGGTCCATGATGTACTGTTATTAAAGTTTCTATGGATTCAGATTGCCTTGGATGCCTAGGCTGGAGTCTAAGGAACAAATAATCAGAAAACATCACTGAGCTCGAGCTTATGAAATATTTTAGTAACATGGGAGACTCATGGAAATGTGTGGTTTCTTTTCCAACTGGAATTACTGATACAAAATAGGATATATATGTGACCAAAGCCAAACAACATAAATGGTTGTCAAACTTGAGCTTGAAGTTAGCCCCCGTGAAGCATCCCATAGTCACTTCTGAGAGTTTGCAAGATGTGTTCAGGAATGTCTCCTCTGGTCCTTCCTCTCTTGTGTCTTTTCTGTGCCTTCAAGCTGCTGCTCTGTGAGAGCTGACTGACTCTTTTTATTTTGTCATCCTTTGCAGTGGTTGACATTGCTTTCTCCACCCTGGCTGTGGGAACAGCAACCACTGTCCCCTGTACCTGCTTTTTCTAAGCAAGGCCACAGGCCCTCTTAGAATTCTCCTAGTACAACATATATCAAGTTGTAGCTTATAGAATAATTTACTGTAGTTCTAACTTAGTGGAAAGTAAATGTAGTGCAGAGAATTATATGCTGTTATACTGATCCACACACACTTGAATTCCACTAGGTAATTTATGTGGCCAAGGGTATATTTCATTTCATTTGGAACTACTTATAATCTTTTCACGTCTTGCAGTTTAGGCCAAATTGACCCCAGGACACAAGGGAAGGTAGAAATGTATTTTTCATGCTAATATATCACCTACTTTTGGAGACTTCATTTATACCCCAGGATTAACCTCTCACCAGGGTGATTAACAATACAAACATCTACTCCCCACAGATCCTTGTCTTTATCCATGGGACTGTGGTCTGAACTGATGACCTTAAAAAGTCCATAAAATGTATTTTGACAAAAAGTTTGCTAAAATATCTGTAAGAATTAAGATTAGTCAGACTTTCCCATCTTAAACTTGAATTATCTCTGAAGTTGTGTTTCTCTATCAAACCAAATTTAACAGTATACTAAAAGGATCTTTCACCATGATCAAGTGAGATTTAGCTCTGAGATGCAAGGATGGTTCAACACACAAATCAATAAATGTGATACATAACATTAACAGAATTAAAGATAAAACCATATGATCATATAAACAGAACATGAAACGGTGAAAGAAAAGTCTTTTTAATAAATGATGTTGGAAAACTGAATATCCACATGCAGAAGAATGAAATTGGATCCTTATGACACTCAATATATGAGAATTAACTCAAAATGGATTAATGACTTAAACATATGACTGCAAACTGTAAAACTATTAGAAGAAAATATAGGAGAAAAGTTCCATGACGTTGGTATGGGCAAGATTTCTTGTATATGATCCTCAAATCACAGACAGCAAAACCAAAAGTAAACAAATGGGATTGCATCAAATTAAAACATTTCTCCGCAGCAAAGGAAACAATAGAGTGAAAAGACAACCCACAGGTTGAGAGAAAATATTTGTAAATGATACATGTAAGTGGCTAAAATTCAAGCTATATAAGGAACTTAAACAAATCAATAACAAGGAAACAAATAACTCAATTTTAAAATGAGCTAAGCACCTGAATAGACATTTCTCAAAAGAAGACGTACAAATGACAAACAGGTACAAGAAAAAATGCTCAACATCACTAGTCATCAGGGAAATACAAATTAAATTCACAATAAGATATCACCTCACACTTGTTAGAATGCCTACTACAGAAAAGATAAGAGATAAATGTTGATGAAAATGTGGAAAAGGAGAACTCATACACTTTTGGTGGAAGCGTAAATTAGTACAGTCATTAAATACACTGTGGAGGTTTCTGAAAAATTCTGAAAAAATTAAAAATAGAACCGTTGTATGACCCAGCAATCCCTTGTCTGTGTATATATTCAAAGGAAATAAGAAGAGAGATCTACACTTTCATGTTCATTGTAGTATTATTCACAATAGCCAAGATGTGGAATAAACCTAAGCATCCCTCAGCAGATGAATGGATAGAGAAAATGTGGTATATATGCATAGTGGAATACTATTCAGCCTTAAAGAAGAAGGAAATTCTGTTGTTTGCAACAACATGGATGAATCTGGAGGACCTTATATTAACTGAAATAAGTCAGGCACAGAAGGACAAATACCTCATGGTCTCCCTTCTACATGAAATCTACAAAGTCAAACTCACAGAAACAGAGAATAGAATGGTGGTTACCAGGGGCTGGAAGAAAGGGAGAAAATTGAGAAGATATTGGTCAAAGGTTACAAAAATTACAGTTAGACAAGAGAGATAATTCAAGAGATCTATTATATGAAAGGGTGACTATAATTAATGAATTGTATATGTGAAAATTGCTAAAAGAGTAGATCTGAGTGTTCTCATCACAAAAACATGATAAGTATGTGAGGTAATGGTTCATGTAAATTAGCTTGATTTTGTCATTCCATGATGTATACATATGTCAAAACATCATGTTATACATCATAAATATATACAATTTTAATTTGTCAATTAAAAATCATAATAATGTAGGCTAACTAAAAAATGCTACATTTTTCCAAAAGTTTTCTTTTCAAGACACATATACTTACCTTTTAGCATATGCTGCTGTTTGATGAAAAAAATAAACGATTAAGAGAACCCCTCCTGCTGCCAAGAAAAAATAGGGTGGCATTTACTGTGAACTACAGATAGTAGACAACGTAGTTCAGAGAAAAAGTGTTCTCGGTTGGTCAGGGAGAAAGTGGAGCTGAAGTTAGGGTCTGAGTTTGATAAATGACACAGAAGTGCCTTCAACACACTCCTAGGGATGAGAAATAAATATATCAGCCTGATTTCTGTGGAAGCTTCAAAAAAGGGAGTAGTGGCAGACAAAGTTGTTGGGCAGTAATTTGGTCAGGAAGGATATTGAAACGCTACATAACCATTTCAACGTCATTTTGTAACATCACGCCACCTTCCTTCTCCTTAAATCAGGCTCAGCATTGGCAAGATTTTGATGATCTATATAAAACACCCCTACTAAGGGTGGTACCTATTGAAACAATTGCCTGGGATGGTAAGAGGGCGATTTGGAGGCTGTAGATTGGAGAATGAAAGTTGAGGGCAGGCTCCTGGGAGGACCACTGTTGGTAATGGGGAATTTAGGGATGTTGCAGAGAAATCAGAATTTTCTGGTGAGTTATGGAGACTAGGAATTGGGGCTTTAGATGTTTGGTGAAATGGAGAGCATTTGTCCCCAAGGGGATGGAAAGGTGGGCTCCATTTGGCTCTTTTGGTTTCTGCTCCGTTTATGGTCAAGCCAACAGTTCAGGAAACCGCCTTTGAAAAAATACAATTTCCTTAGGGGCCTGCTATGTCTTGCTCATTTCAGGCTGCTCTCCAGTAAATCTGTAATTGGTTCTCAGGGGCCTCTCCCTTTGTGGCAATTTCCTGCCCTCCCATGTGATAGAGGGAAAGGACTGCGATGAAAGGACAGAATAGCCTGAGAGCTAGAAAAGGGGATGGAGGGTGGAAGAGAAAATGGCTCAGGAGTGGAGGGTAACAAGGGTGACATTTGTAATCAATGTTCTACGTTACTTCAGGTTGAGCTCAAGCAGGGAGGGAGCTGAAGGTAGGAAATTCCAACATTCTGAAGTCTTCAGCAAATCTTAGCAGATCATCTCCTCCTCACAGTCCTGTCTTTAGAGAACAGGGTCGATATTTCGGGTACGTTTATTTTTGTAAAATTCTTTACAGCTTAGTTCACAGATTCTTTAAAAAAGTTAAATGGCTGGTTTTTATAGCTGTTTATCCTGTAATCACTAGCAACTTTCAATTAACCCAGAGAGTCAAAAAGTCTTTTATTAAAAATCATTTCAAGAAGTCCCGCAGTATTTCTCTAGAATACCAGTGCTGCTCTTTTCTCCATTGGATGTTTTTAAAAGTTGATTTCTAATCCTTCTGGGTGCATACTGACTTATTTTTTTAATTCTCTCTTCTCTTTTGGAGATGGGGAACAGTAGATATTCATGCTCCCCAAGCTTCAGTTGATATGTTACAGAGTAGGAAGAAGCGAGACACCCTCATACTAATGTTTTCATGGTGGAAAGTTTTCCTCCTGCTATCCCATGGCTTGACAAAACTGGGATATACTTAAAATTATACTGTTTTCTTTTAAAACCTTTTAAGTATATTTTAATGTTTTATTATGGAGTAATTACTGAAGAGACTTGAGGAGAATTAACAGATTAAAAAAATCAAACTGAATTAACTTTTTGGTTTTCTGCTTACAAACATAACATGTTTGTTTAGCAGACATTTCAAAATATGAGAATAAATTTTTTTCTAATACCTAAAGATGAATTAAAATGTACAGTTTTGTATATATTTTTTAAAATATTTTTTCCTGGAATATTCTTTGAATTGCTCATTTTAATTAAGGACTCTATGCTATCTCAGAGTCTGGGTTGAATGAGGGTTATGGTTTTTACTTAGAATTGAGTGTGTGGCTGATTGTTCGTTAGACAACAAACAGGCATTTTGCACTATTCTTACTTCTCTACCAGTCAGTATGGTGAAATTCCTGTTGATTTCAAACTCTTCCTGCAGTTTTTTGAGTTTTCCAATTCCAAATTCAGCTCTATTCCTTGGAGTTTTCAACTCTAAATTCATCAACTTCCTCTATTCCCTGATTCCCCTCTGTCTTTAAGGGAATAACAGCCTCTCATATATCCTACTGTTTCTGTGTTTTTCCCATTTCTTTTCTTTTCATATCTACTTTTACAGATTTAGGGGTACAAGTGCAGTTTTGTTACATGAATATATTGTGTAGCGATTGAGTCTGGGCTTTTAGTGTAACCATCACACAGATAGTGTGCATTATACCCATTAGGTAATTTCTCATCCCTCACCCCTTCCCACCTCACCTTTCCAAGTCTCCAATGTCTATTATTCTGAATTCTGTGTTCATGTGCACACATTATTTAGCTCCCACTTATAAATGAGAATATGCAATATTTGACTTTCTGTTTCTGAGATATTTCACTTAAAATAATAGCCTCCAGCTCCAATGATACTCTTGATTTCCAGGGGAGGTAGTGGTCATGAGCTATTTATTATTAGAGGTATTCTTGCCTGATTTACATGCTCACCTCTCTCCTGGCAGGAATCCTATAGAAAGACTCCAAGCCTCAGAATGAGTTTGGACCAGATAAAATAATCTAGAGTTAAAGATGGCCCACATAGGGAGTGCCAGATTCACTCACAAGGAAATGCAGATGGGATCAAAGGGTAAGAGAATAGCTTTAGAGACGGGAGTTGGAGGGCAATAACAGAACCTGTGGAATTTTGTAGTCTATGAAGAACAGCATTCTTCTCTGATCAATTCATATGGGTTTAGGTTAAGGAAGACATGGTGTTAAACATTAAGTATTCATTGAGAATATATCTTTTTGTAAGACTTCGGTACAGTAGCACTTATAAAAATTTAAATCCTGTGCTAAATGAACTTTTAGTCTTTTGGAAAAGAGAAAGTGCATACCATAAGATAATTAATGATGAACTCAAGGCAGCATGTATTTGCACATCAGGTATCAGATGAGTGGGGCCATCCCTTCTTTCACTCTTGTTACCTTGGATGTAGCTTCCATAATACTATTTAAATTTAGGTTGAAACATGCCACTGTACTGTTTAAAAGCCTTCAGCTGTGCCTTGCTGCCTATAGAATGAAGCTCTAGTTCCTTCTTGTGACAAGCAAGGGTCCCCAGACTCTGATCCTGGCCCCTTTCTCTCCCTGTCTTCCCCCATTCTTCACCTCAATCCTAATTCTCCTTCAGAATCGAGGGGATTGTTTGAGCTACCCTTGGCTACTTACCCCCTGCTACCTCTTTCTCCTCCTCACATCCAATGTTGTTTCTTGCCTCAGTGTGTACTCATGGTTTTCCTTTTACCTAAAATGCCCTCACCTCCATTCTTTCCATTTTCCACTGCAATCACTCATCAGTTCAGCATCACTTCCTCCTAGTACTATTTCTTTCAGGTTGAATTCATTAACTGTCTTTTGGCGTATTGCAATTTTCTGTTGATATGTCCATCTGTCACACAAGAGTGTAAACTCCTTAAGAGTATGGACCAGTTTTGTTTGGCCCACTATCCTCAGAAACAGATGTAATATCTTCTATACACTAGATCCTTAGTACATGATTGGGAGAGAAATAAAGGGCTCTATTAGTCAAGGGGGATTCTTGGTAGAGATAAGTTCTTAAGCTGGGTCTTCGAGGATTTAACGTTAGCAATGAGCAGAGGTATGGAAAATGGGATTCCATTCAAAAGGCAGATTTGGTCTTAGGCAAAACTACAAAACAGTGTGCCGTGAAGGCTCCCAGCACTGTGGTCCCTGAGGCATCCAGTTTTTCACCTCTTAGGAAACTGATGTTCTAGACTATTTGTATTAAAGATAACTTACATTTTTTGTGATAATAAATATAATGTATATTTATTAATCCCATATTCTAGAAAGTAACACTGTTAGTATTATGTATTTATATTTATTTATATGATATCTGCTTTTTTTCTCTACCTTTCTCAACTGTTTCTAATCATTCCCTGTATTCTCTCTCATTGTCTTCAGTTAATAAACACATATTGCTTTGAATAGCATATGAAAACCTTCCAGCAGGTATGACAGAGCCATTTTCAGATATTTAGAAGTGTCATGCTCAATTACAACTCTTTGCTTTTGCATATGCTTTCCTGCCAGGGATGCCCTGCCTGGTCTGGTTTCCTGTCTTTTGCCTGGCCAACTCTTTTTTTTTTTTTTTTTTTTTTTTTTTTTTGAGATGGAGTTTCGTTCTATTGCCCAGGCTGGGGTGCAGTGGCGCGATATCGGCTTACTGCAAGCTCCGCCTCCTGAGTTCACGCCATTCTTCTGCCTCGGCATCCCGAGTAGCTGGGACTACAGGCGCCCGCCACCACGCCCGGCTAATTTTTTTTGTATTTTTAGTAGAGACGGAGTTTCACTGTGTTAGTCAGGATGGTCTCGATCTCCTGACCTCGTGATCCACCCGCCTCAGCCTCCCAAAGTGCTGGGATTACAGGCGTGAGCCACCAAGCCCGGCCTCCTGGCCAACTCTTAATTGGCCCTCAAAACTTAGCCTACTTGCTTCTATCTTCAGAAAGCCTTCCCCGACCTTGATCCCACACCTTCTGCCCCACAACCCCAGGCTGGGTTTGGTCCTTCTCTGCTCCCATGGCACCTACTTCCTTCCCTATTACCATTTACCACATTTTCACTACCAACTCCTGAATGACTTGATGAAACTACTATTTAAGGAAGGCAATAAGTGAAGAATATATAAGAATTATCCGAGGAACAGTTGGTAAGGTATCACTGATTAGGAGATGGGGAATGAAAGGGGCGGTTGAGATAATGAGAAGAATGAGATAGTGACCATGGGGATTAGACAGAATTCTCAAACCACTCATAGAGGAATTGGTTGTGATTGAGAAAGATAGAAGAGTTTGCAGTTGTGGGCCATGTCTATATAGCACACATTTGGAGAATATTATACTGGTGCACAAGAAGGAGGCTATGGCTGACTATACAGATAAGAATGATAGAGGTGATTATGCGAAAGAGGTAGTAGATTGAATTAATGGGGTAAAGGTCTTTGAAAGACTAAAATTATGAGTTTGGATAAACTCTTCTGAGCGTTAAAGAATATGCACAATTAAGGAAGGCAGGGAAGGATGAGAGTTGAGGAAGGAATGACAACTAAGAAGGGGGATAGTTGAAGACTTGCGTGAGCGAGTCTTGTTTTAGAGACTCATTTTTGTCTTTTTTGTTTTGTTTTGTTTTAGCTCTAATAACGTTAGGCTTGGTATAGAAGATGCAGAGACATGCTAAAATTTCTCCCCCAATTATTGCCAAGCAGAAACTTGGACGATCGACATGGAAATTGTCTCCACAGGAAACGAAACTATTACTGAATTTGTCCTCCTTGGCTTCTATGACATCCCTGAACTGCATTTCTTGTTTTTTATTGTATTCACTGCTGTCTATGTCTTCATCATCATAGGGAATATGCTGATTATTGTAGCAGTGGTTAGCTCCCAGAGGCTCCACAAACCCATGTATATTTTCTTGGCGAATCTGTCCTTCCTGGATATTCTCTACACCTCCGCAGTGATGCCAAAAATGCTGGAGGGCTTCCTGCAAGAAGCAACTATCTCTGTGGCTGGTTGCTTGCTCCAGTTCTTTATCTTCGGCTCTCTAGCCACAGCTGAATGCTTACTGCTGGCTGTCATGGCATATGACCGCTACCTGGCAATTTGCTACCCACTCCACTACCCACTCCTGATGGGGCCCAGACGGTACATGGGGCTGGTGGTCACAACCTGGCTCTCTGGATTTGTGGTAGATGGACTGGTTGTGGCCCTGGTGGCCCAGCTGAGGTTCTGTGGCCCCAACCACATTGACCAGTTTTACTGTGACTTTATGCTTTTCGTGGGCCTGGCTTGCTCGGATCCCAGAGTGGCTCAGGTGACAACTCTCATTCTGTCTGTGTTCTGCCTCACTATTCCTTTTGGACTGATTCTGACATCTTATGCCAGAATTGTGGTGGCAGTGCTGAGAGTTCCTGCTGGGGCAAGCAGGAGAAGGGCTTTCTCCACATGCTCCTCCCACCTAGCTGTAGTGACCACATTCTATGGAACGCTCATGATCTTTTATGTTGCACCCTCTGCTGTCCATTCCCAGCTCCTCTCCAAGGTCTTCTCCCTGCTCTACACTGTGGTCACCCCTCTCTTCAATCCTGTGATCTATACCATGAGGAACAAGGAGGTGCATCAGGCACTTCGGAAGATTCTCTGTATCAAACAAACTGAAACACTTGATTGAAGGAGAGTAATGAAGATGTTATTTTGGACTTCGGACACCTCCACTGGGGACTCTTCCAGGATGGGTTGGAGAGGAGTAACTTTGTCTTATTCGACCATTCTCTTTGAACTCTTCTGCAGTTATACTAAAAATGAAAATGATAGGGCAACAATTTTTTAACTTTTATTTTAAGTTCAAGGGTACATGTGCAGGTTTGTTACATAGGTAAACTTGTGTCATGGGGGTTTACTGTACAGATTATTTCATCACCCAGGTATTAAGCCTAGTACTCATTAATCATTTTTCCTGATCTTCTCCCTCCTCCCAACCTCCACCCTCAAGTAGGATTCAGTGTGTTGTTCCCCTCTATGTATCCATATGTTTTCATAATTTAGCTCCCACTTATGAGTGAAGACATACGGTATTTGATTTTCTGTTCCTGTGTTAGTTTGCGAAGGATAGTAGCCTCCAATTCCATCCATGTCAAATAATCAAAATTATTTAAACTTTGATTAGTTCTTTATTAAATATGTCATAAATATTTAAAAATAATACAGCAATACCAAAATAAACCTAGAAATATTGTTTTTTATATTATTGTTGTATGACATTTAAAAATTTCTTTCTATGTGTATTTATATTTATACATACAAGTTGGATCATGGAGTTTGTAATCTGGTTTTCCACTGAACACTGTGTCACGAACAACTTTTTCTATTAACAAGCATCTATTTCTTTATTCTTCTGGGCTTCATCGTATGGCTAAACATGATTTGTTATTCTATTTTGGGAATTTTTAGTTGTATTCTATTCTTTTACTGTACATTGTTTACATCTGGATTTTCCTGTAATAAACTTTTAGCACCTAAATTGCAAGATCTAAGGATATGTGTTTTTAAAAATCTAAAGCTGAATTCCTTTTCTTTTAAACTTCTTTTCTTGTAGAACATTTCAAACATACATAAAAGAGAAGAGCACAGTGAACCCCCATGTACTCCATGTAGCCACCATCCAGCTTCAACATCAACATTTTGCTAATCTTATTTTAATTAGCTACAGCTCCTTGTTTGTTAGTTTTCATGGAAAATTTTAGGGCAAATTCCAGATGTTGTATAACTATTATGTTGTGTAAGTTATGTATGTACATATTCCACATATGTATTTAGTATAATCTGTGACTAATAAAGACATTTTAAAAAACCATGCCCACAATACCATTATGATACTTAGCACAATTATCAGTATTTCCTTTATATCATCTAATACACAAGCCATGTTCAAATTTCTCCATTGATCTTTAAGTAATTTCTTAAAATTAGGATCTAAACAAGGTTCACACAATGTATTTTGTTATTGTCTTTCCAGTCCCTTTATAACATAGCAGACCCCACTTTTTTGTCATGCCATTGACTTAAGTTGCTATGTTATTTTTATTGCATCATATCCTGAGACACATGATATTTAGTTGTCCCACTCTTAGAGATGCTATTTATATTATTGTCCAGTGAGTTGAGGTGGTATCAGTCAGATCTATCAATTACTCAGTTTCTAATTAACGTTTTCCCTAATACTTTAATCATCCATTGTGGAAAGGTGATGATTAACTTTTATTCCAAATGTTTTTATGTTCCTTTTTCAATTCCAAAATTCACCATTTTAATAAATGGCTCTCTAGTACATTATATATCAGTCAGCCAGGAATCACACTTAGCTATTAGAAACTGTCAATACAAAGTTTTAAAAGTAAAAATTGTCATGTAAGTAAAAGTTAATTTTTCTCTCAAGTAAAAGAAGTCTGGAGGTAAGTAGTACAGAGAGGATGTGGTTGGTTCCCAGGGTTATATAGACCAGAGCTCTGTTTACTTAGTGTATATGTCAGGAGAACAGCGTGGGGGAAAGTTCCCCCATGATGAAATCACTTCCCTCCAGGTCCCTCCCTTGACATGGGAGATTACAATTGAGATGAGATTTGTGTGGGGACATAAAACGAAACCATATCAGGCTCTATTCTGTGTGTCTGTGTGCATATGTAACTAAAATCAGGAGTGAGTAATTGAGAGAAGTGAATTTTCTTGGTGTGGTTTCAGTTGCAAACAACATAAGCTACCCTGGCTAATTTAAGCTGCTGTTTTTTCTTATATAATATTTGATAGCTCACACACTATCCTGTAGGTAAAGAGAGTCAGACTCTGAATTATTCTGCCAGGAATGAGATGCAGAAACACAGAGGGTCTCTTGTTGGCGTAAATATCACTGCCATCATTACTCAACCCTAGAGTACTTCTAGATCCATCACTGATGCTCCAGAAGGACCAGATTCCTCTGTTTCATGCAGAGAAGACTGAATTCCACATGCATAGTCTTGCTGATTGGTAGGACCTAATTTCCATGGTTGTTACCAGCTGTTAAGGAATCTAGGAAATGATCACAATGTAGTGGGGGTGTTCACAGATGTAAAAGCACTATAATGAATGTCTACTCTTGGCACAGTGCGAAAGGATAATGTTAGGTACTAATTTTTTTTTCTTTTGACATTTTAAAATACAAACATTTCAAGCATATACTAAATACAAAAATTTCCTTTGTCCACTTTTTAATGGGGTTATTTATTTGTTTTTCTTGTTGAGTTGTTTAAGTTCCTTGTAAGTTCTGGATACCAGTCCCGTATTAGGTGCATAATTTGCAAATATGTTTTCCCATTCTGTAGGTTGTTTGTTTACTCTGTTGATTATTCCCTTCACTGTGCAGAAGCCTTTTAGTTTAATTAAGTTCTGTTTGTCTATTTTTATTTTTGTTGCATTTGCTTTTGAGGTCTTAGTCACAAATTCTTTGCCTAGGCCAATGTTCAGAAGAGTTTTTCCTAGGTTTTCTTCTAAAATTTTTATAGTTTCAGGTCTTACATTTAAAAGAAGACATACAATCAGCCTACAAAACCTACAAACATATAAAAAAAGCTCAACATTGCTAGTCATCAGAGAAGTGCAAATTAAAACCACACTGAGATATCATCTCATACCAGTAATAGTAACTATTATTAAAAAGTCAAAAACAAGAGATGTTGGTGAGAATGCAGAGAAAAGGGAATGCTTATATACTGTTGATGAGAATATAAATTAGTACAACCTCTATGGAAAACAGTATGAAGATTTCTTAAAGGGCTAAAATTAGAACTACCCTTTGATTCAGCAATCCCAATACTAGATATCTACCCAAAGGAAAATAAATCATGGTACAAACAAGACACCTGCATGTGTATGTTAATTGCAGCACTTTTCACAAGAGCAAAGTTATGAAACCATCCTAAGCATATGAAAGCATACACACACACACACACACTTACATAAGCATACGTAATTAGATATTTTTTCTTTTATTTTACTTTCACTTATTTCTTCTTCAATGCTCTTCTGTTCTTAAAGGTGGATTGAAATGTCTCACTTGTATAATTTTATTACTCTCTAAAAAATTTATTTTATCACTTTTTACCAGGCAAGTCTATTGGCAATAAATTCCCTCAATTTTTGTTCCTCTGAGAAGGTTTATTTCTCATTCACTTTTGAAGGATAATTTCATGTAGTGCAGAATTCTAGATTGGTTTTTCTTCTATCAAAAATTTTAAATATTTCACTCTATTTTCTTCTAACTTTTGTAGCTTCTGCGAACTCAGATGTCATCTTTTCTTCCCTAAAGGTATGGTATTTTTTATCCTCTGGCTTCTTCATGATTTAAAAAAAATCTTTGACTTTCTGATTTTTGTTTAATTTTCCATAGTTTAAAAATGATATTCCTAGCCATAGTTTTTCTGGCATTTATGCTTCTTGGTATTCCTTGAGCCTCCTAGATTTGAAGTTTGATGTCTCATATTAATTTGGGGAAATTTTCAGTTATTGCTTCAAATATTTCTTCTGTTCCTATCTACTTTTCTACTCCTTCTGATATTCCCATTGTATGTATTACATATTTTGGAGTTTTTCCAGAATCCTTGAATATTCTTCTCTGCTTTAATAAGTCTTTGTTTTCTTCGCTTTTCAGTTTTTAAAGTTCCTATTGATATATTCCCCTGCCTAGAGGGTTTGGTGGTCGTTTTCTTCCTCTTAACTTTATTAAGGTATGACTGACACATGAAGTTGTATATATTTATGATGTTTACTGTGATGTTTTGAGATATGTATACATTGTGAAACGATTACCACAATTAAGCCAATTAACACATCCATCACCTCACATAGTTACAACCTTTTGTATGTGTGTGGTGAGAACATTTATGATCTTCTAGTTTAGAAAATTTCAAGTATATAATACAGTATTGTTAACTATAATCACCACGCTATATGCACATTATATAGGTCACATTTTTAAATCCACTTCTCTGTTTTGATGGACCTTTGGGCTAATTCTGTATCTTGGCTATTGAGAATCATGCTGCAATGAACACAAGAGTGCAGATATGTCTTTGAAATACTAATTTTTTTTTTATTTTTCCATAGGTTATTGGGGTACAAGTAGTATTTGGTTACATGAGTAAGTTCTTTAGTGGTGATTTGTGAGATTTTGGTGCACTCATCACCCAAGCAGTATACACTGCACCGTATTTGTAGTCTTTTATCCTTCACCCCCCCTCCCACTCTACACCCCAAGTCCCCTAAGTCCACTGTATCATTCTTATGTATTTGCATCCTTATAGCTTAGCTCCCACATATCAGTGAGAACATACAATGTTTGGTTTTGAAATACTGATTTTATTTCCTTTAGACATATACCCAGAAGTGGGATTACTGAATCATATGGTATTTCTACCTTTATGTTTTTTGAGGAATCTCTATATGTTCCCCATAATGGCTGTACAAATGTAAATTCCCAAAAACAATGTACAAAGGTTCTCTTTTTATATCCTCATTAATACTTGTTATTTTTTGTCTTTTTGATAAAAGCCATTCTAACAGATGTGAAGTGATATCTCGTGGTTGTAGTTTGTATTTCCTTTGATTTAATGATGTTGAACATTAAAAAATACACTTGGCCATTTGTGTGGAAATATCTATTTCATTGAAAAAATGTCTATTTAGATTCTTTCCTCATTTTTAAACTAGGCTATTTGTTTTCTTGCTATTGAGTTTTTAAAAAATGTATATTTTGGATATTAACTCTTTATGAAATATTGTTTTCCCATTTCATAGGTTATCTCTTCATTCTGTTGATGTTTTCTTTTGTTAAATAGGAACTATTTAGTTTGGTAGAATCGTATTTATTTTTGATTTTGTTTCCTGTGCTTTACGTATGATATTTTAAAAATATCATTTCCCAGACCACCATTGAGAAGTTTTTCCCTGTTTTCTTCCAGTAGTTTTAGTTTCAGGTCTTGCCTTTCAGTTTTTAATCCAATTAAATTGATTTTTGCGTATTGTTTGAGACAATGGTTTAATTTCATTCTTCTTTAGGTGGAATATTAAGTTTTTCCAACACAATTTATTGGAGAAACTATTCTTTTCCCATTGTATGTTCTTGGCACCTTTGCCAAAGACCAACTGACCATAAGTACATAGATTTATTTCTGGGCTCTCTATTCTGTTCCATTGTTCTATGTATCTGTTTTTATGCCAGTATCATACTGTTTTGATTACTATAGCTTTGTGGTATATTTTGAGTTCAGGTAGTTGTGCCTCCAGCTTTGTTCTTTTTGCTCAAGATAGCCTTGGCTATTTGGAGTCTTTTGTGGTTCCATAAGAATTTTAGTACTTTTGCTATTTCTGTAAAAAATTCCATTAGAATATTGATAGGGATTGTAAAGAATCTACAGTTTGCTTAGGAAAGTATGAGCATTTTGACAATATGAATTCTTCCAATCCATGAATAAAGAATATCTTTCCATTTATTTGTATCTTTTTCAATTTCTGTCATCCATGCCTTATAGTTTTCAAGGTACAGATCTTTCACCT
The DNA here is from genome assembly GCF_000001405.40 of Homo sapiens. NCBI lineage: Eukaryota > Metazoa > Chordata > Mammalia > Primates > Hominidae > Homo > Homo sapiens. The sequence goes on along the minus strand of NT_167247.2, from coordinate 686,146 downwards.
TCTTGGTTAGATTTATCCCTAAGTATTTTATTTACCTTTGATATTATTGTAAATAGAATTGTTTTCTTGATTTCCTATTCAAATAGATCATTGTTGTAAAAATGCAACTGGCTTTTGTAAGTTAATTTTGTATCCTGTGAACTTAACTAAATTTATTAGTTCTCACAGTTTTTGGTGTAGTCATTAGGGTTTTCTAGATGTAAGATCCAGTCATCTGCAAACAGAAAATTTTACTTCTTCCTTTTTAGTCTGGATGCCTTTTATTTATTTCTTTTGTGTAATTGCTATAGCTAGGAATGTCAGAATTATATTGAAGAGAAATTGTGAAAGTGGGCCTCCTTGACTTGCTCCTGATATCGGAAGAAAAGCTTTTAGCTTTCCAACACTGATAATGAGAATAGCAGTGGACTTGATATACATTATCTTTATTACATTAAGCTATGTTTCTTCTATACCTAATTTGTTGAAAGTTTCTTTTAGTTATGAAAGAATATTGAATTTTATCAAATGCTTCTTCTGCACCTATTATCATATGGTTTTTATCCCTCAGTATGTTAATGTGGCATATCATATTTATTAATTTGTGTATGTTAACCCATTCTTGCATCCTAAGGATGAATCCCACTTAGTCATGGTGTATGATCATTTTAATGTGCTGTTGAATTCATTTTGCTAGTTTTCATTGAGGATTTTTGCATCTATGTTCATCAGGGATATTGGCCTGTAACTGCATTTCCTTATAGTTGCGTTGTCTGGCTTTGGTATTAGGGTAATGCTGACCTCATAAAGTGAGTTTGAAAGTATTTCTTCCTTTTCATATTTTTGAGTGAGTTTAAGAAGATTGGCATTAATTATCCTATAAATGTTTGGTAGTATACATCAATAAAGCCATCAGATCCTGGGCTTTTTTGAATAGGAGACATTTTATTACTGGTCAATCTCAGCCCCAGGCTGGCAGCTTTTGCCGTGGTCTACTGGAACATGAAAAAGTCTGTCTGAGGCTTCCCTGTTGAAGAAGCATATGATAGTCACAAGGAGCAATTAAGGGAGGAGAAAAAGAAATAGAGAGAGAGACTTACTCAGCTCTCAGCTATTCCGTGACCAGACTGAAGTCATTCCAGCAAAGGTCAGAGACATTATGGATCAGAGTCAACCATTCTCTGCTGTGTTTTTCCAAATTTCTTACCCAACAAAGCATGTAACTTAAGTGTTTTAAGCGATTGAATTTTGGGGTCCTAATGTGTTATGCACTAATAGTTAACCAGAACCCCATGTGCTCTTCTACAGTTCACAAACTCTCTGAAGTTTGAATTATGTGGCAGATTCTCACCACCAGAAATGACAGAAAAAACATATTGTATAAAAATATGCATCAAATATATTACTGATAGTGTGGGACAGTTGAGATTAGGAGTTGCCATCTCCACACACACATTGTTGTTTTGTTTTATTATAAACTAAACTGGAATTGAGGGACCAAAGAAGGTGAAGTTAGAAGACAAAAGAAGCATGGAGAGAAGTCAGAATAAAATTGTTTAGATTTACAAAAGTGCATGCAGGGACCTTGAAGGGTCAGTCCACCAGCTTAAAATGCCTTTTCATAGTATTTTCTGTCTATTCTTTAAATATTTATAAATTATAGAATCCACCATTTTTTCAGGGACAGAAGCCATTTATAGGAACTTAAAAAGTGAGGAACATAGCAGTTCATGTCTAGAAATACTTCAATAATTATGACTTCTATGCCTTTGCTTAGTATGAGTTTGGTGCCAAGTAAGAAAAAGAAAATAAAATTTTGATAAAGTCGTCATCTTCCGCAATTAAAGGCTGAGGGAACAATAACATCCTAACGAGATTGAAAGAGTCTTAAGAGCTTTGTTAAATTATCTCCGATTTTTAATATTTTAAGTAATCATTGAGGGTGTGGACAGTTGACTAATAAGAGATATCTGGAGACAGAGGTGCCAAAACTATTTAGATGAACTGTCAGGGTTTTTGTTGTTGTTGTTATTTAGTGATTACAATGTCATTTGCTTTAATTACTTGTCTCCTTGTTTGAAGAATAAGAAATCAAGACCCACCCCTTAAAAATTCTCCTTAACTCATACGTCAGTTAGCATATTCTTTTCCAGTTGAGTAACTATGGCCCTAAAGTAAAATCCTCAAAATATCAAAGCATAATAATTTTATTTATAATATTATAATGCATTAACCTAGAGGGACCAGATAGATAAATAGACCCAAGTATTATCCATATATTTGATATATGGGAAAAACAGGCATATTTCTATACCCAATTTCATCATAAGAACATATAAAAAACCTAACATCAATTTTATCAACTGATATCTTCAAAACATAGTCAGCAGTAGAGTTCCATGGCTAGTATCCCATTCATTCAAATGTCCCTTATATAATCCAGGAAAGCATTGTTAAATACAACTACAGCATATTTTTCCATATATTTTTGTTTTATCCAGTTCCCTCTGTTGTACATTTCTAAATAATTTAAGAAACAATGTAATTACAAACTCATCTTTTTAATTGTTTATTTATGCTTCAGAAGAGTTCTTCAAGATTTCTTTAGGCCAAAGCCACCTTTTCATTGCTCTATTAAAGGCCCCTTTCACTTCCTTGTTCCTCAAAGTGTAGATCAGTGGGTTTAGTACTGGAGTGACCACAGTATACATGATGGCAGTGATCCGGTCCTGGTCCATGGAGGTCCCTGAGGCATGATGAATATAGGTGAAGAGAACAGGTGCATACAAAAGAATAACTACCATCAAGTGGGAGGCACAAGTGGACAGTGCTTTGCGGAGCATGCTAAAAGAATGAGTCTTGAAGAAGAGATGGGTGATAATGTAGAAATAGGAGAGTAATGTGAGAAAGAAGGGGCCCATGGCGATTGTCCCTGTGACAGTACTGAGCAGCCACTGATTAAGCTCAGCTTTAGCAATGGCTTCACATCACAGAAGAAGTGATAGATACGGTTAGAACCACAGAAGTTCAAGCGAGAGGTCATTAGGGAGTGCAGCAGGGCATGGAAAAAACCAATCATCCAGATTGTGATGGCCATCTGGGTACAGAGCTGAGGGTTCATAATGACAGTGTAGCGAAGTGGCTTGCAAATAGCCACAAAGCGGTCAAATGCCATCACGGCCAACAACATGGCCTCTGTGCTGCCCAGGAAGTGGAAGAAATGGAGTTGGCTTATGCATCCCAAGAAAGAAATTGCTTTGTGTGCAGAGAGGAAGTTCTGCAGCATTTTTGGCAGTGTTACGCTGGAGTAGCAGATGTCCAGGCAGGACAGGTTTCCCAGGAAGAAATACATAGGGGAATGGAGTCTAGGATCAGAGATGACAATCATCAGAATGGCTCCATTCCCAGCCACACTGATGAAGTAGATGGTAAGGAAAACAACGAAGAGAAAAGGCTGCAGTTCTTGAATGTCTGTCACTCCCAAAAGGAGAAATTCAGTGACTGAGGTTGTATTCAGCATTGCTTCAGACAAAAGACAAAATAATGTATGGAACACTAATCACAATCAGAATCCTTCCAGCTCAGAATTTTCTTACCAAGCCAAGAATATCTGGAGGGAGAGTATTGTTGTTTTGCATGATTCAACCTCACAAGTTTTACATTTTTGGCTTTTAGATGGCTAAATATTAAAGATATATATATATATATCTGTTATGATCTCTGACACAACTATTTTTTTATTATGTTTTTCATTAATATATTTCTTTCTCCCAGGAATCAGAAAACGTTGCTAGCCTACAGTCTTCTCTGGCTGTGAATATTTTCATTCTTTTTTTTTGAGATTCTCACTCTTTCTCCCAGGCTGAAGTGCAGTGGTGTGATCTTGGCTCACTGCAACCTCCGCCTCCTGGGTTCAAGAGAGTCTCTCGCCTCAGCTTCCCAAGTAACTGGGATTACAGGAGTCCACCACCACACCTGGCTAATTTTTGTATTTTTAATAGAGATGGGGTTTCACCGTGTATGCCAGGCTGGTCTTGAATTCCTGACCTCAAGTTATCTGCCTGCCTCGGCCTCCCAAAGTGCTGCGATTACAGGCATTAGCCACATCTCTGGGCCTGTGAATATCTTCATTCGGTCACAGCTTTCCTTTCATCTTCCCAAGCAGCTCTCACAGGGGGCAATTTTTAAGCATACCACATAGCTATCTCTTGGCCTAGTAAGAAACCACCAGTAGGATGTTAACTTAAATAAAAAGACAGGTTTCAATGCATCAAAACCACGATTTTTTTTTTAAATCTTGAAAGAGTAGTAGTAATTGCATTTCCTCATTTTAGAATGTAAATGAATTAGAGATATTCTCTTACTGATCTCTTCCTGACCCACATCCCTGAAATGTCGCAGTGACCTACTGGGGTAAGAAACATGACCACATTAATCACATATTAACCTGAATATTTAAAATTTCATCACTATTATATCTGATGATGAGCTCAGTTTCTTCCTATAATCTGACCCTTTATACATTTTTTGAAATAGAATCCCAAATTATTTTTTTCATTGCAAATGTTATTGTGCTTTTATTCACCAGTTGATCTTAGACTCTTTCTTTCCTAGGAAATCTGTGAATCCCTGGATAAGAATAGTATTTCCTCTGATAGATTCAGTAGTTTCTCTTCTTTTTTCACCAATACTAACCTCTCCTCAAAATATATATTCAGCCTTCTTGAAATTGTCTTCTCTTGTGATCTATTTTCTTAAGTTCTGTTTTTATTTTGCCTGAAATAAACTCACTCATCAGATATTAAGGAATATTCTACCTCAAGTGAAATTCACCTTCTTCTCTTCTAGATCCATTACATTTTCTAGAAAAATTTTTTCTCCATAATTTGCAAAGTACTGGTATTATCTTCATTAGGTTTACTAATAAAAGCAGACATAATATTGTGAAGTAGCTTCTTCTTTGTTCTTTTCATTAGGCTGTAATGGATTAGCTCTTGTATATTGGGAGGGAAGAAGTCAGGATGTGTGGGGAACTTACAGAAGTGAGAGGCACTGAGAGAGCTAGTAGAACTGTAAAGAAATTGAAAAGAGATGCTGACATTGGAGTGCTTCCTATAAAAGGAGTATCATTCAAGGTTTTAGAAACCACTGAGGAGAAAAGAATATAATTTGATGTGACTAGGGTAAAAAAAAATAATGAACAAGGGAACACTTCTAGAGAGCCCATGGGTTTTTTGGCTTCATAGCTGGGAAGAAGTTTTGAAAAACAATCTAACTTTTACTATACCTCCATGAAGGACTGCCTTCAAATAATTCACAATAACTTTCTTGAATGACCATGTATATTTTGTATATTTAAAAATTACCACTCCTGTTTAAAATACAAATTATATTTCAAATATAATTTTTGGTTCTTGGACCCAGAAAACAAAATTGTCCCAAAAATCCATATGGTAAAACATATATTCCTAGCTTCTGAGAAAATTAGCAGTCAGAGTGGTCTGTAGTAAATCGTTTCCTTCACTGAAATTTCACCATTTAGAAATCACATGTTTGCTTTGGATAATGTCTAGAGAACTAGATATGTTGAATTGAGAACAAGGTATGGCAATAAAAACATGGTAAGTCAAGGGCCTTCATATCTCACAAACACAATGAGGAGTCCACCATTAGATAGAAAATGAGATCTAGATACTGGGTGTTTAATACTAGCAAGTAGATAGATCATTCATTAACATATTGAGATTATGTGTAACTTCACAGCCTGTCTCCTAGTTCATTCTCTTACCTGATTGAGTGTTCTGATTCACAGTTAAGGAAGCTATTCATGTTTATATTCCCAGTGATTATAAAAGTTAAAACATATTTGAAGTAATAGTTCATGTTGGGATTGCAGCATAAACTCATCTTTAAAAACCTCTTTCTCTCTTTCTGAAAAATCAGTCTGCCTTTTAATGAGCCACAGGTCTCTAGACATAGAAATCCAAAGGGAGAGTGTCCCCTGGTGTTGAGAAAGATTTTAGGAATTAGCAGGATGCCTTTCCACACCTGTAATATGAATCAGTGGCCTTGGGGAATTCCTGTGTGAAGTTTCATTTGTTTTTTTCATTCTTGTTTTTTTTTTTTCCTTACTAAGTTTGTTCCTTAGTTTTAGAACTATGGCC